>NC_000001.11:115311410-115614441 GCF_000001405.40 Homo sapiens
ATGTATTTGAGAATTCCTCAGAGCCACAGAAATTTAATTTCTGCCACTTCTCCCACAAGGGACATTTGGCGATGTCTAGAGACATTTTTGGTAAGGGGGTAGGAGGGGTGCTACTGGCATCCAGTGGGTAGAGGCTAAGGATGATGCACACTTGCTATAATGCACAGGACTGCCTCCCACAGCACAGAATCATCTGGCCCAATATGCCAGTAGTACAGAGGCTGAGAAATCCTGCCATATCTTAATAAAGCCTAATGTAATTTATCCTCACTAAATTCACTTCCTTGTTTACTTACAAAATTAAGTTTCTGTGGCTCTGAAGAATTCTCAAATACATAAAGCATCAGAGGTGCTGTCTGTTTACTGAGCATACAATTAGGAGCCACTCAGCATATGTAAATCAAATAAATGTGCATAAGATCTGGATGACAACACTAAGTTTAAATCTGAAATTTATGAAAGGAAGTTACAGTGAAATTGCCAGCAAGAAATTAACAACTCCCCAAGTGTTACCAATTGTGGCTAACCCTAATCTGTATTAAATTCTACAATGAATAGCTAAATGTTCACTTGATTCCCAGGATTCCCATATGTAAAATCAGAACTTGACTGTTCTCTGATTACAAGGTCAAATCACTAAATTTTAAGTTCTAACACTTAAGTTGTGTCTATAAGTAGAGAGTAAATTGCTTTAGTTTGCTGTTGCTTGTCTATTTGGTGGGGCAGCATGCATTAATTTTGTGACTTTTGTGGCATTAAGACATCTCTTGGTAAACTAGAGCTAATGAATTATTCAATACTTTGTGGTTCACCGTAATTTTGTAGGCACAAGATTGTACCAATATTTGAAAAAGACTCTTAGAACTGCAAAACTGAAAAGGACTCAAGTGATTATCTAGTTTGGTCCTTAATCAGTCAATCAACCAGTATTCATTGGATGACCTACTGTGTGTCCAATCCCATGCTAGGTACCACAGAGAATACTAGACAAGTATAAGGCATGAGCTTTGTTTTTAAGTAATAAACAATATAGCAGAAGTGACACGACAAAGGCACAGGAAATATTTAGTGAACAACTTGGGATATAAATTTTGCTGTACATACTGTCAGCAATGGAGGGGTCACAGAAGCCTGTATCACATGAAAATGCTGATATTTATGTACATTTTTGTCTTTTGCTTTACCTTGACAGATACCAGAGTTGCTGGATCTTAGCACTTTCTTTTTATTTGCCTTGGTGTCTAGGTAGAGAGCCTGGCCTGTACAAGCCAACTAACAAAATGTCTACTTAATAGGTGAATGAATGATCTCAATAGGAAATAGACCTTAATATTGACCTTGAAGTCACAGAAATGTTTAAATCAGTGTTTCCCACCCCTGGAACATCAAAAGGGGTTAGTAAAAAGAAGATTCCATGGTCAAACATATTTGGGAACTGTTGGATTAGAAACAGCTTTCTTTACTCAGAGCTCTCCACATGCATTGGGAATCTCTAAGATTTCATTTGTTTGAGATCATACTTATTTCACCATGGAAACATTTTTTACTGAGGATTTGGTAACATTTATTTGAATCAATATACCAAAAATGTATTGAGAATCATCTAAACCATCCAAAGAAAATGGCATTTTGAGTTGACCAATGCTTTGAAAATTGGTATAATAGAGCCCATAAAACTGTGGTTTGGGAATTTTATAGAGAGAGGAAAAAGAAAGTTCTGTCCCTCTAAGCCAGTCATGTGTGAAGGAAAGACCTGAATACTTTTGATGTTTCACATAGTAGCTTTCATAAGTGGCCATTTTGCACCTCTGGTTTAGAGAGTACTACTTTGGTCTGTTGTAATGGTTTGAGCCTTGGATGCACATCTTTGAAAATCTTTGGAGTTGTCTTTTCTTAATATTCCCAAGGGGCTTGTACTTTTATTTTTTAAATGTCTTTTGCCTTGAACTGCTCAATTGGGCTTGATGAATTCTCAGCAGGCTGCTGGCCCAGACCCTTAGATGAACTGGGACAGCTGTTGTTTGTTTTTATGTAAATCTGCACTTGCTTTAATTTTGGAGGGTTTCCTGGCATAGTTTGCAATGACAAGGATCACTTATGGGCACCAACCCACTAAAAAGGTAAAAGCGAAATACTCATCATAGTAAGTTTCTTTATTAAAAGCTTTTTCTTTTTTAGTTTAATAAATCTTTGAAATGCATAATTGTTTGTTTTCTGATCAGCTTTTGAAACAAATCTTCCAGATACTAAAGAGTTTTTAGTAAAAGGCAAAGCAGTTTAAAAATAATTGATAGTGACCTGGGGAGTTGAGTAACATTCTATTGCCATGAGGATAAAATATAAGCAGACAGTGACATATTTTGTGAATTATTTCTATTTAAACATTTGAGCCTGAGGAAACAGTTGAGGGCAGAGCTAAATCCATTTTTGCAAGTAGCTTTGATTTTAAGATAAATTTGTAAAATAATTCCTAGTACATTGTGTCATGTTCTAGCCCCACTTATAACCCTGAAATTGGTACAACTCAGGCTGCACCTGAACTCCTTCCAAAAGAGCCAGTTATTAAAAAGACCACATTATAGCACAGCCTATACCAGGACTTCAGGATGCGGGTCCTGAGGGTGGCATGGTGGAAGACCCCAGTCCATTACCTTAAACAAATGGACACAATTCCAAAGTCAAGGAACCAAGTGGTTTGATTCTGTAGAAGTGTAGCAGAAATAAACAGGAGCAAAAATCTTGGTGTGTCTGACTTGCTGTAGTTTGTCTACACGGTTCTGTGACACATGGCGTACCCTTCCCCTCCAAGACAGACTCTGTGACCTTTTGGCTTGGATCCAATCGACCCTTCTGTTGCTCTCCCCAGAGCTTGGCTTTGCATGCTCAGGCCTGGCAAAGGGTTGCTTCTAACAGCTCTGACTGGGATTGCACCTCCCTGTTTTCCTCATCACACAAAGCTCTATTTGTGTGGCTACTTCTTCCCAGAGCTGCTGCCTAAGTTCTAATGAAACATTGGGACTATCTCTCAGAAAAATTAACAAACCCTTTGGGCACGCTTCTTGTAGATGATATGAACTGGATTTAAGTCACAAAATCTGTGGCTAGTGCTTGGTAATTGCTCAACTTAATTCAACACACACTTAATGAGCACCTGTTCTGTGCAGGTGCACCATGCCTGGAACTGCAGGAATTACAGATGAATAAGACCTGCCTAGTAGGGGTTAATAGATAAGCACACAAACAGCTAAGCTGAAATACAGAATGAAAGTTTATTGTTGATTCACTTGTTTAGCAACTAGATATTGAGCAACTATTATGCACCAAAGCACTATTCTAGATACTGGGGATATAGTCGTGAACAGAACAGAAAAATTCTTGCTCTCAGGGAGCTTAAATTCTCGTGGAGGTGGACAGAAGACAAATAACAAATTAACAGGAAATGTCCGTTGGTGATAAGTGCTGGAAGAAATAAAGCACAGTAAGTGTTTTGGAATTATAAGTTGAGGCGCTAGTTTGGTCAGGAAAGGTCTTTCTGATGAGGCAATGTTTACAAAGAGACCTGAATGAAGTGTGGGAGAAAGCTATGCAGAAATGTGGGAAGGACATTCCAGGCAGAGTGGATGGCCAGTGTGAGGTCCTGAGGCAAGAACCTGCTTGGCTGAAAACAGCAAACCTGCCCCTGTGGCTGGGGCAGAGTTTTAGGAGATGACAGCTGAGGGGAAACTGGAACCAGCTTTTGTAGGGCTTTATGGACCCTGGTGAGTTTGGACTTTATTTCTATGGAGATGGGAAGCCATTAGAAGATTTTTAGCAGAAAGCAACATGACTGGATATATTTTAAGAGGAACACTGTGGCTGAGCACACACAATGGGGACCAAGAAGAGAAACCGGAAGATCAGTTAGGCAGCTCCTGCAATTATCCAGGTGGGAGGTGATGGTCTGGGGCCTCATGGCAATGTAGCAGAGGTGAGAAGACAATGGAAGTGGGATATATTGGAGGAATAGGGTCAAAAGGACTTCCTGACAGACTGTGATGTGCAGGAGTGAGGGAACAGGGGGATCGAGGATGACGCCAAGCTTTTTGGCACCCAGCTGAAAGGAGGTGAGATTTACTGAGATGGAGAACACTGAAGGAGGAACAGGATTGAAGGCAGAATCAAGAGTTTAGGTTTGAAAGTGTCAAATTTGAGATACCTATATACTGAGATAGCTATATTTGAGATACCTTATATTGGACATACACATGGAAAATTTGAATAGGCAGTTGATATAGACATGTAGAGTTAGGGGAGAGGTCAAGGGCTATAAATGTACATTTGGTAAATATGTAGTAGCATTGGGACTTGTCTGGCATAGGGAGTACGAAGAACGAGCTCGCTGAGGTTCATTACGTGATTCGACTTCTGACTCTCATTGTACTGTCGAGGAAGTTAAACAAATTTCCCATTTCTAAGACCCCCTTGTCCCCTGCTGTGACTTTCCTTGTCAGTCTCTTGAAGCCTCCCGAAGGTATTCTGTCTTATTTGACTTCCTGTCTCTTAGATTGTCAAGCATACACTTGGCACATCAGCGGATTAAGCAAACCATTCATCAGGTACCTACTATGCACCCAGGGCTGTGCTATGTGCTGTGTGATATCACAATGTAGTAAAAGGCAATAGCGGGAGTCAATGTCATTATATATCAACCAGAGAGACCATCTGTCGGAGTGAAAAGAGGAGCAGTCAGGGCCCTAGAGTCTTGTCTTTGCTGCTCTGTGACATGGGGAAGTCATCACCCATTTGGGCTCAATCTCACCACCCAGACTGGTTATCTCTAAGTTCTCTTCTAGTCCTAAACTCCTGCCACACCAAATTAGCATTCATTACATCTAGGGCTGGCTGGGAAGAGATCTAAGAGCCAATGTGGGCTGGAGGACTTGAGTAGGGGCCCTGGATGTTTGTTTTACACTCACATCTATTCAGAAAATAAGCCAATTGATATCTCCTTGTTGATTGTCCACTTGTTTTTTTTGCAGAAATTGGTGTCATCTTTAAAAGAAAAATGAAAATTATATAGCTAATGATAGCTACAATTTCTTATATATCTTGTATAGTCAGGTATTATGGTAAATACTTTAAATGGATGATCTCACTTAATGCTCATAATAGCCCTATGAATAGAGCTTTGCACAGAGGAGGAAACTGAAGCTATATATACATGTTTGCTTATGTAAATATCCAAAATCAACCAACAAACTTACTCTAACTTAATGTTTTACTCAGATTACAGTTTTAACCTAGAAATTCTCAAAGAAATTCAATATAATTTAGATTAAACTTAAAATTTAGACCAATTGAAATAGTTGCTTATCTAGAATTTTAAGATAAAATTTTGTTAAGGGATATTGCATATTAAAAAAGAATTTCCAAACAATCTCAGAATTTGTTTCTGACAAGTTGAATACTATTTGGGAATTGGGTGTAATTTTCTCAAAGAAGTGTGTACAAGTCCAGATATGCCATGCTGCTTTTTAATTCCAATTCCCTCCTACTCAGAGATAATGAATATTAATATTTAGGGTACATCCTTCCAGAATTGTCCATGGTATTCAAATTTTCATATTACTTTAGCGATCTAGAAGTGCTATATTTCACAAGCGCCTGGCCCCTCAGAGTGGATGTATGGAGAAGAGAAGGACTTTCTCTTACCCAGTTGGTAAAAAAAAAAAAAATGCAGTTTTGCATGGTGGAGAGGGGATGGAGTCATGGCCCTTGTAATTTTCCAATGTGATGGCGCTTGCGTGGAGCCACCATCTGTTTGCAGGGCAGCTCGAGTGTTGTGCATCTGATTTCAATAAGCTGGGCAAGCAGTTCCATCCTACAGCACATTAGCAGGCAGGCACATCTGCTCTGTCTCCATGCTCCAGAAGCCAATGGAAAGTTAGTCTGCAGAAGCCCACGGTCTAGCTTGACAATAGAAGAGAGTAGTTGCTGTTGGACCCTCTCCAATTCCTATGGAGGTCAGGTTTTGACCCAGAGCCTTTTGGAGCTTAAAAGCCAGGCTGGTATTGTTCTTTATCATTAGTTGTGTTGTCTCAATTAGAAAAAAGAAATCTATGAAGTCTGGATGCAGAATTCTCAAGTCTGGAATTCCTCCCACACATGGAAAACAAGATTCAGTCAAGGAAACAATGCCACTGTGTTTGTCACCCACGTATTTGGGGATCTGACCACAGAGAATAATTTGCTCTTTATCAGAGCGCTCTTCACCTGGGATTGATAAGAAGTTGCGGCCAAGCTACAGTCAGGAGACCTTAGTCAAGTGACTCTGGCAGCAAAGCAAACACCTTGCTCACTGTGTAACTTGAAATGCATCCCTGCCGCTGGCAGGAGTCCCGTGTTTACTGTAACATTTGGAAAATTATCAGCAATAAGATGTTTTATTGAACAATGTTTACACAATGAGCATAATAACATAAACAAGTTAAGTATTTCAATGTTAATAAGGAAAACATTCCTTCATCTTCAGACCACAAGCATTTCAGTGTAGTAAAATGATAGCCCCGGGCTAGCTCTCGGTGACTTGTAAAGTGGCTAATATTGGTCTTCACCTTTCCCTGTTCCAAAGGCTGCCCCCTCCAGTGGGACCCCACTGTATATGCTCTCTCTCATTTTCTGGCCTTTCGATTCTCTCTTGGGGCCTCCCTTCCATGGCCTGCAGGGGCTCCCAGAATGGGGGCTGAAGCTAAGTCCTAAGGAAGCTTCATGTGAATTAGAAGAAATGCCCCTTTCTTAGGCAGAGGCCGCTCCTTGCCAGGGGCATGGTTTGGTGAGCTGAGCCCCTGCTCATCCCCTTAGCTAGATGCCCTAGACAGGACACAACCTGCACAGCTTTAATGGTGACTGCCCACAGTCCCTCTACCGAGAATTGGACAGTGCTTCCCCTCCAGGCTTTCTCACTGACTCTCACTGTCTGGGCCAGGACCCTCAAATTATACTTTGCCAGCGGTGGGGATGGGGTCAATGGATAACCCCAGGCTCCAAGGCAGTGTCAGGAAAAGGAGTAGCATGTGAGCTGTGCCGACAGGCCACAGCATAGGGCGAAGGAGGAAGCAAGACCTGGGAGGGGGCAAAACTTCTCTGCAAAGCAGCCAAGGGCCATCTTCATGTCCACCCACCTTCCAACAGTCTGTCTGCTCACCCAGCACCAGCCTCCACCCCTATATACTCTGTGATCTCCAGCCACCTCTCTTCTTTGTTGTTACTTCTCTACTCTATGTAGAGCCTTCAAATAGCAACTTTCTGCATCACCACATCCCCACCTCCCTGGCAGCCCACCTGCTTGTCCCTACTCTCCCAACAGTAAGCCCTTCCGAGAGCATTTCCCCTGAGCCCACTCCTACCTGCTCCCCACTCCCAAACATGCAGCTGACAATCAGAATGAATTCAAGACTAGCCATCAATAGCTGGCAATGCCACCCAAATCACTTCTCATTCTTGCTTTTGGGTGGAAGCTTCCTGGAGACACACTGTTGGCCCAAGTGTAGCTTACAGCAGGGCTATGGACAGATGCTGTTGAATGGCTTCATGGGACTCCCCAGATTCAAACTCTGTATGTTCCTGCCTGGCTCTCACTAGCGTCCTGGTGGGGAGACATACAGGTCTTATTCAGCATTTAAGTCTGACTAAAGGTCAGCATAGTAAGTGGTTGCGTTCCACAGTGTCTTCTCCAGCATGGGCCAAGAATGAGAGTCACTCACTCCCTTCTGGAGCTGAGAGATGACCAGAGAGAAGGGAATTCTGTCCATCCAGGATGCCTGGTTTCTTTTCTTAACCAGACCCGGTGACTGGCCTTCTTCTTCAAGATTCTCCATCTCATAGCCTTGTCTGGCTGCTTCCTTCGCACCCTGCACCACTGCACAGACACTGTTGCTCTCCACATTCTGTATGCACTGCAGACACACACCCACAAACACATGCTCATACACACATAAGCACACACACATGTGTACATGTACTCGCACACACACATACTCATGTACACACCTGTACACACACAGTTTGGAAACAAAGACACTGCTACTGCAAAACCCTCGCCTCTGGGATGGCTGCTCATCCTTGCTTCCTAACAGACTTAGTAGAACTCAAAACTCACCTTTTCTTTTGGCAAATTTCTTTGGAGAAGTGGAATGGTAGTGCGGGTACAAGGGTGGTAGCATCAGTTGTTTTTAAAACTTGACAAAATCATACATAGTATGAACTCTGACCCCTACTCACCTGGCATTTCTGGTGCCTAGAAACAAACAAAAAATTGCAGCAGTACCATCTCCTAAACCATGCCCTCAGCTGGGCACCCAGCCCTCGTTCTTGTGCCCCCAGTGGCCTGAGTTTTTCCTTATATTAAGGAAGAACAATGTCAGCCTAGCAGCCTCAGCCAGGCCCTGAATTCCTGAGGGGTCAAAGCCTGACTTGAGATCTGCCTGGCCAAGTGTCTTATACAGCACTGGGCAGGCGTGGGTGGTTGATAAATATCATTAGATGGCAAGGGGGTGGCGAAGACCACAAGAACAGGCTCTTTCTTAGCTGCCTGGTATTAACTCATGCGGACGTTCTGGATCCTGGGAGAATCCAGATGGCCCAGGGTCTGAAATAAACAGCCCCAAGGTCCAAGTCACTTGTTGACAGTGCCTTTCTGGGAATAGGCATTTGGTAGAGTTTTTGCAGGAGAAGGACCAGGCCTTTGGTGGCTTAAAGGGCAGTGTTTGTGTCACCCTCAGCCTGAAAACAGGTGGAATACAATAGTTGCTCTTTACCCACAGGGGATATGTTCCAAGACCCCCAGTGTAAATAGTGCCAAATCCTATATACACTATGTTTTTTTCCCCAAACCTACATAACCTATGATAAAATTTAATTTATACATTAGGCACAGTAAGAGATAAAAAACAATAACAATAAAATAGAACAATTATAAGAAAATGCCAGCATCCCTACTCTTGTGCTTTGGGGCCATTATCAAGTAAAATAAGGTCTACTTGAATACAAGCACTGCCATACTGAAACAGTCCATCTGATAACCAAACCAGCGACTAAGTGGGTAATGAGTGACAGTCAATCTGACAACCAAGCAGGCTACTAAGTGACTAAGGGGCAGGTAGCCTAGAGAGCAGACAAAGGGATGATTCACGTTCCGGGCAGAAAAAGTGGGATGGCGCAATATATCATCACACTATTCAGAATGGCGCACAATTTAAAACATAAACTCTTTATTTCTGAAATTTACCATTTAATATTTTCGGACCACAACTGATCCCAGGTAACTGAAACTTTGGAAAGTGAAACCACAGCTAAGGGGGTGACCACTGTATATGAAGCCCATGAAGTGTTGGTAAAAAATGGCTCTACAAAGCAGAAGGAGGTGGAAGCCCTAATTTGGAGCATCTGCTACTTTCTGCTGTGTGATTATCCGTAGTGTGGCCAATTCCAGGTTAGAAGTGTGGCCTCACTGGGAGTGGAGTTGGGAAGAGAAGCTTACGGTGGAGCAGGGGTGAGCCTGTGTGAGCTGGCTGCAGTCCGCCACTATGTGAGACATTTTCTGGAGGACCTCTCTTTATCTTTGGAGCATCCTTCCTCTCCTTCTCCTGCCCACTTTTCAGACCTCAGATGAATCATCCCTTCTTCCAGGAAGCCTGCTCTGCCCACTAAGATGCAGTATGGACCAGCACGTGGAACTCTCCTTCATGACACTTAGCACGTGGAAATGGCCATTTCTTTGTGTGCTGACTGATTATCTTCCTGGCTAGTCTGTAAGCCCCGTCAGGAGGGAGAGAACTATGTATGGTTTTTTCCACTGTTGTATCACCAGTGGCTAGCACAGCTCCTGGTATGATGTTGGTGCTTCATAAATAGTTGATGAAAGAATGGAAGGAAGAAATGAACTGAGCCCTGGGCTGGGTGGGCTGTTACTAACACTGTGATTTTTAATCAAGGAACTTCATCCACCAGCTTTTTGGGTTTTTTTCCTTCTTTTTTTGCATTTATTATAAACAAAAGGACTGAATTATTTCCCATTATTCTTTCAACACTAGGATTCTATGGATTTTTGAGTCCGAAAGGACTGCAGTTCTTTAATGTTTGCCGTTGCCTCAGAAATGGCTCCACTTTTGCATGATGTGTGTATGGGATGTGTGTGTGTGTGTGTGTGTGTGTGTGTGTGTGTGTGTGTGTGTGTGTGTGTCATAGCCAAGGGCAGATGATAGAGCATGCAGGAGGGGAGAAGAAACCTTATAATAAAATGTTTTCATTTCCTTTTCATGTCCAAGGCCACAGGGTCATAAAAGAATCTGCCTGACAGCCAGCTCTGTAGTATTAGATTCATCCTAGTGATTCTTTTCCCAAAAGGCTAAAGTCTTCCTTGTAATTAAAACTGAAATAAGAAGCACCAAACAGATGGCAAGCCCCTTATGGGCAGGTGTAAGTCTTAAATGTTCTTACAGCCCCCAAAAGCCCAGAGTAGTGCATGCACACAGTGAGGACGCAGTCATACTTGCTGCAGAATTAGCTTGAGATAGACGTGGCCCTTGCAGTAAGAGTTCATCCTAACTACCAATTTTGGTGGACCCAAAATGTTTCTCCATTTTTCTGTTTGCTTAGGAACACAGACAAAATATCCTCACGGCATTTTATAAAGTTTTGGTACCTTTGATCATAAATGAGACAACCCTACAATTTGCTTCTCCCCAAGTCCAAGGACACTAGAGAAACCTTGTCTCTGGAATTTCTTTTCTGTCCCTGCCCAGCACTTTCTGGCAGGGCCCATGGCAAAAGCTAAGTCTGGGCGCCTTGCTCTTTGATGGTGCTGAATAAATTCCTTTCAGGGGGTACAAATCCCTTGCTTTCATGACCATCCCAGGAATGTAGGGTGACAGCCAGGTGGGACCAACTCCAGGCCCATGGTAAGAAAGGAAAGGGGCTGTTCCCTTTCTGTGCATAGCATGACATTGCCTTTACATGTGACAAAGCCACCTGGAGGCTACAAGGAGTGGGCCCCAGAAATCTGTGGGAGTGATTTTTGGAGGCTATAAATGCCCTCTGACACTAAGAGACCTTTAGGGTGGGGGCTGCACTGTCCCCCCCTAAATTGTGAAATAGTGCCTTAGGAACCCAGGTTGGACCTGTCTAAATAGTGGCTTGACCAGCGTAAAGAGATGACAGAGGAGCTAGCAAGGGAAGACTGGTTGTGATAACAACAACTCTAAAGTTTTTGAGGCTTGTGTGCCCGGAACTATGTTAACCATTTTATAAGCATTGCTATATTTAATAATTATAGCAACATTTTTATTACCCCCATTTTGCAGCTGGCTTAATGGGGCTTAGCCCACAAATGAGTGGTCAGTCACCATGATGCCATGGCGACGACCTTCTGCATTCCTTGCATGGGACTCCACTCTCCTGCCCTCTCACTTTGCAAAGACCTCAAGCTCTAAAACATTTCCATGAGTCATTGACTGATGTCTGAAATCTTACTTCCCAAGATTTTAATAATATAATGAGGATAGCTACCATTTGTTGAACAGCTTTTATGTGCCAAACACAGTGCTAAGTGTTACATATGTTCTCTTTTTACAATCACTACTTTATAAGGGAGTATTATTATTATTCTGGTTTTACAATTCAGGAAGCTGAGAATCAGAGGGAGTTTGTACAAGTTATTGAAAGTCACATTGCTAGCAAGAAGGAAGGACCAGGGCCAGGCTTTTGCTTGTTCCATTGTTGCTGAGTGGCATTTATTACCTTTCTAACTGAGAGAACTTGACAGCTGCTTAGAATCTGCCCCTGGGATGAGTATGGGTCTGAGCCTTCATCAGCCCTGTATTTCTTAGTAGGAATGAAGATCCAGAGATCATGCTTCAATGGAGCAGAAGTTTGAGAGTACCAAATCTGTGTCCACCAAGAAGAGGACCTAATGATGGAAGGGGATCCCAAAGACCAGTTGGCAGATGGGTTTTGTGAATGAAAAGACAAAGTGGCCTGTCAGCAGCTCTCTAAGGAAGCAGGAAGGGATGGTCAGCACAGGCTGTTTTATGACTTCTGAGGCTGTGGGACAGGCAACCTTATCATAGCCTCAGCCCTGCAAAGCACACAGTGCCCAGGCAGCTATGAGACTACATCTGTGGGAAAATCCATATTTCTATGGACTGAGTCAGGCTAAATTAAACATGAGGGTAATTTGACACATCTGAATTTCATCACCATTATATCACTCTGTAGACCTTGTAAATTTTCATAATGACATTTTTGCTAGGTTGGAGTAAGCTGCCTGCATCTTAGGTGTGTTACTTTAAAACTTTAAAACAGACTAATAAAATGAGGTGTTGGCCAGCTAATCACATGTAGTCATCTCCTCAGAAGGATCCAGGCAGCAAAACGAACCAGAGTTATGAGTAAGTGTCCTGAGGTGGCCCTGAGGGCACAGACCCTGACCATACCCTTTCTCTTGGAAACAGTGACAGGATGGCCAGAGCTGTGTACATGCCACCAGGCATCCCTCTCCTGTGGGAGACTGTGTGATCTGCAAACCCCAGAATTTGTATAACCTGGAATCCCGGGACCTTGGAAATATGATCTATGACCTGCCCTGCTCGCTTCATCTCCCTTAAGAACTGGACATCAACATCATTATTTTGAGATGGTACAAGGGGCTCACCTGGATGGAGGTGAACACCCACCCATCACCTGGCATTGCTAAGCACTGTTACATGTGGTGTTACTGTCATGATTTTCTAAAACTGAAGGACAAGATCAATGTTTGATGACGGGTCAGAGCATTTGGAATCAAGACTGTCCTGGAACTAACTGTGTGTGTCATAATGTCATGTTTCTCATGTGGTACCGGCTCTATATGGGTCACTATGTCTAAACAGGACTCAGTCTCTGCCAGGCTACATGAAAGGTTTGATTTTGTCCCTTATCTGCCTTCCAGTTCATAGCTTCCTCAATTGGCTCTTCACCCCAGGATGAGCCAACCTAGAGATTTTCTTCTGGAGCTGTCCTTCCCTGGCCCCTCCCTTCCCTCTATACTGGGCTCCATTCCTGACCTGAGCCAACCTGAGCTTCGGCTTCTCTTTCCTGGCCCTGCTTCTCTCCTACTCACTTTCTTTCCTGATTCCTCTCTTCCATCAGAGCCTGGACCCCTGAGCCCTTCAGCTTGGGTCTCTGTCCTATCACAGATTAAAATCCACAGCTGTCTCTACAAGAGGGCTACTGTGGGTGCATATATGCTTGAGAGGAAGCCCTTCTCCATTTTAGGGCTAGCTCATCTGGAGGAGTGGGGTACTCCGGAAACTCACAGGGCAGCCCATGGCTGGTCTACGCCAGAAAGCATTCCCTGAAATGCTAGATCCCGCTGATCTCTTCTCCTAACATTCTGTCATAGGCTGTGTCTGTGCTATCCTTGTCAATTATTTGTTGAATTACTCATTTGACAAAGACTTATAGAGCTCCTACTACATGATGAATGGGTCCCTCAATAAACACAGCAAAGTTCCTGCCCTCATTCATATGTTCTTGTGGAGGAGACAGATAATAAAATAAGAAAACAAATCATAAAATTAAGTATTAAAAAATAAGTAAGGCAGGATGGGGGAATAGAGTGGCAGGACTTGGTGGGGGTAGGATAGATATTTAGATTAGAATGATCAAGAGGTGATAGCAGACCTAAAAATGTCGATCAGAAGCTAACCATGTGAAGATCTGTGGGTAGGAGTGTCCCAAATAGAGCAAACAGTGAGTGCGAAGGCCCCAGGACAGTAACAAGGTTGGCATGTTGAAGACATTGCAAAAAGGTCAGTGTGGTCACCACACAACCACAACGGGAGGAGCGATTAAGATGCTGGAGACAGTCAGGGTCCAGATCGTATAAGGCAGATTTCCTCCACCCCAGAACTATCAACATTTTGGGTCAGATGATTTTTTTGTTGCAGGTGCTTGTCCTGTGCATGTTGTTTTGCTGTGCATGTTGTTTTGTGCATGTTGTTACTGGCTGCCAGTAACACCCCTGAAGCCTCCACCACCCCCTTTATGACCACAGAAATGAGGTGGTCACAGATATTGCCAAATGTCCCCTAGGAGAAAAATCACCTTCATTTAAGAACCACTGAACAAAAGCCATGGCAAGATAATTTCATTCTACATATAATGGAAATCCATGGGAGGCTCAGAGCTGGGAAAAACCATTGCAATTTACATTTTTAAAGGGCACTCTGGCTGCTGTTGGCCTAAAAGAAAAACAACAGCAGAGGCAGGAGATGCAGGAAGAGGTCTAGATGAGAGGTGACCCTGGCCCAGATTAAAGAGGGAGCAGTGGACTATAAGAAGTGATTGGATTCTGACTACATTTTGAGGGTGAAGCCAACAAACTTGCTGGTGAATTGGATATAAAAGGTGAGAGGGAAGGCAGAATCAAGTATGGTTTCTAGATTACTCTGTGGGAATAATTATGTCATTATCTAAAGTAGAGAAGACTAGGAGAAAAGTAGCTTGGGGGTTAAAAAAAATTCTAAATTTGAGATGTCCTTTAGACATCCAAGTAGACATGCCAGTAGAATATAAGAGTCTGGGGCCCAGGGGAGAGATCCAGGCTGGAAATGAACATCCGGAAGTCGTAGATCGTAGCTCATGCCTGGGGAGGATGAGATCATCCAGGAAGAGGGCGATCTAGAAAGGAAAGCTGAGCTCTAGGGCACACCATATTTAGAGGTTCAGAGAATAAGGAGAAGCCAGCAAACGAGGCCAGGGAGGAGGACTAATGAGGGAGAAGGGACATTAGGAGAAGAGACAGGGACATGTGTATTCCTGAGGTGTCCTGGCACTGTTGTTACATCTGCCTTAGACTGAGTAGTTGGGGAGCTCCTCAGGCATTCGTTTGTGTTCAATGGTGGTGGCAATGGTACTGAACTACTATAAGGTACTATATCCAAGTTTTAGACAACCAAACGATTGAGCAAAAGCCACCTTGGTTAATCTTTAAGAAATAAGTGGTACTGATACCACTTTATAGCCGAAGAAACTGAAAATGAGGGCACTATAGCAACTCGCTTTCCATCACATGCACTTTAAGCACGACTCCTGGGACTGGAACCTTGGAAAGCCTGTTTCCACATTCATGCTTTTTCTGTGGTGTTCTTGGCCTCTGCCTCACAAGGTTCCGCTCAATGCCTGGCACAGACCTCCATTCTGACCATGGCAGGAATACCTCATCTCTGCTCAAGTTTATGTGAGTGCATCTACATCTGCTACTGCGTTTGGAATGGACCAGGAGGAGCCAGAACTGCTCAATACCAGGGCAAGTGACTGTCAAGATCCCTCATGCAACTAAGGCCAGAACCAGCACGAGCACCTGGAGTTTCACACTCCTGGTCCAGGTTTTCCCATCTTACCTTCTGTGTCTACAACCAAGATGTTTCCCCATCCATCAACCATATCCAGTGCAACAGCCCTAATAGATATGCAGGGGAAGTAGCATTATTCTCATTTTCCAGATTAAGAAACAGAGGCTCAGAGAGGTTCTGTAATTTGCCTAAATTATACCACTAGTAAGATTCTGAATCAGGAATAAATTCCTCATCTCCTAAATCTAGGTATTACTGAGCTGAAATAATCTATCCCTGACTTAGCCATTAGTTTTTATTTCTTACATAATAACTTTCCCAAACCATAAAAGAAAGAAGATACAAACAAACTTTTCTAAACACCAGTATTGCCGGTCAGAATTCTGTAATAGGTTCATAGTCGTTTAAGAAGTCAAAATGACTGGAAGATGAACATTTTGTGCACCATGTCAACTTAAAATTATTATTTTTTGGCTTAATCATAAAGATGCTTTAAAAAGAACCTTTGAAACATATTTGTGTTGCTTTATGAAGCTCTCTGCTTTCTGACATCTCCTGCTCTTTTTTGGAAAAGTTCAAAAACAGCACTTGAAAACCCCACCCCCAAAATATTTTCTTTCATTTCCAAGACACAGAGATGCTGACACATGGGCATGAAATCTGAAGTCAAGCTTTGGAGTCTGACCTCTTCAAAACAGAAAATGAAAACATTTCTAGTGTTCACACTTTCCCTGTGAAAACACAAACACAACACTCTTGAACACAGGTGAAAGGAAAGGTAATTCGTTTCATGCGTAAGAAACATTCTTAGTGGTGTGTCATTTCAGGGGCAATTGATTCCATTTGTCATTGCAATTTTCAGAAAGGGTGGAAATACACTCTCCCCGCCACCTTTTCAGCACAAAAAAAGTAAGTCAGCCTTTGCTTTTTCCTTTAAAAACAGGTGCAACAGCAATGAATTTAAACATCTCTCTGCTGGCTTGTTTGCAGTCCACTCCAGCTCCCTGGTGCTTGGCTCAATATCATTCACCTGCTTGGGAGGTGGGGGCAGGGCATGATGTGACAAATGTCTCTCTTCTGCTATAAATATTATTTGAAATGGACAACTGGCTTGGCGACATTAATTTTACAGGCAATAGTGGAATAAGCGGTGGAGAGAAGAGGATACACTTAAAAAGATGAACATTATCCCTAGAAGCAGGTCTCTTTTCTCGCCTTCTGTCCCACTACCTTGCAACCTCAAATAGAGATATCTTAGCTGCCTAAAAAGCAGCATTAAATCTTTGGTCTGGACAGGAATTCAGCATTTGAGAGGAGATGTCACTAATAATCCTCTCTGAGTACTAGCGGTGAAAATGGGGCCCAGTGGGAGGGCATTTTACTAGGGAGAGAGTTGGAATGAGCCCTGGGGGAACAAGGGTGAATACAGAATGGGGGCAGGCTAAGCTTCCATGAGAACTAAGAGGTAGGCAGTTTGTCATCACTGATCTGTCCTCAGAGGCTACATTAGCCAGGCTCTCAAGAAAATTGGGACATGTCACCTTTGTGGCCCTAAGGTAGAATCTTGGTGTGGGTCACTCTTTCATGTGCCCTCCACTGGGAACCAAAGGTCTGAGGTCAGTGATAGATTGCCCATTGGGTTGAGGGCTGGAGTTAGGATCAGGGTTTACCTGAAGGTGTCAGCTCCAGCATTCACATTAAGAGCCTTTAAACTGTTTATACCAGGGGAGAAATTGAAACCCTCTGCATTGTGGCAGCCTGGAGCCTCGCTCAGGAGAAAATGTTAGACTCTCTGCTCTGGGCAGAAACTTCTTTAGAATTTTGACAATATCAACATTTTAATGGTATCTTAGCCCTGTTGTTCTTATAAAAATATACTGAAGGGGAAGGATATGATTTTGTGGGATCAGAAGCTCCTGCCAAAGTCACTGAACCCACACTAGGACCAAAGCGTTTACCCCAGTGGCAAGGCCATGAAAGGCCATGCTACCCAATGTCAGTGCCCAGTGACAGGGAGGAGGATGTCTTGTGCCCCTTGGACAATTACTGTTATGGTCATGCTTGGGGAAGAGAATCAAAGAAAGATGGCTTTGCAAGCATGAAATGGGAGAAAGACAGTGCAGAAGGTGGGGCCAAAGACAGGATACGATTATTGTTGCTTCTTTGCTGTGTTTGCCAGAGAAAAAGCAAACCTTAGGGATAAAAACATTGTCAATAGTTCTGATGAGGTTGAGTAGTTACAATGAAGATAAGAAAGAGGGAAGAGGAAGAGGTAGAAGAGGAAAAGAAGAGGAGAAGGAAGTAGAAAGAGGAAGGGAGAAGGGAAAAGAAGAGGAGGAGGAAGAAGAAGAGAAGGAGAGGAAGAAGAGAAGGAGGAGGAATGGGCAAGGGGAAGGCAGATGATGACAGCAGCTCTCACTTACTGAGGGTGTCCTTGGTGGCAGGCACAGAACTTCATAGTATGTACTTCATACATCTATGTATGTACTTCACAGATGTACTTCATACACTTTGTCACTTAATCTACACAACAGCTATACAAGAGAGAAACTAGTCTCACCTTACAGATGAGGACATTGTTGCTTAGAGAACAAAAGTTACCCAAGATCACACAACTGCAAATCACAGAGTTGGGACTTAACCCCAAGCTTGCCTGGCTTCAGAGCCATCCGCTGTTCGAAATCATGCTGTTGTCTATGCCAGTGGCTTTCACACTTTTTTTGACTATGACTTATAGTAAAAAAAATGCATTTTCCATCATGAGCCAGTTTGCATATATATGTATATGTACATACATACAGTACAACTAAAACAAAAGTTTCATAAAAATTTTCCCTTGCTATATCCAATGCATATTAATTTTTGAAAATGTTACTCTATGCTCTTTCATTTTTTTCCCTAATGAGAGTTGCACACTAAGTTGATTTCACAACCTGTATTTTGTTTTCTTTTTTCTTTCTTTCTTTTTTTTTTTTTTTTTTTTTGGAGGCAGGGTCTCACTTATCTTGCCCAGGCTAGAGTGCAGTGGCATGATCATGGCTCACTGCAGCCTCAACCTTCTGGGCTCAAGTGATTCTCCCACCTTAATCTGCTTAGTAGCTAGGACTTACAGGTGTATGTCACCATGCCTGGCTAATTTTTTTATTTTTATTTTTGTACAGATGGGGTCTCACTTTGTTGCTCAGGATGGCCTTAAACTCCTGTCCTCAAGTGATCCTCCCGCCTCAGCCCCCTAAGTGCTGGGATTACAGGCATGGGCCACACACCCGGCCTTCAACTTGTAAAAACATTTTCTGTTCTCTGCTCTATGGCAGTTGATTAGAAGTGTCCTTGAACTCCTGCTTGATCTTAGTGGATGCTGGGCAGCATCTCGCTTCTGAGGCATGCAGCTAATTGTGTACTCTGGACCATCCCTCTGGCAAGAGGACATCATTAATAAAATATTTCAGAAATTACAAATATCTGACAAAGCCATTTGCTTGGAAAAGAGTCAGTCCAGGAAACCATCCAGAATATATAATCACTCATCTCAGGCACTGACTGCTAATATTTTAGGCAATTGATGTATGCTTTAGCAAAAGAAACTATTTTCTCTGTTTTCAGAACCTAAAGAAGTCATCTGTTCTGAAAGGCTACACACAGTCGCCATCTAACAATAAATGGTAAAAGAAAAGAAACATGCAAGGTGTTGTGGTGACTCTATCAATCCACCCTCCAGAGTAGTGCTGTCTTTCTCAATTTGGGGTGAATACAACCAGGATCTGAAATTAGATTGCTTTTCAGAGGAGCATGTACATCTCCACCCTGGTTTGGGATTTCAGGGATGATTTTGTTTCAGCAGCTAGGGGCAGTGGCAGGTTGGTTGAATCACATTTAGGTCATGGAAAGTGAAGTCTGATCAGGTGGCTCAGCTCGAGTCAGCCCTGATGGGCTGTGGACTCGGTGACTTCACTCCAAGCAATGTGCACGCTAATTGAGAAAACATGTTCCTGTGATGGCCTCATGCAAAAATCCAGATTTACGAATTTTTTTTATTCCTAAGAATTCCTTAAATATTTGCCGTGCGTGTCTATACAGCCTCCTGGAGTACTTCTCCTTACTGAGTAGGGTTGTGATTTCTGCTGTGGCCCAGGTCAGGCTTTTAAAGGGTGGGATTCTGACAAAGGGCAACTGGGCAAGCAGCCACAGGCCTCGGGGAGAAGCAAGAAGAGGGCAGCAGAGGAGAAAAATAACCCAGACCTCCTGTGCTTTTCCTGGGGCAGAAAAAGCAATTCAAAATCCTTGAAAAGCAATTGTCTGCAATGTCAATGAGGGGGTCCACATCGGGAAGGGGCCTCAGCTTACTGGGCATTGGCTATATTCCAGACTCTGAGGTAAGAACTTTCCAGCACTCTCTCCTTTCCCCTTCACAATTGCCCTCAAAAATCAGTTGGCATCATGATTCCCTTTTACAGATGAAGAAACTGAGGCTTACAGGGGTTAAGTAATGTGCTCACAGAGCTAATGAGAAGTGAACTTGGACCTAAATCCAGTTCTATCTGTGTGCCAGGACTCCTGTAAAATCCTACCTGCCTATGGGACAGCCCCTCACTGCCCTCCGAGGAGCCTCCCTGAAAGCCTTCTTGACATCCAGACCTGTCCCTCTTGGAGGTCATATATTCACAGAATTAGTACTTCCACTAGTTCCAGTTTTGATACTGCTTGCAATTGCTCCATGTGTTAATTCACATAAGAAGATTAAAAAGCCTGCAGACAAATTTTGTTTGGTCTGTACCCATGTGTGGAAAGTGAAGAAATTTCAGAGTTTTGGCTTTTCAGTCTCAAAGTTTTGGCTTTTCTTGAAAAGTTCTTGAAGAGATCTGTATTGGACCTATAATCCTTTACAGCAATGGTTGGCCTGTCCCTTAACAATGAGGCATAGCCTCTCTAGTTTTTCACAGCCCCAGCAATCTCTGGCCTCAGCTCATTTATATTCTCTCATGAGCCACTAAGCCTTTTAGTTATGACTCCTGAGCAAGCTCCTTGGGGCAGGATCATGATTTATATTTATTTTGAGTCCCCAGAGTGCCCAGTGTCCCAGGTAGCATATTAATAAGGATGCTAATTGAGAGAAGAAAATCTATCCAGTAGCCTCATACATGGTGGGCCCCCTCCCCTGTGGGGCGAGGACAATCTTCCCCTTTAACCACAGGTTCTATGTAATTCAGCAACAGCTGCTTAACCCTTGGCTCTTGGTCTGGGAGAGCAGAAATGCCCCACTGCCATAGCAAAATTCACTTTCTCTTTCTTTTCTTGTAAACTTGAAGAATTCCTAAGACATTTAAAATCCTAAAGACACAGAGGAGTTGTTACGTGGAGTAAGGAAGCAAAACATTCTTAAAGCTGCAAGCAAACATGGTCATTCTCAAGAAATGCCTTATTTAGAGAGCATTGCATAACATTTCTGAAATAAGAGTCTGAGGAGAAGTTTGCCTCTGAAAGAAAATTACAGGAGAACCTCCGTGAGTCTTCTCTTACCCAGACATTACAAGGCGAAGATAAATCGCAAGATGAAATGTTTGGTTAAAATTCTATCAAAATGAGAATGTTAACTACAGAAGGTCAAAATATCAGTGAGTAAATTCCTAGAGAAGTCTTCAATGCAACCAAAAAGATTTCTCCTCCCAAAACAGAAAAGCTATATATGCACAGATACATTAAAAACATACAAAAAAGATGTTATCCTACCTGAAATTAAAAAAAAACAACTATGAAGTGGGGGCTCCCCTCAGATCAGCCCTTCCAAGGGAGAACGTGAGGGGAGGAAGCTCATGTTCGTTGGTGCCCCCCTCATGCCAGGCCTGTGCTGCTGTTTTGCCTATGCCTTCCCACTTAATGTGCACAACAGCCAGATGACAGCATAGCTACTACTAATATCTTTGTCTTACAGATGAGAAAACTTAGGGACAGGAGAGGCCCTCCTATGTCTCCACTTTCCTGGAGTACCCCGTCCTTCCCCCTGCTTATCTAGTCCAGCACCTCTCAGGCAGCTAGAAACAGTGTGACTTCTTTTTCTGAAAGTGTTCTCCATAATCCAAAGGGAGCCTGTCCCACTTGGCATCACTCATACACAATGGGGGTTCAATACATATCCATAGTGATGAGGCAGTACCTCAATCGTTGACCTCTCAGCCAGGTCTGCTCAGATCCAAAAATGGGTTGGCATTTCACTAGACTGAGCAAGTGAGACATGCAAGTCACTCCATTACTAATGAGGGTTGTAATCCATCTGTAATGATGAAGAACTGAAGTCAGGACAGTCTCCCCCACCCCCTAACCTGGGCAAGGGCTGAGCTCTTGAGACCATCCTCCCTGGGCTCACTTAGCAACTGCACACAGAGGGGAGGTGACCTATACCACCAACTCTGACTACTGAAGGAGCAGCCAAAGGAAATGGGAAAATCAGCCCATCTGTACTGACAACAAATACTTCGTGGTTATTGGGAAACTGTTCCTGTAGTAGTGGATTGAAATTGCCCAATGTGGAAGGGCTTCTGTGTGAAACTTGGGTGGTTCATTCCCACTGATTTCATAGCCAGCTTCTTTCATTCGCAGGGCTCTCCACCTGCAGAAGCCACCACAGGCGGTGCCAAAAGTGCCAAAACATCTCAATCTGCTTAGCCCAGTGGTGGATTTTCAGGGAAATCCTGACTGTCTGACTCTGACTAATAGTACTACTAAAAAAAAAAAAAAAAAAAAAAAGACTTCCCGCACGTGAATGCGTTGGCTACAGTCTTAGGCAATTCAAAAGCATTGTTGCTAGTTCCACCTGACAGATTTCATCATCAGATCAACCTCATTTGGGGAGGGAGCTCCTTAAGACTTTCTTTCTTTCTCTTTCTTTCTTTCTTTCTTTCTTTCTTTCTTTCTTTCTTTCTTTCTTTCTTTCTTTCTTTTCTTTCTTTCCTTCTTTCTTTCTTTCTTCCTTCCTCCCTCCCCCCTCTCTCTCTTTCTTCATTCCTTCCTTTCTTTTCTTTCTTTCTTTCTCTTTTTCTTTCTTTCTCTCTTCTCTCTCTCTTTCTTTTCTTTTCTTTCTTTTTTTTCCCTCATTTGAAATCAGCGCCAAGCTCTGCAGTTCCTTTTCACTCCTACTTGTAATGAGTTGGGCATGAGTAGAAAGCATGTGTTCCTATAATACCCTCCTACCCTCTGAAGACATTATTCATTTTAACCCTAGGTACTATAAATAAACAAATAGTTCTATTTTCTGTCCCCCAATGAGACCTTGAAGCAGAGGTGAGAATAATGAGCTATTCTACTTGAGAATAAACCCAGTGCCACAAGCACCATCCCTCGAGTGTAGTGTTGCTAGCCTACTTTTTTTCAAGGAAATGTCACGTTATCAATTCTCATTTATTTTCACAGCTTGGGCACAGTTGTATTAATTCGATGTCAATGTGCACTCATGTTGTATTAAGTGCGGTCAGTGTTGGGGGCTTCTGCTTCAGGGAAGGAACCTCCTGATGCCAGAGTGTGATCCACTTAGCAAAGGAGGGAAGGATTTCCTCCCAGTGCTGCAGACTCCACAGGCATGCAGTCTGCCTGTGTTTTTAATAACATATGGCAGAGTAGGAAGCTGCCATGCTCTAATAGCACCTGTCCCTTCACCTTACTCTTTCTGATTTTCTTTTCCCATGGGTCATTTGTAGTCCACTTCACTCACAAAAGGCAAAGGATGACACTTGGTGGGACTACAGCACTGAGGTCCCTGCCGATGGTGGCCTAGAGTCTGATTTGCTGGCTCTTGGAGGATGAAGCCCAGGAATTGACTTCTGGAGCCCCAGTTTGATGATTAACCACAGAAACCCCAACAATAGGGCCCTTATTGGTAATTTCCAAAAGACTTCTCAACTGGGAGCAGCATTATCTTTGAATACACTTAGCCCTTTATGAGGGGCATTTGAGGTTGTCACTATGACTTCTGACATTTAGGAGGTGAGGCAGGAATACTAAACTATCTGCACTGTGCAGATTGGTCACACTTAACCAAGAATTGTCCCAAAATGCTGACAGCTCCATTCAGAAACAATATAAATCCAATATACTTGCCTAATGAGTTGGGAAAGTGAGGCCTGAGAAGCTTAGCGACTTGCTCAAGGTCACAAAGCTACTTCCCTTCCTTTCTCACAAGTGAGGAAACTGTAACAGGAAGTTTACCCAAAATATAGGAGAAGAATATCAAGGGATCATCCTAACATTTTAATCTGATTCCTACTGTGTCCTAGTCTGAGGCCTCAAAAGCATGTAAAGTAGCCCAGAGAGGAGCAATGAAAACATCACGAACCACCAGAAAGTCTTCTCCATTGCATGTTTTCATTCTTCTGGTCTTCACTAAACTTTGTGGCTGAAGGTTTATTCTCCTCGGCTCAAATAGTGACGTTTCTATGCTTCTGCACAGCCTAATAAAAGACCGAGGACCCCAAAGCCTCAGTTTCTCCATTCACATATCAGCCTCAGGATCATCCTGGCCTTACTGCTATTTGGAGTTAGGATCTTAACTATTTTCCCACTGTTATCAAGCGATGTCTCATGGGAATGGATTGGGGAAGGGTCTTTCATCCTCATTTATTTACCCAATGCCAGTGTACACTGTTTTCTCAAAATGGTCCACCACAGAAGTGATTTCTCAGAACTGGCTAAGCCTGAGAGCTGATGGTTTGTGAGATCAGCTAGTGAAAGAAACACACAGGAACTCTTTCTGTGTCACAGAAAGGTGTTTTCTGGGAGCATGGGTTGTTTGCACACAGATATCCAGAGATTTTATGCAAGCCGTCAGCAAACCTTCCACTGCTTCCTGAGATCAGAGAATTTGCTGCCAGCAAAGGTCTCTTAAGGCTTGCTCTAGACTCTGAAGTCAGTGAAAGTTCTTACTTGGAAAAGGTAAATGGCTGGGCCTCTGCTCCCAGGTCTGGCACTGACATCTGCTTGGGGATCTGGGCCTTGGCCCTACTCCATGCCCAGTAGAGAAGAGCAGTGGCTGAATCTCTGTGTAGTTTCCCTGCTGCTCTGATGCAGGGTACTGCAGTAAAGCACTCCATCAATGAGCAGCAGGAGTGCTCAGCACTCTTTAAAAAGTAAAGTTGTGTGATTTTTTTCATCAGTTTATTCTCGGTAATGATGAGAAACTTCCCTCGGGCTCCAGCCCTGCCCTGCCCTACCCTACTCTCCCTGCTGATGTCGGCAACCAGGGCCCCCTTCTTGTCCAAGGCACAGATTTCTCCCTGAAAGAGAATGAGAGTGTGAAGCCTCATTCCTTGCTCCCACTGGCCCTTGGGGCAGGAGAGTTGTGGGGTGGGCAATAGGAGAAGGCAAGAACCTCATTCCTTGGTACAGGTTAAAAGTAGGGAAAGAGTCACCAATACCGGGATGACTGCCCTGAGTGGGCCCAGTTCATTTCTCTGGTGGGCCTGGGCTGCTGTTGGAAATGCAGTGGTGCCAGCAGCTGGTTCTAAAATCCTCTGAGGTGCTCCTATACTTCTGTCAAATTAGTGTTCTCATGCCCCAGTGATCTTGGCTTCCCATTTTTGGTGCTTCCTTTTTCCCTTCACCTGCATAAAGATGTTGGGGAAAGAGTGGGGTAGGAGTTTGGCAACATGTGGCATTAACCCTATCCCCCTTCAACAAGAGGAATGTTCACTTTCTGTGTGAGTCAATTCCAGCTAGGCCAGTCTCAGCCCCCAGACCCGCCTGTCTCCTCTGACCCTCTGGAAACACTGCCCATCATGAATTGACATTTGGGTTGCTCAGGTTGACGTATGACTTATTCAACAAAAGAGACCCATCAGGTTTGATACAGCCTTTCTTCTTTCTTCTGTGACTCTGCAGAGGGAGAAAGTTTCAGACATTCAGGAGGAAACTGTAAACACAGGATAAGAAGGGCTGGCAGGGGCCAATGGCTGCTGCCCTTCTGCACTGCCTCGAGAAGGGGAAAGATTCCCTTCCAGCAGACTTAACTGACGGCTTCAAGAGTTTGAGGACCCTGGAGAGAAGTTACTGATGGGGTCTCCACTGTCATTTCTGCATTTGCAGAGTGCAGCTGGCTGTGCATGGATTGGGGAGGAGGGGACTGGCACTGGCAGTGGGTGTGCCCAGAGGATGGAGCCAGAACAATTAATCAAGTGACTTTTCTACAGGATTTCCATTGGCCTTGGATGACAGATGGGGCAGAGGCACCCAGGAGAGCACTATTTTGGTTTCCAGCTGGGAACGTGCACTAAGTTTTCCTTAATACCCACAGCACCCAAAAGGCTTTGCTGTAATACACTTTAATGCATGAAACACTCATAAATTATCCTTCGAACTGTTACAACTTCCAACCTGGAACAACTTGGAAAAACCAGCCTAGCAAGCAGGCTCTTTTTTAATCTCTCAAATCACAAGAGAAGAAAAAGTTCAAGCACGAAACACCTTCCTTAAGAATCTCGAAATTTTTTTTGTTTTGTTTTTGTTTTTTTTTTTTTTTTTTTTTTTTTTTTTTTTTTTTTTAGAAGGAGGTTTGTAATTAGAGGGAGCTAAGCTGCTTGTTTCTGCTGGCTCAAAGTTGCAGCTCCCTGACCCCTGAGTCCTCTCTCCCTCCCCTAGATCCTCCTCGCCTGAACTCAAGGCGCTCCCCGCCCTAACCTTCCACGCCCGCTTCTCCCACACCTGGCAGCAGACAGCTGGAGATGAAGCGTGTGACCCAAGTGGCAGGGCTGAACCTTGGCGACCTCTACCTGAGGTTGTCCAACGCGGCTCCGTGGAGGGCCCCGGTACGCCGGACGGACCCCGGCGTTGGCTCGCAGACTTCCTGCGTTAACCCCCGGGGCCCTCAGTCACGACTCCCAGCCCTTCCGAGACGCGCTGAGGGAACTGCCCCAGGTCTAGCGCGCCCCGTTCCGCTCCTCCCCCTACCTGGGGGCCGCGCAGCACTTTCCCTACTCGGCGCTCACCTCAGCCAGCGCGCTCTGCGCTCCCCCCGCGGTGCTGGCCGCCACTCCTCCCGCCCTGGCGCGCCAGCTGCCGGCGCATCCCTCTCCGCGCCCATTCGCTCTCCCTCACTTGCGCGTTATCCACTTCTAGCCCTCGAGCTAGACCCTGGCATGGCCGTGGGCTTCTGCAGGCGCCAGGGCTGCTCCCTGGACTGCAGGCCATCCTGGGACTAGGGACTCCACGACCAGAACTAACGCTGTTCCCTCGGTCCGACTCGTCCTCCCGCGAGGGTCCCGCGCCCCCACACCCACTCGGGACATTTCTCAGGGCTGCTCTTCGGCCTGCGGGAGCCTCGGGGGTAACCAGAGAGCTCGCCAGACCGGTATCCTTGCAAACTCTCCCGCGAAGCCCAGCCACCCCTGCCCGCGCCCGCGCTGCGCCCCTCTCGGGATCGGCTCGGGGCAGCCTGACTCACCGCTGCGCTCCCCTCCGGCTCCCAGCGCTCTCTGCTGTGCCGGAGCGCCGAGCTGCTCTCACACAGGCTTCTTGAATTCTTAGCCCCTCCTCCCGTACTCCTGAGTCACACGCTCCAAATCCTGGCCCCCATCCCTCCCCTCCCCACCACCAGCCCCGCACCTGCTGTGGCTGGGCTGTGGTGCCCGGCTGGAGGGGGTCCTGGGGACTACAGACGGATCGCTCCTGGAGGGCTGGCCAGACCCAGCCAGAGAAGGACTTTAAACCTTCAGAGGTCAAAGGGAAACCCACTGGGGTCTGAGGGGCCGCGCGCGCAAAGCCGGGAGGGGGAGTTTCTGGGGCACCGGCAGGGGTCGTTGGGCCGACTGGCTGGGGCTGGGCGGAGTTGCTCGCAGCTTCCCTCACCTCTCCGCCCTGCCCCCGCGCGTTGCCCTTCGCCAGTGCCTCCCTGGTCTGCCCGGCGTCGCCCTCGGTGCCCCAGGCATCGGCTGCTCCTTTTCTTCGGGGCGCCTTTCCTTATCCCAGGATAGGTGAGCACCCAGGGGGAGCTCCGCGAGGGGCAGGTGCCCAAGCTCCTCTGACAAGGGAAGGCGGCTGCAGAACCAGCTAGAAGGCCCCCAGGCCCGGCAAGTCCAGCATGGGGACAAGGGGCAGAGGACTTCAGGAGTCAGGAGCTAGAGCCGGGACCTTAACTTAAGGCCCTGGGTTCCAGGAACTTCCCGGAGTCCTTGGCCCCTCTGAAACTGTAGGCTGATTTGCGCGACTGTGTGCAATGCTAATATTCTTTTCTGAGCTGAAGGTCCGCAGCTTTCATCAGTTTTGCAAGGGGTCTGTGACCCCAGACTGATATAGCCAGCAAACCCTAGGCCCCCATGCCCCCCTCTCCACACTCCAGGCCCCACACAAATTCTTCCTGACCCTTCAAAATTTCTTGAGTTCCCTCGATTCAGCCTGACAGGAGAGCTTGCCTGACTTTCCCCTGCCCCTCTGCCAGGGCTGTTCCCACCCCAGCATAAAATGAGCAAGGGAGAAATACCCCTGAAGTCAAATTTGTCACCAAATGTGCATCATTAATTGTAGCATTCCAGGGGATTCGTAGCTCTTTGGAAATTTACAGCCCCACTCCCTCCCGTGTTGAGCTTGTCTGTGCCTTCGCTTCTTCCTATAGCAAAGGTGGGTTGGACCCCTACCCTGTATGGATGCCACAGAGGAGAAGTAGGTGTGAGGAGAGTAACAGGGAGGGAAGGTGGGGCACAGAATCTCCCTATTGCTGGTAACACCAGCCAGTGCAACTTAGCAGAAGGGCACCCTCCAGGGAACTGGGATTTAGTGAAGCAGATGATTCCTGTCCTAAGTCTGGGGGTGGTCATTTACCCTTAATGGATGGCACTTGAGCAAGATGAAGCCCTGACTAGGCATTTCCAACTCCCTTGATTCAGATTAGTCTTGAGGTCTTACTTCTTTCTATTTTCACGTTTGCTCCCATAAGAAAGTTCATTCCATTTACACATGCTCTGAGAAGGATGAAATAGGCAAAAAGCCCTGGAATTGGAAGTCAGCCTTAGCTTTGGTGTGACCTTGTTGTTTCCCAGCCTTAGGCTTGTCCACTTCTGACTTGTTCAGATACAGGCTGGTGTATGAACACACTTTGGAAGTGAGGGCAAGAGGCCAGGGAACACTGTGAATGGCCCTTTCTACAAAAGTAGTATCATAGTCGAGGTGATCCATTAGGAAATTTATCATCGTCAATTAAACAAAAGAATTTCCAGATAACAGGATGAATTCATCCATCAATCATGTCATGTATAAACTTGTTTGGAAAGCACTAGCCCCAAGCCTTACATAATAGCTGCCTGAGAATTTGGGTATGAAATTAAACTTTTAGAATAACAGAGAATTTGGTTGTTGAATGCAGAGCATTTGTATGTGTTCTTGTGGCATCATTCAGAAGGACAAAAGGATTTGGGACACTTGTGGTTCTTTTCCATGTGGTATGTAAGGGGGAAACTTTAAGTGATGTAAGCAGATTATAAGTTTGCTTATATGCTCCATCCTCACCCCCTAAATTGTTGGTCATATTCTTCTTGCACATGTTGATTTAATAAGAGCTCCTTTCTGCCCCTAACTACCTCTATTTCTGTCCCTGGACTTCAAGGATCTTGAGTAAATAAGAACATGTAAACAACAAACACAAAAATACTCCAAAGATTATTGATTGAGAGCCTACCATATGCCAGGCACTGTGTGCTGGCAGTGGTACCGGCTCTCAGAGAGCTTATGTTCTAGTGGGGGCTTGATTATTAGTCCCTGGCCATGTTTATCACAGTTTCCCTAGGTCCTAGCATAGGACCTGGCCTATAGTAGGTGCTCAGTTAATACTTGTTGAATCCAACAACGGTCAGAGTCATTTGTGACTGTCAGACAACCCACCAACACTGGATTGGTTTCCAGCAGGTTCCAGATCAGCCTGCCTTTGGCACAGAGACCACAGCCAGGTGCCTTTTCCCCTGCCTCTTCCACTTTCAAGAAGGTTCAAACAGAAATGTCCTTCTCTTGGGTCATTGAGAGAAGGACTTCTGGGCCTGGACCAGCTACATTCATAGGAATGAAAAACAGCTGAGAGGGCAGCGGCCAGAGGAATGGTGCAGACAAGCAGAGGATAAGAATGTTTTTCTGTACTAGATTTTCTCGAAAGAGCCTTTTATCCAGGGTATCAAAATAACCAGCAGCTGATGCATTTGCTGACTTGGAGGAGAGATTGTGGCGTGTACAGTAATTGTTGTTATTTCTGAAGATCTAGAAGGCTGCAGCCATTGAGTGCCTCATCAACAGCAACAGTCAGCTAGCACAAACCCCTGGCTTCTCCCTTGCTTCATTCCAGGAGGCCAGGACAAAGTGCATGTGCTATTTAAAACACCAGCAGGCTCAGCAGAGATCTGCCAGCAAGGATGGAATCACTGGATCTGCTAGTTCTTCATGTGAAACACAGAAATATTGTCCCAATTGCTGGAGGAAGTGATAGCTTCCGTTTAAAGACTTTTTTTTCCTCTTCCTTCTAATCAGAGTGAAGAAGAACTTCAGAAGAGGAAATGTTTCATAATGCTTAGTGAGATGACATGTTCACAGAATCACAGAAATGATCAATCCAGCCACCTTATTTATGGATGAAGAAACAAGGGCTCAGGAAGGACAAAGGCTCAGCCAAATACACGTGGCCAGTGTCCGGCTTTTTGACTTCTAAGCAAGCCTTCCTTTTACTACACTCCCTGAAAGAGGCTGGGAGAAAAACTGACCAATTCAGTCTACAGGAAAAAGCTGGTAAAGGAGCTAAAGTAGGCAAGGGTGCAGAGAGGGCCAGGGGTGCCCCCTTCTCCTCTGGGCTATCCCTGCCTACTCCTGTGGCCTGTTCCTGGCTTTTGCTGTTTCTCGCTGAGATCTCCAGTTCCTCCATCTCTACTAGTTCCCTCGCTTTTGCTTGTGAACATTCACTTGCCTTTTCTCTCTTAAAGAAACTGCTAGCCCAAACTCTGGATTTCTTAGCTTCCATTCACTACCAAATTCTTCAGCAAGGTAATCTATACCCATCATTTCCTTGGCACCCCCTCCCCGAAACTTTCTGCAACCAAGTTCCCATCTTCCTCCCCTACCTTTCCTTTCTCCCTACTAAACTGATAATTTTTTTTAAAGGTCGTTAGTTGCAAGAACACCACCAACACCAACACAATCTCAGCAGCATTTATCTAGTGCTTGCCTTATTTCAAGTACTGGGCAAGGCATTTTTCCTAGCCTTATTAATTGGTCCTATTGATTTGTAGATAAGATGAAACTCTGAGAGGTAAGTCACTTCCCAGGTCTCATAGCTAGCCAAACGGCTGAGTAGAGAATTGAACCCAATCCCTTGCTGTTAAATGCCACGCCTCCTCCTCCTTTCAGCCAAGCTCAGCTGACTTTGACAGTCCTAGTCCACTCTATTCATGACCTCCTTTGTCTACAACTTTCCTTTCAGAACTCCTGTGACCACACTATCCTGGCTTACTAGCCACCTCTCTGATTTCATCTGCCCTCTGCACTCATGGGCCTCCCACAACTCAGTCCTGGGGCTTTACATTCTCCTCCACTCTTGTTCTTCCAGGTGTTTTTTTCTACTAATTTTATAATTCCAAGCATGGTTTCAACTCTGGCCTCTCCTTTAATCACCAACACTTTGAGTGTTATGTGCGAAGCACTACCTAGGTTCTTGTTTCAGCGAATCTGCACAGGCCCTGGCGAGGACTGTGTTTCTGCCTCTCCTCTGACTCTCAGCCCCTCCATCCAAAGCCCTTGCTCTTAACTCAGCCAGGCAGCTGCCCCACAGATCCCATTCTTGAAAGGTCAGGAAATCCACGTGGGCCCAGGACAGTTCAGCTCTTTTCCTGCAGCCCAGGAAAGTCACCAGTTTGGAACTGGCAAGATTTAGCCCATCTGTCCTCTTAAGTGGTGTGTCCTTGGGAGAAAGATTGACCCTCCTTGAGCCGTAATAATAATAATTACTTTTCATTATATGGAGTGAATATGTTAAACAATTTTCAAGCACCTGCTACGTGCCAGCCCCATTCTAGGTGCTGGGGATTCAGCAAATGAACAAAACAGCCTATAAACACATAGAATTTTTTATTTTTAAATTTTTTAATAATTTCAACTTTTACTTTAGATTCAGGGGGCACATGTGCAGGTTTGTTACAGGGGTATATTGCCTGATGCTGAGACTTGGGATATGATTGATCTCATCACCTAGATAGTGAGCATAGTCCCAACAGTTAGTTTTTCAACCCTTGCCCCATTTCCTTCCTCCCCACTCTAGTAGTCCCCAGTAGATACATGGAATTTAAATTATATTAATTTGCGTCACCTATTTAATAAATGTGCATTATTTAATGTATATTATATGCCAGGCCCATAAAAGTCAGTTGTGATTTTGGTGAGTTGCAGGGCAGGTGAGTGAGACAGATGCAGACACAGTCAGTGCCAACCAAGTCAATGATCTCCTTAGGTGCAAGGAGAGTCAGGTGAGCCCTCTGGGGACTGGATCCTCTCCTCTGCTGTCCCGATTCAAACAGCTGTGAGCCTCCACCTTTTCAGGCTGGTCTGACTCCAGTCTCCACAGGAACTGGTCTCCACAAGAACCCCTGGTGACCCTGTGGCTTTCACTGGTGCTTTCTTCAGAGTCCCCTGAGGCTCTCTCACTCCTCTCCCACTGAGCCAAACCCTCAGTGTCCCTCACGAGCCTACAGCCAATTCAAGTGTGCCTCCATCTGGGTCCTCACTATACAACCCTCCCTGGCCCTGGAGTTGGTACATTCCTATTAGGGCCACCCAAGAGATACCTCTGGGGCAGGATTCCCCAGGGATCAAGTTTGCCTGCATAGCATCACAGCTGCTCTTTCCTGTCACATGGTATCATGTTGACAATTAAGGTTTTGTGGTGCTGAGGCAGGCAAGAACCCCACACTTTCATTTGTGATGCTCCTATGCAGGAGTCTGGGATAGATGGGCTCTGCCACATCCTGGGTAGATCTCTGTCCCTTCAGTGGTGACACTGAGCTCACTGCATTTATTAAAATCCTATCCTGGGGTAGAATCTGTGTTAGGTACAAGGAAACAAAGATCAAGAAGAAATGATTATTGCTATATAGGAACCTACTATCCAATGGGGCATCAGACACATAAACTGATAAGAAATCTGTAAGGGAGGATCTAGAAGCTGGAGAGATGGGAAATTCAACCAACTTAGAGCTTTGCCTTTGTTGTCATCCCATTGCATTTTGCATAAATTCCATATTCTTTGAAGAGACTTACGAGGCTCTGTGTCATCTGGCTCCTCCAGCCCCTTCATCTTCCTTTCTTGCTACTTTCTTTTCTTTGCTCTAGCCTCTGCCGTGGTGAATTTACTTCAGTTCATTTCACAAGCAGCACCAGCCCCACAGGTCCTATATGGTGTTTCCAGTGCTTCAAAAACTTTTAGCCTTCTCCCTACTCCTTCACCTGTCCATTTCCTCTTCCTCTGAAACTCAGCTCTGAGAATCTTCAATGACATTTCTAGTCAGGTGATTTCCCTGATCCTCCAAGTCAAGACTGAGTGCCCTTTCTAGGTGCTTCTCCAGCCCTCCATATTGCACAAAACACATGCTCAATAAATCATTTAAAATGAGATATTGCCCAAGATAAGCTTTGAAGCATGTGTAGGAGCCAGGAGAAGAATGCTGGGAAGGACATCATTTGAGACAGAAGGAACACTTTTAACCAAGGTGTGCAAGTGTGAGATGGTATGTTGCGTACGGGAAACTGCAGCTGATTCAGAACTGGTGGGGCATGACGTGGTAGGAGATACTGCTGGATCAGTCACTGGGAAGGTCGAGGAAGGCATGGATAATGAAGGGTGAAACCAAATGCAAAGAGACCACCTAGGGCCGGTAGTTATAGTCAGGGTGAACGGTGATGGCAGCAGCCTGATCCATGCATGGGGAGCTAAGCATGCAGAGGAGACATTCAAACAAAACTTAGCGTGTAAATTCATCAGGAAGTGGGGAATGGCTGGATGCAGGGGTAGGGTGAGAAAAGGGTCTCCTGGGTGCCCTTTGGATTCCTGATTTGCCTGAGCAGGTAAATGATGGTGCTGGCTATGGAGATGGAGCATCCAGAGGTGGGGCCTATGTAGTGGCCTTGGAAGCAGGGGTCTTCAATTTAGGATTTTGCTGGGCCCATGGAATACTCAAGGACATATGTGCAACATATGGAGTTTGGAGATCAGGAATGATGTCGAGGCTAGCTGTCTCTGCACACTGCACACAGGCTGAAGGCAACCAGTAGCATCATCTCAGAGTCTCCACTGAGAACTTACCTCCCCATCAAGCCACACTCTCACTGTCCACCATGTTGGCACCATACCAACTATGGGGCATCTCCCAGAGGCTAGAACCCAGGGAAACAGATCACTCGCTCCAGTGTTACCTGGTTCCCTCCTTCCTGTTTATTTCTATAATACTCACTCTCCACCTTGAGGTGCAGGCCAAAGTGTGAGAGCAATTGGGTACCCTAGGGGATGACCACCTTGCCTTTCCCATAAAACTCTATGATCAAGCTCTCCAAGCCTGGCTCTTTATAATCTGTGAGAGTTTAAGAAATTCAGAATCCCTTCCCCTTTTTTTCTTTCACAAGAATGACTGACTTTCAAAACCACTGTCTCGCTATGAAATGTCTTGCTAAAGATGTATATGGACATTTTCCCTTTGCATTCCAGCTGCAACAGTCCCAAGGGTACCCTGTGAAAATCATATGCCCCTGGCGGAATCGGGGGGGATCACACAACTGGGAAATGTGAAAGAGAATACCTATGCATTCCTTATCACATTTGTACAATAAATAACAATCTGCTATCCCCACTAAACTATAAAATTTTCAGGAACCTTAAACTCCATCATAATACCTGAAATATAATAGGTTTTCAACAAATGCATTTCATATGGATGAATAAATTAAGCTCAGAGGGTTTGAATAATCATGTTGAACAAAACTAGCAAATAGCTAACCTAGTCTGTATCTATATCACAGATTGGATATTTGTCCCCTCAAAATCTCATGTTGAAATTTGATCCCCAATGTTGGAGATGGGGCTTGGTGGGAGGTGTTTGAGTCAAGGGGACAATTCTTCATGGCTGGCCCTGTGCTGTCCTCACGGTAATGAGTGAAGCCTCACTATTAGTTTCCATGAGCTCTGATTATTTGAAAGAGTCTGGTACCACCCTCCCCTCTCTCTTGCATTTTTCCTATCCCCATGTGATGCCAATCCCCCTTCACCTTCCACCATGAGTGGAAGCTTCCTGAGGTCCTCACCAGAAGCAAATCCTAGTGCTGTGCTCCCTGTGCAGCTTTCAAAATCCTAAGCTGAATAAATGTCTTTTATTTATAAATTGCCCAGCCTTGGATATTCCTTTATAGCAATACAAATGGTCTAAGACAGTCTGCAAAGCTCATGCCCTCAGTACTATACCTTACAGACTAATAATTGGGAAAATTCTTAAAGAACCAAATCAATTTTTGTCAGCATGGTAGAAGCTAAGAAGACTGTCTTTGTCACTCAGATGTGCTGGCTGATTTAACTCCACCATGACCTTTAGCTGTGCCCCTTCAGCCATGCTCAGTTCAAAGCTGTACTACTGTTATGTAAGCAGCAGTTTTGGACAAGTAGGGGGTTCCCAGGTCCTCTTCAGGTACTGGAGATGTGCCTCCGTTGTGTGGAATTACAGGCTGAGCTGCTACAGAGCCAATGGGAAACATGCATCACCCCTTATTTGACAAGAGGCTTGCTTCGAGCAGGACTTCAACTTCTGCCAAATTCTGAGTCTGGCAAAAATTGCCTTGCTCTAGGGGACCTTAGGTCATCTTCAGGTCTCAATCCTACCCTCAGTAAATGGCCTAGAATACTTGCTGGGCTTGAGATGAAACCACTGGAGTCCACTGGTTCTTGCAGGAGTATTTGCATTTCAGTGGGCAGCAGAGGTAACTCAAAAGATGGAGGAGATAGTTTGTAAATGGAGTGAAGAAGATAATTGGGAGAATACAAGGTCAATGGGCAGGCCCTGAAATCATTTTGCTTAGGTTTTAAGATTGCTCACAGACAGACTGTATTGACTTCCATGAATAATGCTCTATCTCATTTCTGGGCCTTTGCAACATGCTCCTTCCTCTTCCTGGGACGCTTTCTCTGCTCTGTGTTTCCTTCACTAAGCCAACTCCACCTCATTTCTGAGACTTCAGTGCAAATGTGACTTTCTTACTGCCCAAGTCTGGGTTAGGTGTCCTCCTCTGTGACCCCATCATCCCCTCTGACTGGGTCTCCACAACACTCTGCAGTCTACACACTGTATTATAAAGGCCTATCTGCTCGTTTGACCCCCTTCTCCTCCCCACCTCCTTTACAAGCTACTCTCTGGGGTGGCAGGGGCCTTGGCATCCCCAGCACATAACACCATGACTGCATGCAGTAGGTATTCCATTCTTAATTGCTGCTTAACAATATGCTTACATGCACACTCTTAGATTCATTTGCCTTTCTGTGGATAATCATACTTTCTTAGGACACACCTTTCCCCAAGAGAAGCAAAACAAAACAAAACAAAAAAAGCCTAGGCTTTAGAACCACAAGATTTGAGTTCCTAATTCCAGCCCCTTTGCTCATTGAGTCCAATGCTTGTAAATGAAAATGACACCTGCGTGTAAGGCACATGAGAGGGTGTAGGGAGTGCTCTGTAGGGAGTACACAGCACAGACTTGGGTGTCTCTCCTTTTCCACCACAGCTCCAGCACACATGCTCTACCCATACAGCCCCCCAGCACACATACACAGGCACACATGCCTTTTCATGGGCTGAGCCTGATGGGATTAGCAGTATTTGGGCAGACTAAGGGACGCTTGAGTGATTGTCACAAGGTTAAAGAAAGAGAGGCTGCCAGATGCTTGGGAAAAACAGAAGGCGAGGATTCAGACCAGAACTCCTTCTTCAGGCTCCCAGCTCCTCTGGGCTGTGGGAAGTCCTTAGGCTGTCTTTTCTCCTTCATTTTTTGAGCCTGCAGAGTGCAGAGCTCTTTTTTTTTCAGTTTGGAGATTCATTTATCTGCATTCTAATTTTAAAATTTCCCCATGTGCAGAGATGACTTTGATCTTTAGCAGGAGTTTATTTCTTCCTATTAGCATCACATTATACAATCTATGACAGATTAATCACAGCTATTGTTGTACTGTTTATTCTACACACTGTATAATTTTACTTTCAAAATGTTATTTTAATTAAGAAGGAAGTGCATTAGGGGAAGGCATTTTCCTGACAGACAGGCTTCTCTGGTCCCACCAAGCAAGCGTATGCCCTGTACTGCCTACAATGGCAACATCTCCAGCAATGAACTCAAGTCCCAGGGAGCAAGTGAGACCTGGGGTTTTCTGCTGTCACAGGACGACTGTGAATAACTTGAATTATATGTATATATATATTGACTATGAAGCTGAATTATATATTTTGCCAAAAATTTTTCTTCATTGTCTTTTTAAAAAATAGCATGTCCTTGTACCACATAGCCTAAAGAATGTAGCTGGAGTTTGATAGAAGGCTTTAAAGGGACAGAGTTGGGCCTGTGGCCGTTGAGGTTTCTTTATCTTACATGTGAGTCCAGCCTGCCTCAGCTACTTCCTACCTTTATGACCCTGGGCAAGTTACTTAACCTCTCTGAGCACCGAATTCCTCAGAGGTGGAAGAACCCTGCTAAGGATGCGGATGGAGAGCTTTAACCATGACAGTGCAGATAAGGGACTTTGGAATGTTTCTTGGCATATGGTGAGTGCTCAGTCAGGGGGTCCTTTGATTCCACAGACACATTTCCTTCTGCTCAGACCAAGCTAGGGGCAATGAGGGGGAGAAGCAGACTTCGCCAACTTGACAGTTTTGCAGGGGGCCCACCCTGGTTTGGAAAGGGTAACCACTTAGAAGCTGCAGAATCTAGAAACACATTTCAACCTCACCATTTACCCTCAAGTTCTGGACCCAGAGCCAGAAACCAAGCTGGTTGGAGCAACAAGTTCATTTTTGAAAAAAGAAAAACATTTTGTGGTGAGGGAAAAAATGCTTGCACAAGAAGCCCGAGGAGAAAAGCTCTTATGTGTGATGTAGTTCCACTGGACAGAGATGAAATAAATGGCTGCTTTGCCACCAACGCCACAGGGTGGGGCAAAGGCTTGATTTAAACTCTGCATCTGATGTGTACTTTGGTGCAGATAAATCCCAATTCAGTTGTATGGTATCGATGCTAATATCACACTGTCAGACCTGATTGACTTGATTAAAGTGACAAGGAGGCCTCCTCAGTCTCCCTTGGAAATAAGTAAGTCTATGTTATGGCAGGAGCAACTGGAGGTGAAGAACTCCTATCCTGGAAATGGAACCTAGAAACTATAGGCCCCTGACAAAAAGCTGCAGAAATGGAAGAAGGAAAATAATAAAATCTAAAGCATCTATAGGATAAAACCACCATTCCCACTTGGAATCCTGTATTAGTTCAAGGGATAACCACAGTTCCTTTGTTACGTTGGAATTTTGTCATTTCAAATACTGAGCCCTTCGGCATAGAGTATTCAGCCTTTCTTTTTTGTCTCTGATCAGCAGAGCTGAATTCAGTATAGTACTTGGAAGAATTTGTCTTCAAATATAGTCATTAAATTGAATTGAGTAAAATTATTCCAAGAAATGGGCTATTATTTGGGATCATTCATTGTAGAGAAATATTTGTTGTGATGGGACTTAAACCACGTTCTTTAATAACAGCTGGGATCTGTTAAGGTGGAATAAAGGTATATATGGAGGTAAAACTAAAGAAAGCGCATATGGCATTGTCATTAATGGAATTTAGAATGCAGTTAATATATGAAACAGGTCGCGTGTCCAGGAACAGCACACAATGTCACACTGTTCCAACTGCAGCTTTAGTGATCTTTCCACCACACTCCTTGCACATATGGAGGGAAAGACAAAATTGGTTTGTATTGGAAGAAAGGGAGGTTTACCCTGCACATCAAGTGCAGTATTTGCAGATCTCTCAATAGAGAAATGAGGCACAGAGCATGTCTTTTTATGGGGACATTTCTTTTCCAATGAAAACAAGTTCATTGGAAACACCCTGTCTTAGTTAACATTTTTATAGGCTCTGATATACTTTTTGGCACTTTTATGTAATGCAGATATTCGTTTAAACTTCAGAAAGAAAAGTTAACACAATTTCAGTTTATTCTACACATTTTTCCAATACTAGGGCCTGGTAAACATTATAAGCTGTCCCTCCAGCTGCTGATGGCTCTGAGGATTGCTATTTGGCCTCTAACAATGTGACTCTCTTTTGTAGCATTTTCCTCTTCAGGTTATTCTTTGCCTTCTTCTTAGAAGAAGAGATTCAGGTCTAAACTCCTTGTTGCCTCTCACCACTCTGTCATCCCTGGGAAATCTCCAATCACTGACTATAAAAAGGTGGTTTGGCTTCCCTAGACCTCAGAGCAGGTCTACAACAATAGTCACTAAAAATGGGCATTGTCCAAGGTTTGCAAAAAGCCAGAGAAGGGTTCCAATGTTAATGGTTTCAAATAGCTGTTTTAAAAGGTAAAACTAATAATAAAAACATAATAAAAATTATAGTCAGGCATCTCGCAAATTTAAAGTATGTCATAGAAGTGCATAATACAAATGATTCTAGTTAGTGTGCTAAGATACATTGTGCTAGGATACGAAGAGATGTGTTGGCACTGTCTGTTTCTAGCTGTGCCCGACCCATGCGGAGCAGCTCAAAGAATGCTTTGCAAGAAGAATGGCACAAAGCTGGCAGGGCAAGAAGACACCAAACAAGACAAAGTGAAGAAGGGACCTGAATGTGTTCCATGCTTTGTAGGTGTCAAACACACACACACATACACACACACACACACACACACACACAGAGCAGGATGTATTTTTTTAGTTTCTTTTAATACTTTTTCTTCTCAGGTTTGGTATTTGGATCAGGACCAGTGAAGTCAAGGTTAGTGTGATGGAAGTAATTGCAACCTTAAGGGAAGATATTTGCTAAGGCCTGCTCAGGATGGGTCTATACAAAACAGTGAAGGAGGTAACACTCCTTTTAAATGTCTCTCCTCTCCTCCCTGCATCCCCTCCAAGGCCTATGCACACCTAGGAACATCCCCTGTCCAGGCTGGACATGAGGCGGGAGGTAAAGCACTGCACTAGCAGTCAGGAATCTTTGGATATCAACTCGACCCATTTTCATGTCAACTCGACCCATTTTCATGTCAACTCGACTCATTTTCTACTTGAACCTGGGAAAGATCATTTATCTCCCTGGACCCCAGTTTCTTCAGATAAAATGAGTGGCTTGGACTATATGATTTCAAGGGTTTCTTTGAATTGAAAGTTGCTAAAATAAATTGATCCACAATAAGGCAACCTCTATCATAAGTCTGTTCATTTTGACATAAACTGCCTGTAAAGGGCAATGCTTATTCGAGAGGAATAACTCCTTTGCTTGCCAAATAAGGAACAGGGTTTGCGGTTTGCTTTTTAAGGTGTGTGTGTGTGTGTGTGTGTGCGTGTATGTGTGTGCGTGTGTGTGTGTGTGTAGCAGGTGGTTTGGAGGCTCAAGAGCATTTTTATCCTTCTCGTTGTCCACACTGAAAATCTTGAGGTTATCTTTGACTTTTCTTTTTCCACCTAATATCTGATTCATTTGCAAATCCTAGTGGTTCCACTAGAATATCTAGAACATGATTACCTCTCATTGCCTCCCATGTTACTATGATCCAATAGACCATCATCTTCATCTCTCACCTGGATTATAGCAATACTCTCTTAACTGCTCTCTCTGCATCCAACTTTGTCTCCTTTCAGTCTATTCTGAACACCAGTTCCAGCCAGATTGACCCTGCTAAAACTTATCTTCCCAAAACCTTCCCTTGGTCTCTGCATCAGTCAGTTTGAGCTAGATTATGCTCAGGTGACAAGCAACATCAACATCTCAGTGACTTCACCAAACAAAGTTTATTTCTCATTCAAACCACATGTCCCATGAGGTAGAGCAGAAGGGCTCTGTTCGTCACAGTCCCTTGAGAACTGAGCCTGAAGGAGACTCCTGAAGTCACTGAAAGCAGCAACACTGTCAGCGCATTTCACACAATGGTTCTTAAAGCTTCTGCCTGAAGTGAACACATCTCCTCCACTCTCATTTTGTTGGCTGAGCAAGTCATATGGCCATATATAGCTTCAAAGGGACAAAAACAGGCAATCCTATCGTATGGCCAGAGGGGAAGAATGGAACTGTTTGACTAAAAGCATAATAGCAACCACAGTTTCCCATCTTATTCAAAGGATAGCCCACTTCATCCTCCTCAGGTTCCTCCAGGGTCCTGCATGGTGTGCCCCATTGCCCCCAGCCCCATTACCTGTCTGATCCCACCTCATTCTACCTTCCCTCTCCCTCCACTTTCACTCCTTCAACACTCCAGGCATGCTGCCCTCGGGGCCTTTGCACTTGCTGTCTACTCTAGAATGCCCTTCCCCAAGACACCTGCAGTGCTCTTCTCTAAGTACTCTAGAATGCTCTTCCCCATGACATCTTCCCCAAGATGTTTCCCCAAGACATCCCTCACTTCTTTCAAGTCTTTGCTCAAGTGCATCCTTCATATTGAGGATTTTCCCAGCCACTGTAATTAAAAATACACACCCCACTCTCCCCACCGCACCCCAGCCTCCTTATCCTGCTTCTCTGCCTTATGTTTTTTCTCCTGAATATATCATCATGTAGTACAATGTATAAGCAACTGATTTATTTTGTGGCAGTGTAGTTGTTTGAAAACTGAGCTCTGTATTACTTACAGAAGTTAAATCCATGGCTCCTTCACTTCCTAGCTAGCTCCCTTGAGGAAATTACCTAGCTTCTCTGTGCCCCATTTTCCTTGTCAGTAAAGAGGGTTAGTAATAGCACCTACCTCACAGACTGGTGGTGAAGGTGAAATATGTGAAGCAGGCAGAGCAGGCGCACAGTAATAGCATTTGCTATTCTTATTTGTTGTCTGACTTGCTGCGTTGGGATGTAAGCTCTGTGGGGAAGTAATATTTGTCCTATTTCAGCCCCGAACTCCAGAGCAATGTCTGACACACACTAGGCACAGCAGAAATATTTCTTGCATTAAAGTGTGACTGCTTGAATGACTAGTGCATCCGGCAAGCTGGCTTGCACTCACTGTCCTCTGGCCCCTTAATGACCTTCAAGGTCTCTGGGTCTCAGCATGGGGAGGACTGCAGAGGGGATGGCTCCTCCCGCCCAGCCAGACTGCACATGCTCAGGGTCCCCGAAGCAACTTCCTCCATCACTGAGGGGACTTCCCTAGATGTGATGATGTGTGATGGGTGGCATGGGCTCATGTTATCGGGAAGCATCCTGATGCACTTTGAGTCTGAGTATAAAATGGACCCCAGAGTGCTGATAAAACCTGAGTAGACTCTGGGTCATCAGAAAGTCAGCCCCGATGTGGAGCAGAGTGTACTGCCTTGAACCCCACACTCTGCTCCCATGGTGCCAGGTATGCCTGTTCGTTTTGAAAAATGGCCACTTGCTATTGTCATGATTTGTCTGTCTCCTGTGGGGAGTGCTAAGTGCCCAGCAGTGGTCCCTGGGCCAGGCACATAGTAGTTGCTCAATAAAGGTTTGCTAAATGACTGAGCCAAAGGATTCTTAAACCCCTTTGAGTGGAAGCCAAACTGCACACACTCTCTGGTATATTTGAGGGAATTTTAATCCCTCGAAGTATGGGACGTTGCAAAGAGAGCTATCAGAGTCAAATGTTTTCCTTGTAATTGGACAAATTAACTTAACAGCACGAACTTGAACTACCTTAATGGAGAGCATTTGGATTTCTGGGATGTTGTAGTGCTTTCTGGTCCAATGTATCAGATCTTCACAGGTGGGTCATCAGCCTGAGGGAGCTCAGGGTGAAATCAGCAATTTCCTGGTCTGTCCCATCCAGGGTGCCCAGCAGCTTTCCATGGTGGAACTGGCTTAGGGTTACAAAGCAAAGTGTAGATGCTGAGAGAAAATTCCTGGCAGTGAGGACACTGAGAATGGTTCGTGTTCCTAAATATGTTACATATGGGCAGTTTTTAAGGTGTATAGGGGTGAGAGGAGGCCCGGGGAGAGTATCAGGTACTGTAATTCTTAGTTCTGGACTTGATTCTGTTTGCCAACGTCTGATTCTGTGCAAGGCCCATGGGGAATCCCTTTCCTGTTTGTTGCTTCTCTCAACCTTTGGGCCTTAAGTGAAAAAGGTCCACAGGATGGGAGCCCTCCACAGATGACATGAGGTAAGAAGCGAGAATCAGGGGGTTGCTTTCTTTTTCACCTTGGGACTTGGCATGGGAAGTTGTCAGCCAATTTGCTTACTCCACCAGTGCCCGCCTTGCAGGTTACTTGCTGGGAGCTCTCCACCCCCGCCCTACCCCATCCCTGTTGGGTCCCCTTTCTCTTACTGGGAAAACAGGGAGAGCTGTGCTTGTGACTTGTCTGGGGCTTAGCCCCAGGGGCAATGGTGAAGCAGGTAAAACTTACCTGTGCTCATTGCTCTCTGTGGCTTCCCAACCCTGTTGCTTCTTCAAACCCTATGTAGCCTTAAACTGAAACTGTGTAGCCCAAGGGAGCTTTTTATCTTTGTGTGTTTGTCCATTTCTTCATCTGTAAAAAGATAGTAATAAAACATGCATTTCTATAAAGTTGCTTGGAGGATTAAATGAGATAGTTCCCATAATGAATGCCCGATATCATCAATTTTGCCTCTCACGAGAGGTTCTGACATCACTGCTTTACATGTTAGTAGCTTTAAGCCAGCATTTCCCAAGAACAGCTGCCTTTAGCAGAGTGACCCCCATGGAAGGAGCCTTGGCATTAGGACAGCAGTTTGGGGAGGTGCTCCCTGGGTTTGAGGCTCCAGTGCCCCTGGAAACCACATTAAATAGAGAGTTACCTGCTCCTTCTAGGAAAGACCCTTTCTGCTTCCTTCCTGAAGGAGGTTGCAGGCGATGATGAAATAAGGTCTGACAAGCACTTGTAAGTCCTTTACAATCTGCTCTCCCTCCTTTTTCTCTTGAAAAAAGACTTATGATACAGGAGCCAAAAATATGTCTTTTTGCCATTTTGCTTTTAGAATGTTATATCATTATCATATTCATATATTCTAGAGCTTTGCTGCTGGAAGAGGCTGTTTTTAAAAAAATTGTCATGCATTCCCTTGGCCGAAGGAAACCTCTGAGTTCCCAGGCTATTTGAGAGAAAATTCCTAATCAGCACAACTTTAGTTTGCACTGATTGAATATCAGCTTTTATCAACAGTTTAAACAGAATTTCCAAATCAACAAATCAGCACAGTCCACAATATATTCCTAGTTTGGCATCTGTCCTTGTGACACCACCTCTCTGGATTAGATTCTGCTGGTGAAATCTGTTTAACTTAGCCAGACTGCTGTGCTAATTGGTACCACTGAGATGTTCAGAAGTCTGAACTTTGATCTGATGAAAACAGACATTATTGAAACAGAATTTTGTTTGTTGGCTCGGGGAGTATTGGCTCCTGGAGTCTTTCTGCTGTCAAGTTGCCGAAGGGCCATTTGTTTATGAAATTTATTGTCTGGGGAGGAATAGAATCTGGGGAAGTGAATTTAAAGATTTATTCCCTCAAGGACAGACTCATATGGAAAAAGACCATTGAGGAAAAAAACTTTTTAAGCTTCTTCTGCAGGTACTGCTTGTCCATATCCAGCGGGTCATGGATCTCTCTCTCTCTCTCTCTCTCTCTCTCTCTGTGTGTGTGTGTGTGTGTGTGTGTGTGTGTGTGTGTAAGGATACCAAGAGGATCCACTTTACAAAAAACCAGTAAGCTACAACTCAAACATATAGAGAAAATAGGGAGATTTTCCACATATCAGAAATGCATTTTGCAATGCCCCTTTCAGTGCCCCAGATTTGAAAAAAGAATCGCAAATTCAATTTACGCACAGTGTTTTAGGAATACAGGCACAGTGTAAAGCGAGGCACACCTGTACATTATTTAATAAGAAAGCATTTCTCTAGGATAAACAACCTTTTTACAGAGTCCTGGGTTCTGGGTTTTGAAGCTTAAGCTACATAAGGTATGAATTTTCATCTCAACAAATTTCCCCTCTTAACTTATAATTCAGTTTAAAATATTTCAAGGCTCAATAACAAACTCAGTTACAAGATTATTGGGAAAAGTCAGTGTTTTATTTGCCGATGTTGATCTATTTACTTTCTAGTGTTGATCTGTTTATTTGCTGTATCACTCTTTTCTTGGTCCTGAGGGTTTCTTTTTGAGATCTGGCCTGGCTCCCACCCAGCCTCTGTTAAGCTGCTTGGTAGGCTGTGTTCTTTGTGTCTTCAGCACCCTCGCCATGTCCTTTGATGAGCTGGTGGCCTCACCTTATTCTGGGTTCTTTGAGTGATGCTCCACCCACAGGCTCAGGGGTGAAGCCTGTGGCCTAGGCCTAAGGCAATCAGCACATCACTTTCCCTGGCTACAGAGCTCGGTTCAGGAGTGGGCATGTGGCCCTGACAGGCTCAGTGAGATGCAATGAGATTCTGCTGGGAGGAGAGACCTCAAAGTAGGCTGTCCTTCCAACTTAAACCTGAGGCAATGTAAGCTGGAGCTGCTTGGGTTGCACTGGGACATGAGCTTTTCTTGACAATGGAGCCTTGGGTGAGTAAGCAGAGCTGAGATACGGGGACAGATTAACAAGGTGATAAGGACAGCTTTGATCCCTCTAGCCAGCCGTGCCTGAGGCTGGACATATGCCTTAGTCTGTGGGCATTGCTATAACAAAATACCAGAGACTGGGTGGCTTAAACCACAGACATTTATTTCTCACAGTTCTGAAGACTGGGAAGTCCAAGATCAGGGTGCCATCATAGTTGGCTTCTGGTGAGGGCCCTCTTCCTGGCTTGCAGCTGGCAGCCTACTTACTGTATCTTCACATTGCCCAGAGGAGAGACAGAGAGAGAGAAATTTTTGGTCCTTCTTATAACAACACTAAAATCCCACCATGAGTGCCCCACTCTCACCTATACCTAATCATATCCCAAGGTCCCCACCTCCAAATACCATCACATTGGCGGCTTCAATATATGATTTTGAGGGGCATACAAACATTCAGACTTGTAAGTTATATAGACTTATAAATTAATATTTGGCTTTAGACTAATTGGGCTGAGTTCTTTGTCACTTGTAGCTGAGCTTTAACTAATAGAGAAACACATCTTGGAGACCGGCATGTTTGAGTCCTGCATGTTAAGAGTTTCCATTTGTTCCAGGATTAAAGCTTTTTCTTTCTCCTCTACCCCATTTTTCTTTCCTTCCTCCTGAGCACAGGTGTGTCCCACATTGGAACATTCTGAATCAGAGTTTTGAGTCTCATGTTGCTTTGTATACCTGCTTCCTGGATGGAAGATAACTCAGCCAATTACTATAATAGAAAGGCTATGAAAAGGTTTAGACTAAACCCTGTTTTCATTTTCCTGCAGGTTTTCCTACACCGCGACTTCCACAGTAAATCTTTATATACCTCAAGTTTATTTTGGGCCATAAATGGTTCCATAGAATCAGTCTCATAAAGGTTACCATTACCTGCTATTTTTCAAATGGTCTGGAATTAAACATTTAGGCAACCAGAAGTGGTTTGATTATCTAGAATGTGGCAATGGATAGCCATGATTTTGCCAAAATACTCCAACTTTGCAAGATTGTTTTTACGTGTTGGTCGATAGTTAAAACCATGATGACCACTCGGCTGGCTGTTTCTCTGCGGGACTGGAGTCACTGGCAGATATTGCCAATCTTATTTCCAAAGTGGATGGGGAAAGTGGGAGGCCTCCAACATTGGATTTAGTGTGAGCTAATATGAAAATACTGCAGGTGGCGAAAGAAAATGGGTTTTGAAGTCAGTAGACTTGCATTCTAATCCCATCCTAACTGTGTGGAAACTTGGGCAAGTCACTTTACTTCTCTAAATCTTAATTTTTTTCATCTGTAAATTGGGAATAATAATACTTACTCTATAAAGCTGCTATGAGATTTTTTTTTTGAGATAGGGTCTTGTTCTGTTGCCCAGGCTGGAGTACAGTGGCACAATCTCAGCTCACCACAACCTCTGCCTCCCAGGTTCAAGCATTTCTCCTGCCTCAGCCTCCCAAGTAGCTGGGATTATAGGCATGCACCACCACGCCTGGCTAATTTTTGTATTTTTAGTAGAGATGTGGTTTCACCACGTTGGACAGGCTGGTCCTGACCTCAAGTGATCTGCCTGCCTTGGCCTCCCAAAGTGCTGGGATTACAGGTGTGAGCCACTGCACCTGGCCCTGCTATGAGGATTTTAAAGTTCATAAAATAGTGCCTGACAGATTAAGACTCAACGGTTTTCTTTCTCCCTCTGCCATATACATTGGGACAAACAATGCCCTAGGAATCAGGAGATGCTTCAAGCCCTGGCTTTATTCCTGATCACTATGACACTAAGTAATTCTGTCCTTTTTTCCATTGTGGTAGCAGAAACAATATCATTGTCACTGTTTTATAGATGAGGAAAGTAAGGTTTAAAGACTTAGACAAGGCTTCTCACCAGTAAGTGGAATTGGAAATTGAATCCATCTTGAAAATTAAGGCAAATTCCATTCATCTAACCACCCACCCATTCATCCCTTTATTCAGCAAGTATTTATATATGAGTATCTACTCTGGACCAGGCAACATATTAAGTGCTTAGGTTGCAACAATGAACAAAATAGTCCCTGTCCTCACGGAGCGTAATGGTACTTGGAGTTTTTCCTTTTTAACTTGCAGAGTAATTATCAGGCCCAAAAAAGACAAGAAATGTGAAAGTGCTTTGTCAAGTATAAAGCACAGTCAAATATAAACTAACTTAATGAAATAAAGCTTGAAGACAAGATTAGAGAAAAAAGAATGAAAAGGAATGAGCAAAGCCTCCAAGAAATATGGGACTATGTGAAAAGACCAAACCTACATTTGATTGGTGTACCTGAAAGTGACTGGGAGAATGGAACCAAGTTGGAAAACACTCTTCAGGATATTATCCAGGAGAACTTCCCCAACCTATCCACACAGGCCAATATTCAAATTCAGGAAATACAGAGAACACCACAAAGATACTCCTTGAGAAGAGCAACACCAAGACACATAATTGTCAGATTCACCATGGTTGAAATGAAGGAAAAAATGTTAAGGGCAGAAAGAAAGACTGGGTTACCCACAAAGGGAAGCCATCAGACTAACAGTGGATCTCTCTGCAGAAACTCTACAAGCCAGAAGAGAGTGGGGGCCAATATTCAACATTCTTTTTTTTTTCCTATATAAAAATTTATTAAGAGACAAAACAGTTAAGCTGAAAACCTTTAAAAATAGGTCTTACTGTATTTGTGGGTATTGATCCCTGGTCATTAGGTGACAAGTGTTGGAGAAAGGGATGCCATAGGGCATAAATAATCCTTCAATGATTTTTTTTTTCTCTTTCTTTTTTTTTTTCTGTCTTCAAGCATCTGTTTAACAAAGCACATCTTGCATCGCCCTTAATCCATTTAACCCTGAGTTGACACAGCACATGTTTCAGAGAGCAGGGGTTTGGGGGTAAGGTTATAGATTAACAGCATCCCAAGGCAGAAGAATTTTTCTTAGTACAGAACAAAATGGAGTCTCCTATGTCTACTTCTTTCTACACAGACACAGTAACAATCTGATCTCTCTTTCTTTTCCCCACATTTCCCCCTTTTCTTTTCGACAAAACCACCATCGTCATCATGGCCCATTCTCGATGGTCGCTGTCTCTTCAGAGCTGTTGGGAACACTTCCCAGACGGGGCAGCCCGGCAGAGGTGCTCCTCACTTCCCAGACGGGGTGGCCAGGCAGAGGCGCTCCTCACTTCCCAGATGGGTTGGTGGCTGGACAGAGGCGCTCCCCACCTCCCAGATGGGGCGGCTGGGCAGAGGCGCTCCCCACCTCCCAGATGGGGTGGCTGGGCAGAAGCGCTCCTCACCTCCCAGATGAAGGGCAGCCAGGCAGAGGCGCCCCTCACTTCCCAGGCGGGGCAGCCGGGCAGAGATTTCCCTCACCTCCCAGACGGGGTGGCGGCTGGGCAGAGGCGCTCCTCACTTCCCAGATGGGGTGGCGGCTGGGCAGAGATGCCCCTCACCTCCCAGACGGGGCAGCCAGGCAGAGGTGCCCACTTCCCAGACGGGGCAGCTGGGCAGAGGTGCTCCCCACCTCCCAGACAAAGGGCCACTGGGCAGAGGCGCCCCTCATTTCCCAGGCGGGGCAGCCGGGCAGAGGTGCTCCTCACCTCCCAGACGGGGCGGCCGTGTAGAGGCGCTCCTCACCTCCCAGATGGGGTGGCCGTGCAGAGGCACTCCTGACCTCCCAGACGGGGCTGCCTCACCTCCCAGATGGGGTGGCTGGGCAGAGACGCCCCTCACCTCCCAGACGGGGCAGCCAGGCAGAGGCGCCCACTTCCCAGACGGGGCGGCCAGGCAGAGGCGCTCCCCACCTCCCAGACGAAGGGCGGCCAGGCAGAGGCGCTCCTCACTTCCCAGGTGGGGCGGCTGGGCAGAGGCACCCCTCACCTCCCAGATGGGGCAGCTGGGCAGAGACGCCCCTCACTTCCCAGACGGGGCGGCCATGTAGAGGCGCTCCTCACCTCCCAGACGGGGCGGCCGGGCAGAGGCGCTCCTCACCTCCCAGATGGGGCAGCCGGGCAGAGGTGCTCCTCACTTCCCAGACTGGGTGGCCGGGCAGAGGTGCGCCTCACATCCGAGACAATGGGCAGTCAGGCAGAGATGCTCCTCACTTCCTAGGTGGGGTGGCGGCCGGGCAGAGGCGCTCCTCACTTCCCAGATGGGGGCAGCCAGGAAGAGGCGCTCCTCCCTTCCCATTTGGGGCAGCCGGGCAGAGGTGCTCCTCACTTCCTCCCAGATGGTGCGGCTGGGCAGAGGCACTCCTCACTTCCCAGAGGGGGTGGCCAGGCAGAGGTGCTCCTCACTTCCCATTCGGGGCAGCCGGGCAGAGGCGCTCCTCACTTCCTCCCAGACTGTGCGGCCAGGCAGAGGCGCTCCTCACATCCCAGACGATGGGCGACCAGGCAGAGACACTCCTCACTTCCTAGATGGGGTGGCGGCCGGGCAGAGGCACTCCTCACTTCCCAGATGGGGCGACCAGGCAGAGGGGCTCCTCACATCCCAGATGATGGGTGGCCAGGCAGAGACGCTGCTCACTTCCTTTTCACCTTCTTGGCTCCAGCTCCTTTTCAGGCCTCTTGGCTCTTCTTTCCTGTTTGAGAAGGGGGATGCTTCCTCATCCTTGCCACCAGAGTTCTCACACCTGTCCTTACACTTTCCTCAGAAATTTCTATTCAGTGGAAATCCTGTTGCTTGGATTTCAATCTTGCCATCTTTACTGATGCTCTCTGGAGCCACTGCTGCAGAAGGGGTGATAGGCTTCAATCGTACATCATGGCAAGTAGTGGATTGCTGTCCCTATGTGTCCGGAATTGGTGGGTTCTTGGTCTCACTGACTTCAAGAATGAAGCCGCGGACCCTCGCGGTGAGTGTTACAGTTCCTAAAGGTGGCGTGTCCGGAGTTGTTTCCTTCTGATGTTTGGATGTGTTCGGAATTTCTTCCTTCTGCTGGGGTTCGTGGTCTCGCTGGCTCAGGAATGAAGCCATGGACCTTCGCGGTGAGTGTTACAGCTCCTAAGGCAGTGCATCTGGAGTTGTTCATTCCTCCCAGTGGGTTCGTGGTGAAGCTGCAGACCTTCGCGGTGAGTGTTACAGCTCATAAAGGCAGTGTAGACCCAAAGAGTGAGCAGCAGCAAGATTTATTGCAAAGAGTGAAAGAACAAAGCTTCCACAATGTGGAAGGGGACCCGAGCGGGGTTGCCCTCAACATTCTTAAAGAAAAGAATTTTCAAGCCAGAATTTCATATCCAGCCAAACTAAGCTTCATGAGTGAAGGAGAAATAAAATCCTTTATAGAGAAGCAAATGCTGAGAGATTTTGTCACAACCAGGCCTGCCTTACAAGAGCTCCTGAAGGAAGCACTAAATATGGAAAGGAAAAGCCAGTACCAGCCACTACAAAAACATACCAAATGGTAAAGACCATCGACACTATGCAGAAACTGCATCAACTAATGGGCAAAATAACCAGCTAGCATCATAATGACAGGATCAAATTCACATGTAACAATATTAACCTTAAATATAAAAGTGGGCTAAATGCCCCAATTAAAAGACACAGACTGGCAAATTGGATAAAGAGCCAAGACCCATCAGTGTGCTGTATTCTATTCAGGAGACCCATCTCACATGCAAAGACACACATAGGCTCAAAATAAAGGGATGGAGGAATATTTACCAAGCAAATGGAAAGCAAAAAAAAGCAGGGGTTGCAATCCTAGTCTCTTCTAAAACAGACTTTAAACCAACAATGATCAAAAAAGACAAAGAAGGGCATTACATGATGGTAAAGGGATCAATGCAACAAGAAGAGCTAACTATCCTAAATATATATGCACCCCATACAGGAGCACTCAGATTCATAAAGCAAGTCCTTAGAGACCTACAAAGAGACTCAGACTTCCACACAATAATAGTGGGAGACTTTAACACCCCACTGTCAATATTAGACAGTTCAATGAGACAGAAAATTTACAAGGATATTCAGGACTCGAACTCAGCTCTGGATCAAGTGGACCTAATAGACATTTGCAGAACTCTCCACCCCAAGTCAACAGAATATACATTCTTCTCAGCATCACACAGCACTTATTCTAAAATTGACCACATAATTGGAAGTAAAACACTCCTCAGCAAATGCAAAAGGATGGAAATCATAGCAAACAGTCTCTCAGACCACAGTGCAATCAAATTAGAACTCAGGATTAAGAAACTCACTCAAAGCCACACAACTACATGGAAACTCAACAACCTGCTCCTGAATGACTACTGGGTAAATAACAAAATTAAGGCAGAAATAAATAAGTTCTTTGAAACCAATGAGAACAAAGACACAACATACCAGAATCTCTGGGACACAGCTAAAGCAGTGTTTAGAGGGAAATTTATAGCACTAAATGCCCACAGGAGAAAGCAGGAAAGATCTAATATTAACACCCTGACATCACAATTAAAAGAACTAGAAAAACAAGAGCAAACAAATTCAAACGCTAGCAGAAGACAAGAAATAACTAAGATTAGAGCAGAACTGAAGGAGATAGAGACACGAAAAACCCTTCAAAAAATCAATGAATCCAGAAGCTGATTTTTTAAAAAAGATTAACAAAATATTATTCTCTTTTCAAATATATTGATAGCATTGCCCATACAATGAGGTTCCACCTAATGCTGATTTGAAATTGAGAAAACACTTAACACACAGGTGAAGAGGATTAAGGAAGTTTAACAGTTTCAGTTCAAACCCTCAAGCTCTGAAAGACATCAGGGCCTGAACCCAGATGTGGCCACAGGCAACTATACAGAGGTTCCTGCATCTAAACCCCAGTGCCTGAAGGCCACTTCCTGGGCTGTGCTTCTCCTGCAGTGTCTGTCTTGGTGGCTGGTAGCAGCTCTCACCTTGCATCCTGGCCTTCAGACAGATGCCTTCTTTGGACGTCTGCTGGTTCTTGTTTCTGACATCTGCCTGGTCCCTGCCTCTCAAATGCTTGGCTCTATTCCCATGCCCAGCTCCAGCACCGAACTATTCCTAAATATTAGGAAGAAAACCCAATTGTGAGAAAGCTGCATTAAAAAGCAGCACCTTCTAACTGGCCTCTGCTCATTTTGTTGGCATCTGATTGACCACCACTGGGCTGCCAGTCCATGGAGAGAGGTCTTGGACTTTGACGTCCGCTCTGTTTGGTAACTCATGGACTGCACTCCCAGAGAACAGCAAGGAATGATAGAAATTCTGGGATAAGCTTTGGGATGAGAGAACCACACAGGGTATGGCCTCAAGCTGGCTTGGATGGGGTTCTGGGTTGCTTTGGTTTTGTGATTAAGCCCATGTTCTGGGGAATCTCACATGAGCTGTTAAATCTGTCACATTTTTGTGTTTCTAACAAGTGGACTTCCTCAGTGCTCTCCGTGCTCTCCTCAGGAGGACTGTGTGCCCTTTACTCTGTACCTGGCCTTCCAGCAGGCACCGAAAAAGCCCTGTGAGCTTCTCTCTGAGCGGTGGAGAACTGCACATGTATGGATGTTGCTGCTTCCTGAAGGTGTGGCGGGCCCAGAGCCCCAGGGCCTGTGTCCCTTTTGATCTGAGCTCCATGAACATGGCACCAGAGGGAGTGTGGGTGGCTGCTTTGCTCCTAGAAAGGCTGAGGTTGGGCCCTTCAGAGCCACAGCTGGGCCAGCTGCTGCTGGGCTTCCCAGCATGTCACACACTGAGGCTGCCAGCAGAGCACACTGCTCCCTCCATCCTGCCTTCAGGCCAGCAACCGAGGGGCTCTTCCAAGTTGGTTGAAATCACATCACCCCAGACGCCTGCATGTGGTGTGACTCCTGGTTTTGCACAAAAGTCCTCAACTGGAACCTGTGCAAGACTTTTAATATATGGCTGGGAAAAAGAAAAATGAACGTTCCCAGTATTTTTCCCATTCCCATTCCCTCTTCTACCAAGAAGATTTTAAATGAAGGGGGGTGGGGGGAGCTTCATACCAGAGGCAAGTTTGCAGTGAGAATCTCTGAGTCTATTTTTGTCCAGTACCATCTGGACACAAATCAAGAATCTAATTTTTCCCACTACTTTCTCTTCCCCCCGCCCCCTTTGTACTTTAGCTGACTCTGAGAGCATGAAGCCTGAAACCAAGTCTGGACCACAGAATTCCATTAAAACATAAAGAATAAACAGAAAGAAAATGTCACTGAGTTCCGTGAAGTATTTCCCCCACCTTCAGGGCCCATGGCAGCCGGGGCCCTGGAACTCCTCCTTCAGGACCTTCCAGATGCACCAGAAGGTGCAGTGAGGCTGGGTGCAAAGCACAGTGGCTGGTCCCTCCTGGTGCCACTTTGTACCTGGAGCTGTGGCTGCAGTGTGCTCTGAGCCCTGGGGCAGAGATATAAAGTGCAGCCATGTGACAGTCATTAGCCAACCTTCAGTAAGTGCCAACAGACTGCCAGTGGGAAGAGGTCGGTCTGTGAGACCTGGAAACCCTCTCAGCTTAGCAGCTTCACCAAAGTGACAGAGACCCTTGAGGCAGGCCTGAAATACCAAACAGTTCCTTCCCTGTCTTGGACTATTTCCCCTTCTCCTTCATGGCCAATGCCCCTGGTCAGCCACAACTTAAGATATTAATGCAGTGGATTTTCTTAACATTATACTAGTGGGATTTGGGTGGATGGGTAGATTTCCTTTAAAGTCATTTGTGTCAGAGGACTTTGGCTTGGAAATAAAGTACCTGAAGTTCTAGGCCTGATCTTCTGTATAAAAATGAACAGATTTATTCAGGAGCCTGAATGTTGGAAACTTAGCTCTAAGTTCTGTTGGTTCACCTAACATAACCAGACAAAGATGAATGTGGGGGCTTTGTTTTTTGTGTTTTTAATTAGTTTTATTTTCATTGATACATAATAGATGTACAAGTTTTTGGAGTACATGTGGTAATTTCATACATTTGTATAATTTGTAAAGATTAACTCAGTGTAATTGGTATATCTATCACCTTAAATATTTGTCCTTTCTTTAGCTAGAAACATTCCAATTGTTATCTTCCAGTTATTTTGAAATATAAAATAGACAATTGTAAGCTAGAATCACCCAATTGATCTGGATTTTTTGGTTGTTTTTAGGAAGACGGGTCTGAAGAAGCAAGGACTGGCAAGTCTGATCCCCCACTCTGATTCTCATTGCTGAATGTCTGGGTCTTCCTTGTGTACCTGCTGGGGTGGGAGACTGCTCGCAGCATACCTGGCCTATGACATGCCTAGCTCTCTGGGGTGGATCTTGGACAGGAAGACTGCTTCTGCCAGAGTAAAGAATATGACGGAGCTCCTCATCCGATGGAGCCTCTGGGAAGAGGCGAAGAGCCAGCTGGAAGCCTGGTGGGCCTCCGCTGCCAGCAGGACAGATGCATCAAGTCAGGTTTATGGGAGAAGTCTTCCCAGACCACTATGTCCAAACTTCTGTCCATCCTGCTATAACCTCTCCAGTTAGATGGATGAAAACCAGACCAGTCAGCCATGGACCAGAGCTGCAAAGATAAGAACCCAAAGAAGAAACAAATGGTGTAGCATTAAGTATTTCTTTCCACTTGAGCAGAAAAATCGGAGACTAAGGGAACTGGAGGAGTGTGGCCTTTGAATGAGACTTGAGGTGGTGAGACAGCAAGTGAACGTGGGGATACTTGCTCAGAGCTTTGCTAGAATACCTCATGGTTTACTGGACCTAGGACCTTCTTGATATAGAAATGACCATAAAAAGAAAGCAGACAGATTCCCATGAAGAAAAAGTGACCTCTCCTCTGAATTCCATGCTTGGAAAAGTACTTATTTAAAGGAAGGAAAAAAGTCTCCAAAGCAAAACCTGGCTTGTTTAGATAACTTGGTCTAGGAACATGGCGGAAGCTGAACCCAAGAACATGCCTGCACAGTGCAACTTCTGGGTGGGAGTCAGTTGTCTTTTCTGAGTTCCCTGGACCTGAGAGTGTGACACTGAGACCAGGGGTGTGGAGAAATCTATCTCATATTTATGACATGTGGTGGGATCTTTACTGAGCATTTCAACCCATCCTGTAGTAAAGAGTGCTGAATCATGGTGGGTCACCCTTCTAGACTAGAGACAGCCTGGGTGGGTTCACTGGAACCAGCCAAAATGGCCACAGGACCAGCTTGAGTCTCCACTACAAAGGGCAGGTGAGGGGAGCAGGAGGTAGAACGTTCACAGGACAGGACGATCAGGAGCAGAGAGTTGCTCTAAGATATGAGCACCAGATGGGGAAATTTAACAGAGTGGACTGTAGAGTCACTTGGAAGGAAAAATGGAAGAGGATTTTATATTACAGCTGCTGTCAATGGTTCTAACCTTGTAGAAATCTATAGGTAAAAATATTGTGAAATTACATATGCCCTTTGTTTTCACTTAGTTTTTAATTTCGCTTACTCTAATTACTAGCTTTTCAATATAGGTTTAAAAAGCAGTTATCAGATTTTTATTAATTAAGATAGAAGAAATCTTTTCTCATAGACTATTTAGTTTTTTATTTTGAAATTATGTTAAACTTATAGAAAAATTTACAAAAATAGTACAGAGAGTTCCTGTATATCCTTCAACTAGCTTTCCCTAGTGTTACTGTCATACTTAACAATAATACATTGATCATAAATAAGAAATGAACATTGGTACGACACTATGGGCCTAACTACAGACGTTATTCCACTAGTATCCTTTTTCTGGCTCAGGATCCAATTCAGGATCTCAAATTGCCTTTAGTTATCACGACTCCCTAGTCTCTTCCAATCTGTAATTGTCCCAAATTTTTCTTGACAACTTCAACATATGTTTTTAAAACTTTTTATTTTGAGATAACTTTAAATTCACATGCAGTTGCAGGAAATAATACAGAGAGATCCCTATATTCCTCACCTAGTTTCCCCCATTGGTAACATCTCAATAACTATGGCATAATATCACAACTTGGAAATTCACATTGATGAGGTACATGGATCTTCTTCAGATTTCACCAGTTTCACATGGACCTGTGTGTATCAGTGTGTGTGTGTGTGTGTGTGTGTGTCTGTTTGTATCAGTTCTGTGCAGTTTTATCACATGTGTAGATTCATATGGCCACTACCAGAGAACAGTTCTATCACAAGGACCCCCAGTGCTACCCTTCTATAGCTATTTCCGTTTATCCCCAGCTCCCAATCCCTGGCAGCCATTAATTTGTTCTCTATCTCTATAGTTTTGTCATTTCAAGAATATCATATAAATAGAGTTATACAGTATGTAATCTCTTGAGATTGGCTTTTTTTCACTCAGCCTAATTTTCTTGAGATCCATCCATGTTGTTGCATTGGTCAATAATTCATTCATGTTTCTTGCTAAGTCGTACTCCATGGTTTGATGGACCAGTTTGTTTAGGCATTCAATTGTCGAAGGACATTTGCACAACCTCAGTTCTTTTGAAGTCAGTTTTTGTAGAATGTCTTTTGATTTGAGTTGGTCTGATGTTTTCACATATTTAGATCATGGCAATGCATTATCATCATGAATACCACAAAAGGGCTGTGCCCTTCTGAGTTCATCCTATCAAGGAGTACATGAAGTCAATATGTCTCATTACTGGTGATATTAACTTTAATAGATTGGTTAATTGGTGTCTGCCAGGTTTTTTTCTGCTGTGAAATTACTGTTTTTCCTTAGTAAATAATAAATATTTTGGAGGAAATTGCTTTCTTTAACGGAACTTTGATAAATGTGGATGGTGTATTCTTAGCTTTCATATTTATCTTGACCCACAAGCCTGTGGCTTTCTGGGTCACTTTGTCCAAAGCAGAGCCAGAGCTTGTCATGAGGTATCAGTGATTAGAGGAGGACGCATTATCCAAAGAGGAAACTAAACACTCTATGCTTCTTAGAACACATTCTTCAATGTCAAATCTTGATTGAAAAAAAAAAAAAAAGCCCAGCTAAAAATGCTAGCACTGTGGGTGAGGACACACTTTTCAATAATTTCCTCTGGTGGGTTACGCACCTGCTTAGATAGCGAAAACTTGTCCCTTTGGAAGTAGATTCAGCTAAAAGTGTGCTGTGGGTGGCTTTGACTCAGACCTCTGAAGGGAGCAAGGTTGGCCAGTCACCTACCTAGATGGGGACCCATCTGCTCTGTGTCTCCTGTTATAATGGAGGAGGGGTCCTTCTCTCACTTGAGAACAACTCTCCCCATTGCCCACCAATGCTTTGGCTCCTATCCTCTTCCTCATTTATGGGAACTTTATGCTATCACTTTTACCATCTTTCTCTGTTACAATCTATTATCGATCACGGCTTGAACTACAGATAGTTAAACATACTTAAATCTTTCCAGTCTTAAAAGTTATAAGGAATATAAATAAAGTAAGTAAGTGAGTAAGGAAATCAGTAAGGAGGTGCCCTGAAAATTCCAAGGGGCCCAAAACTCCAAGGACATTTCCACCCCACCTATAAATGAGTGGCTCAGTGGCCATGTGACCTGGTTTTGACCAAAGTGATGGCAAGATGGGTTTGCTGTGAATGTTTCTTCTTGCTCTCAAATGACAGACACATGGATGGGTTTAATCTTTTTCTCCCAGTGGACAGGAACCAGGAATGACAGTCCTGACTTCCACATCAGCCATCCTACAATTGCGATATGAACCAGGTTTAGGATGAAACAGCCATGTGGATGTTGGAATGGAGAGATGGAAAACATCTAGGCCTTCCAACATGTTAATGTTGGAAAAACAGGATATAGCATGGTTTCAGGTAGACCTAGTTTGTTCTAGCTCTTGCTCTTACTAACAAATTACTTCATTTCTCTCATTCTCAGCTTCCCTGTAAGATGAGAATAACAATAGTGAGAAGAATTAACATTTGATGAGATCTAATTATGTGCTAGGCACTGTTCTAACTCACTATGTCCATTCATTAAATAGTCACATGATCCTAATTAGATGAACACTCTTATTGTCCATGTTTTAGAGAGAGGAAAAAAAAAGCTTAGAGAAGTTGTTTCTAGCACAAAGTCACAAAGCTAGTAAAAAACGAAGCCAAAATTCCAAACAGATCTTGGGGTTCTATCCAACTCCAAGTTCTTACTACTTATTTGGAAGGAGGTATAATTTGAGTCTGAGCCCTTACTATCTAGCACAAGGCCAGGACATGGTAGGTGTTTAATAAATGTTTGTTGAACAAATGTGGACTCTTCATATACTTTTTGCCAGCATAGAAATTGGGATTTTCCTTTTGTGAGCAGAGAAATGCTGAGAGCTGATTGGAAAGAACAAGAACTCTGACTGAAGGCAAGTTGTGACTTGTAGTTGGAGAGACTTAATGTCACCAAGCCACCAGTTAGTGGCCTGTTCTATGTCCCTGGAAACCCAAGCTGTGCTTTAGGCCAACAAGCTAGGAAATTATAAACAGATCTGTAGTACATGGGGCTCTGTTTTTTTTTTTTTTATGGAGTCTTGCTCTGTCACCCAGGCTGGAGTGCAGTGGCGCGATCTCAGCTCACTGCAACCTCTGCCTCCCAGGTTCAAGTGATTCTCCTGCCTTAGCCTCTTGAGTAGCTGGAATTACAGTTGCATGCCACCATGCCTGGCTAATTTTTTGTGTTTTAGTAGAAATGGGGTTTCACCGTGTTAGCCAGGATGGTTTCGATCTCCTGACCTCGTGATCCTCCCGCCTTGGCCTCCCACAGTGCTGGGATGAGAGGCGTGAGCCACTGAGCCCAGCCACATGGGCCTCTCTTTACACTCATAAGGAGGGTTGATGCAGGACCACAGTACTTTTACACACTGTACCAGCAGAAGGAGTCTCCATCAAGATGCCAAAAGCACATCCTTATTGTGAGGAACTCCTTATACAATATTATGATGGTCTCCAAAAGAGGAAAGGTAGAATAAACATTATTTGAGTTTAGCACTTGATAATTTATGGGTTTAGAGTGTCAGGACATTAGAGACAACCTTGCAATGCTCAGCACAACTTGACCATACAATTTTTAAATTATTAATTATAAATTTCTTATATTAGATAAAGCAATTAAACCAGTGCTGATGAAGCCATGATGGAGATGGCCGTGGGAGGAGTAGGCCTAATTTTCATGAATGGAGCTGGTGAGGAGCACTAGAAGATGCTGGAATCCTTGTCACGGCCCAGGGTTATTGTAGTTGATGCTACATTCATTCTATTTGAATGATGCACCAAGACCCAATCCCCTTCCTTTGGTTCTCCCTGGACAAGAGCCTTGGCAGAGACTCACAGACATCTAAACTTCGGTCTAGGGGGAGTCATTAAGACCTCATTTGTCACCCATCACATCTATCCCTAAAGAGAGAGTGCAAGGACTATGAAAATATCCTGTCCTGGGATTAGGGAAATAGGCAGTTGGAGCCATTTCCTTCCTTGTCTGCTGATCTAAGAAAGAGATTCCTTTTCCTATTTATGTTCTGGTTTTAAGAAATTACTAATTTGATCAGACTGTGCTCATGGATAAGAGACAATAAGAAGATGCTGTCTTTAATTTCTTCGAATAATTTAATATTCAATCTTAATAGATCTTCCATTATGAAGGATGAAGTAGACAAAAGTTAACTACAGCTTCTGCCTCCATTCTTGGAAAAGACATGCCAGCAATTAGATGCTGGTGGTGAAGGACTCTTTCCACAAGTTATGGGATTACTGTCATAGTCCTTCAAACAACACAGGACTTGATGCTGTTTTAACAGTTTTTGTCTGAAAACTACCTTGATTTTGTTTTTTGCCTGTATTGTCCTCTTTTAATCATTCAACCTGGCTGGGATTCAGCAATTTCTGTGTTTCAAACCTTTCGACTGACTTAACCAATTTTAACACCTTTGCTTCTTTCACTTTGATCCTTGAATTAGCTTCCCAGAGATACTCTAAAAGATTTATGATTAAAACTTCTTTCTGGGTAAAAGATTATTATTAATAGTATTTAATTTTAATGTTTCCCATGTTTGCTATCTGCCCTCTTTTTCTTCACAAGTTTAACATAACTTTTTCCCTTATTCTCACATGTCTAAAACATCTATCCCATCATCAATGGTAAGGTCATTTTGTTTTGCTTATTTTTCCCCAACATGTGCAGATCTGGAGAAATACTATATAACTTCAGAGATAATGCTATTATCATCACATTCACAGTGACATAAGAAAGCTGATGACAGTAACTGCTAGAGTAGGTCTATTATCTGTTTCTCACCAAATCTTTACCTGGCTCTTCTCAGATAAGCTATTAGACATGGGCTTTGGGTCACACAGGTCTTGATCCAAATCCTGGTTGCACTACTTACTAGCTTTGTGGCTTTGGGGAGTCTTTTAAGTACCCTCAATTGGTCTAGATAGGCCAGCTTATGCTGCAGTAAAAAACAATCTCAAAATTTCAATGGATTAAAACAAGAAATGTTTATTTCTTGCTTAAGCAAAGTCTCATACAGGTATGGGCAGCTCTCTAGCACAGCTGTTGTCTTCATGATGGCTCAGCATTAACCATTCACGTCTACACTGGTTTCCTGGGTCACCATGGCACAAGAAAGGTTAAGTGGAGAATTAAGCATCAACAACTAAATGTTCCTATCCAGGAAAAACAACATTACTTCTGCTTCCTTTTCACTGGACAGAATTCATATGACCACAACTAATATCCATATGGCAGAGCATAGCTACTTCCATGTGCGCAGAAAGAAGACAGAAGTGGATACCAATGAACAATTATAATGCCGCATTCCCTAACCTTCATTTTCCTCATCAATAAAATGGCAAAGGATTATTATGTCAAGTCAATAAGAAAATGTATATTAAATGCTTAGAATTAAAACTGCAAACACTCAGATAATTGGGAGTTTTTATTATATATGTTAAAATGTAATAGCATGGACATAACATCTCTTTTGCATGAAGGGAAAGCAAAAGACATGATATTAAGAGCTCTATATGCTATTTCCAATAAAAGCCCCATCATCTACAACTGCTATTTGAGCCACTTGAGTGCAAGATATAACTCATTGTATCATTCAGAGAAAGAGTGAGAAGGACATACACCAAAATATTAGCAATGGTTATCTCTAGTTGTGAAGTTGTAAAAAAATCTAGTTTACTTCTTTATAAATTTTGTTTTTTTCTGGCTTTTCTACCATGAGTATGTATTATTAAGAATAATAGCTTATTACATACCAGACTCCCATTTTAATTCCCACAATATATTATGATTTTGATGTTATTATCCCAATTTTACACTTAAGGAAACTGGGGCACAGAGAAGATAAGTAACTTGCCCAAATAATGAATGATAGAGTCAGGATTTGTATATTAATCATAAAAAATAAATATTTTTAATAGTACAACATTATATTTATGACCCCAATATTAAGTGCACAATATGTGCCAGTCACTGTATAAGGGCCTATGGGAGATACTAAGATGAAGAAGATACAGTCTCAAGGACCTTACCGTATCATTGAGGAGGTAAGCCACATATATACACAAAAAAGTTTATGATGCAAGTCCGTACATCAGAGACAATCATTCAAAGACAGAGACATGGTCTTCTTCATATTCAGGACCTGGCATAGAACAGCTGCTGGATACTAATTTGCTGAATGAATAAATGATTAAATGGAATTTCAGAGCATCTAATTTTACTGATGAGAAGATGAAAGTCCAGAGAGGTTTCTTGGCTTGCTAGAATTGCACAGCTATTTAGTGGGTGGACTGAGAGAGCCTGTTAGTCTCCTGCTCTCTTCTACTAGCTTCTCCAGGGGAGAGAGGACCTTTGGGATGGATCAGTCTAAGTAAGCTTCTGCTTTGCCATGTCAGACTTGATGATATCACCCTGATTCACTCTGTATCACCAGGGCCTGAAATGTCTCTTCTCAAGATGATCCATGGCCTCCATGTTGCTTCACTCATGAGCACTTCTCTGTCTGCATGGTACTTGACCTTTCAGCAACATTCAACACAGTGACCACTTCCTCCTTCTTGAAATACTTTCTCCTCTAGGCTTCTGTGACAGCACAATGACCCATTTCTCTCTTTTTTCATTGTTCATTCTGTCTGGTCTCCTTTGCTGACTTCTTTTCTAGCTGACCACTAAATACTTGAGCTCCTCAGGGATTAATCTACTCTACCAACACACTCTACTTAATTCCAACAAGTCCAGCCATTCAACTGTCATGTTTTATGCAAATGAGTTGGAAATCTATATCTTTTCCCTCAGTTCTGGATTCATGTATGTAAATGCTTACCTGACATTTTCACTTGAATGCCTAATATGCATCTCAAATTGGTTTCAAAACCCAAACTTATTTTCCCCCACTCTTCTACATTTCAATAAATGACATCAGGAATCTCCCAGTTGGTCAAGATAATAACCTAGGAATTATTCTTTTGTGATCCCTTCCTTAAATTGTAACGTCCAATCCACCAATAATTCCTCTTTTCTGCCTCCAAAATATGTTCCCAAATTTATTCGCATCATTTCTTTCCCACCTCCTCATTCTAATTCTTGCTTGGATAACTTCAATAACTCCTAAATGGCTACCTGCTTCGATTATTGCCCATATTCATTCTCCTCATAACAATGAGAATGATCTTTTAACAATGTAAATTAGATTTAATCGCATTTCATTTAAAACACCATCCAGCTTGGAAAATCTAGCATTTGCCAATCTCTCTGACTCTCCACACTCTTCCCTCCCCAGTAGCCTATTTCCCATTTCCAATCATCCTGAGCTCCTTCCTGCTGCAGTGTCTTTTGACCTGCTCTTCATCTAGATCCAGGACTAAATGTGTGCCTTTCTTCCCAGCTCTGCATTCAGTAATGTCATGTATGTTAGTGCCTGGAAATTGGCTGTTGTAATTTTACACCATGAAAATCAGCAAACCTACAAATCAAGGCTTTCTTTCTTCTCTTTTGAGAGCGAATTAATCAGGACCCCACTGCTCTTCCTTCAGCTTAACTCAAATGTTACTTTTTCAGTGAGGGTTTCTTTGACTACTGTACATGCAAATGCTATCCCCTTCCACCTCTAGTCAATGTCTAGTCTAGTCACGTTACCTTGCTAACCTCCTTCATAACACACTATTGAAATTATCCATATTTGTTTACTTGATTGTCTCATCCACTAAAATGTGAGCTTTGCGAAGGCAGAGAAAATCTCTGTTTTGTTCACTGCTATGTTTACTGTTCACCTAGAACAGTGCCTGGCACATAGTAGCTGCTCAATAAACACAGTTTGCGTTTTGAATAATCAACCCCTGTCTTGCTTCCACCAATTATCCTCATAACTGACCCTGGTCTGCTCCCTCTGGGTACCCCCTCAACTGTTCTTTTCAAGCTCACTACTCAACCCCTCAACCCTAGAGTCTTCTTTCTCAGATGTCATCATTGCTCATCCCACAGAGCATACAGAGCTCATTGGCTTGCTGCCCTCACCTACCTACAGCTATGCATACCATACTATCTCCCTTTCTTCCCACCCTAGAAAATGGCCTCAGCATTCATTAACCACCTGCTATACAAAGATAAGTACCATACTTCTTTTGTTATCAAGGATATGATGGGCTGATGAGGTACAGAGGTCTCTCTTTTTTCCTTTTGAGACTTCTTCCTACCTCCTGTTTATTCTTGGGTCTTGTTCTTACCTAATTATCTTCTTTCTATTCTGTAATTCCAAATTCTTTTGTTCTCAGATGACTACTTTCTCCCCAGCCTATAACCCTGTGCATATCAAGTCTGTCTTACAAACAAGCAAAGGAATTCCTTGACCTCCTCCCATGTTCAGCCTCTGTCCTCTCTCCCTGAACAGTCAACCTTTGCAAGAATCATCAATACATGCTGTCTCCACTTGCTTACCTCCTAGCCTGTCCTCTGGCCACTGAAATCAGGCTTCTCCTGCTACATCTTGACAGAAGCTTCTTCTAATACGAAGCCCATGAGGTTGTTACTTGTCCAAGAAAGTGGCAGAACTTATTTATATTCAGGCAGTTTCACACTAGAATTTCATCTCCTTATTCAATATGCCTTATTGCCTCCCTTTCATTTTCACCCAACACTGTCTCCCTAAGCAATCTACTCATGGTCTTGGTTTTAACTTCACTTATTATCCTAATTATTCTAAAATCCGTATTGTCAAGGCAACCCTTTCTCCTAATTTCACCTAACCTACTAAGGTGGAAATCTACTCCACTTACGTACAGACACTTTAGACTCAACTTATCCTGCCAAATGACTTCTTCTATTACATTATCCCACTCTTAATTTATTCATTCACTTAACCAGCATCTATTGAGTATCTACTACCCACCAGTAAGTAATAGGAATATAGAGGTAAATAAAAAAGAGTTAGTCCTTGCCACCAAAGAACCTAAAATCTAATTGGCACAAAAATATATATAAATACATGATTACAATGCAACATATTAGTTGCTGTAACAAGCATAAGTATAGTTTGCTATTGAAGCACTTAGGAGGGACATCTAATCCACTTGTGATTGGATTGTTAATTTGTAGGTCAAGAAAGTGTTGTTTTGATTTAGCATAATTTGACTAAACCATTTGATAAAATTTCTCTTATATATTTTTGAATAAGACAGATATTTGGCCAGAGATGAGTGGCTGAAGGAATATTAATGGGGTAAGTTGATTAATAAATTAATACAAACTTAAGAGAGGTAGGAGTCTTTGATACCAGATCAAGAAGCTCCATATTGAGCCCAACACGATGCAATGTTTTCATCCATGGCTTAAATGAAGACATAAAGGCTATGTTTTTCAGCTTTTCAGATGAAACCAAGCTTGAAGGGAAAACTAAAGTGTTTGTTGATAGAACTGGCAAAAATAACTCTGGACAAATAGGAAGCAGGAAGCAAGATGAGATTTAATTGCAAAGTCCTACATTTTAGATCCAATATTCAAATAGACAAACACTAGCTGTAATAAATATTACTTAACTACATATGAAAAATATATAAAAGCTTTGAAGTATAAGTTAGTTATACAAGAATTAAAGAAGAAAGGGGGAGGTGTGGCTTTCTCTGTATTACTACATTGGTCAGGCCATACCAGGAGTTTCAGGAGCTACATCAAAGGGGAAAATTGACAAATTGATATGGGTTCAGACACAGTTATCAGGATAATGAGGAACTCCTTAAGGAAATGATAAATCTTCATTTGGAGAAGACAAAAGAGAAGACGTGAGAAGACTCCTCTGTACTTATTCTGTGTAGGTCTAAAGGGCACTACAAATAGGTGGAAGTTAGATGAAGGAAATCTTTGGCTCAATTAAAGGAAGCATTTTCTAATAATTAGAGATAACTGACAATGAAATGGGCTGCCTTTTTGAAGAGCTGAATGTTTTAACACTGAAAGTTGCAAGCAGAGGCTGGAGAATGTTGGGTGCCTGGTTCAGCTGGTAGTCAGGCTTAATAATATCTAAATGCCCTTCTAACTCTACATATCTTTGGCTCTTCTGGGAGGACCTGAGAAGAAGAAGGAGAGTCACAAACAACACAGTCTGCTAACAGTGAAGGACAGACTTTGCATACATGTACCTTGGAAGGTGCATGTTCTTTGCTCAACCATCTGTGCACACAATTAGAAGCCACTATCAGCGGTGTTATCTTTAAATGTAAAACACACGACATGGATAAAATGTGCACAAATACATTTCTGCTTAAGTAGTCAACCAATAAAATAAATGACAATGGGTTAGAATGACTAAATATATATTTATATGTTTAAATAAGAGACCAGTTCAATTTCAACTCAAGAACACTTTTATAACCCGCTGTGAAAGACGGGGTGGTTTTTAAAAATTGTTTGGTCTTTGTGAAGAGAAGAAGGAAATTAAATGCATAGCACACTATTTAAACAACATCAAGGCTATGATTCAAGAAAACAAAAGGCAGGAAATTCGAAGTTGAGGTGTGATGTGTTCTCCTTCATTCCAGCTGCTATGTCCATTCACAGAGACAGCTGAAAAGAAATTTGGAACACTATGTAGGCACAGTTTTAAAATATATTTACTTAAAAGAAAACATGGCAAAGATATTTCATTCTATTTATGGGGGAAGGGATTAAACACTGACTCATCAGAGTGTCTTAAAAACATTTTACAAGTTCAGAAAATATTTGCCAATTCCTGTTTTACTTACCATGTGTAAATCGGCTGTGTTATTCAGAGACAGATTTTCTAGAAATTGATTGAGTTAAGTGAATCTGTTCAATTTCTCCTGATTTCTAAGGGACTGTGTCAAAATAAAGTATTTGTATCTAGTCTTGTTGAAAGGAGAGCAGAAATTTGAAAGAGAAAACAAAACCTACAGAGAGCATAAAATGCAGGGACAATGCTACCCCTTCTTTTCAGCACTGGTAAAAAGAGAAGGACGAGATGAAGGGATGGGCATATTTGTCTGCTGCCCACTGGATGATGGTATTCTGTTGTAAGATGATGGTTTTCTGTTGTAGCTAAAGATTTTGCTATTACTGATGTGGCCTGAAATCCCTGTCTTGCTTAACAAAGGGATGAGGGGCATGTTTTTAGAAGCCATAGACAGAAATAACATGGAAGAATAAGAACATGATGGATTTGAAAAGAAAACAAATCAAGAATCCTGAAACATATGTAGGGATAAGGCCTGAAACAAGGACCAAAGACAGTTTTGGTTTTTTTAAATTAAAAAAAAAAAAAAGGATGCTGTTAACCTGGAAGGACATATGCATCAAGCTGTCCAGTCCTAGGAATGGATTTGCCTTGGTCTATCCAGAGCCTCCATGGGATCCATCAAGCCTCCTTAGCATGATGTTCAAGACCACTCTCAAGCCATCCCAGCAAGCCTTTGATGCTCCTTTCCCTCATCCTGTCAGTCCTATCCTACACAACAGTCAAATTGGATTACGCATGCTTCCGACCTTGCTTATGTTGCCAACTCTGCCTAAGGTGTCCTTCCATCCTCTTCTATCCAACATTTTGTCCTGAGCACCATCTCAAATGCCACAAAACCTTCTCTTCTGTCTGCCCGAAGTCCAGGCAGCACACTGCTTTATTGTTGCTTAATTCCTTATTGTCCTTACATGGAAAACTATACACTCGTGGAGGACAGGAAGCATGTCTTTTAGATTATTTGCTCATTCTTACCATATTGTATTTGTTTTTGTATCTTCAGTAGTTACTAGAGTGCCTGGTGTATAGAAGGAGTGTACTATGCACTTTAGATGAGTAAATGGAAGATAATGATAAGATAACTGAGTTTATTATTCTTTGTAACACCTAGTTACAAGTAAAACATTGGTATTATGTTAAATGGTTTTTGTTTCAAATCATTAAAGCAAGTTTCATAAGACAGCAGTTTCTTTTTTTTATTTCAATAAGTTTTGGAAGAACAGGTGGTGTTTAGTTACATGAGTAAGTTTTTTAGTGGTGATTTCTGAGATCTTGGTGCACCCATCACCTGAGCAGTATACACTGTATCTAATGTGCAGTCTTTTATCCCTCATCTGCCTCCCACCCTTTCCCCTGAGTCCCTAAAGTTCATTGTATCATTCTTATGCCTTTGCATCCTCATAGCTTAGCTCCCACTTATGAGTGAGAACATACAATATTTGGTTTTCCATTCCTGAGTTGCTTCACTTAGAATAATGGTCTCCATCCAGGTTTCTGCAAATGCCATTATTTCATTCCTTTTTATGGCTGAGTAGTATTCCATGGTGTGTGTGTGTGTGTGTGTGTGTGTGTGTGTGTGTGTGTGTATGCCACAATTTATTTATCCACTCGTTGATTGATGGGCACTTAGGCTGGTTCCATATTTTTGCAATTGTGCTGCTATCAACATGGGTGTGCAAGTATCTTTTTCATATGACTTCTTTTCCTCTGGGTACACACCTAGTAGTGGATTGTTGGATCAAATGGTAGTTCTACTTTCAGGTCTTTAAGGAATTCCCACACTGTTTTCCATAGTGGTTGTATTAGTTTACATTCCCACCAACAGTATAAAGGTATTCCCTTTTCACCACATCCATGCCAGCATCTATTAGTTTTTGATTTTTAAATTATGGCCATTCTTGCAGGAGTAAGGCGGTATCACATTGTGGTTTTGATTTGCATTTCACTGATCATTAGTGATGTTGAGGATTTTTTCATATGCTTGTTAGCCATTTGTATATCTTCTTTTGAGAATTGTCTATTCATAATCTTAGCCTACTTTTTGATGGGATTGTTTGTTTCTTGATGATTTGTTTGAGTTCCTTGTAGATTCTGGATATTAGTCCTTTGTTTAAGACAATACTTTCTAGACTTCACTTTTTTTAAGTATCGAATGTCCATCGAAATAATATGTTATAAGCTTTAAAAAAATGAACTCTTGGGAGGAGTGGGGGATAATTTAGTAACATTGCAGTGCCATGAGGAAGCATTCTAAGAGGGTATACAATGCTGTGGATGCAGAGGTGCACCCCACTTCAAGAGAGGTCCCCACTTCGGGGAAGAACTTCTCCTCAGCCACATGATGTAGTCATCTGGCAGCCTCTAGCTGTCAGCAACTTAGGGCTGCCTCAGCAGCAGAGTTTCCCTGCTAAAGGTCATGCCCTTCCTAGGACTACCCTCAGGTACTCACTAAGTGAGGCGGGAATATGAAAGCTCTGTTATTTCAGCCACCCTGGTCTGCTCTGCTGGGCCGTATTTGCTCCAGAGTTCTTCGTTGAGTTGACCAGGATTTAATTGGGTCTATAATGTGGCTTGACTTCTCCTTCTCCCCAATCCTGCTTTCTCTCCCTTCCTTTCATAGGTATTAGCACCCCAAATTCTGCCTCAGTAGCTGCTTTCAGAAAGAGAAATCTATTACACATAGAAAGACCTGAATTGTCTTTTCCTGGTTGGCCAGGGGAGAGTTAAGTCAGGGAGTCTCAATTTAGGCTTAAATGTTCTAACCATTTGTGTCTGGGGTCATACTCACACAAGCTTATATTGCAAAGGATCAGAATATTAGTATTGTATCATTGTGTAGCACAGTCAGATAGAAATAAGTGTTAGGACAGCATTTTTTTTTTCTTAGTAGGAAAGCATTCAATATTTTACTGTTTTCATTGTTAGGTGTATTATAGGCTGTAGGCTTTTCCTATACACCTTTTAGCAGATTGAAGCCATTCCCTTTTATTCCTATGCTGCTAAAAACTTTTATCATGAATAGGTGTGGAATTTCATCAAATGCTTTTTCTGCATCTATTGAGATAATCACAGAGTTTTTTCTATTTTGGTCTGTTCATATGATGAGCGTTACACTAATCATTTCTAAATGCTAAGTCAAACTGACATTGCTGGGATAGAACTAACTTGGTCTTAATTTCTTATCTATTTTATACATTGCTGGATTGGATTTGCTAAAATTTTTGTTAAGAATTTTGACATCTATATTCAAGCAGTATATTGATCTATATAGTTTTATTCTCTTGTAATGTCTTTGCCTCCTTTTAGTATCAGAGCAATGCTAGCCTCAGAAAGTGAGTTAGAAATTCTTTTCTCTTTTTGTTGCCCAGGCTGGAGTGCGATGGGGCAATCTAGGCTTACTTCAACCTCCACCTCCCGGGTTCAAGCAACTCTCTTGTCTCAGCTTCCCGAGTAGCTGGGATTGCAGGCACCCGCCACCACGCCCAGCTAATTTTTGTATTTTTAGTAGAGACGGGTTTTCACCATGTTGGCCATGCTGGTCTCAAACTCCTGACCTGAGGTGATCAGTCTGCCTCGGCCTCCCAAAGTGCTGGGATGACAGTTGTGAGCCACTACTCCTGGCCGGTTTTAATACTTTTTAAAATGTTTGGCAGACTTTATCAGTGAAATCATCTGGATCTAGAAACTTCTTTGTGAAAAAGCTTTGAACTATAAATTTAACTTATTTTTAAAATTTTTGTTATCATTTTTAGATAATGAGCTATTCAAATTATCTATCTTCTTGCGTAACTTTTGGTATTGTGTTTTTTCTTTCAAGAAATTTTTACAGTTCATCTAAGTTGTCAAATTTATTGGTATCAAATTGTTTATAATATTCTTTTATAATCCTTTCAACGTCTTTAGGATATATATTGATGTCTCTCTTTCGGATATATATTGATGTCTCTCCTTCATTCTTGAAATTAGTAATTTGTGTTTTCTCTTTCTCTTTTCTGATCAATCTGGCTACAGTAAAGTGACCAATGTTCCCAGTTTACCCAGGACTGAGAGGTTTCCTGAAATGTGAAATGTTTGGTATTAACACTGAGACAGTCCCAGGCAAGTCATAATGAATCTGTTAACTTAAACTACAGGCTTATCAATGGGGAAATAACCAACTTTTGGTTTCATAGCTTTTTCTGTTATTACTTGTCCATTTTTTTTATTTTATTGGTTTCTGCATTTACATTATCAGCATCCTTCAATTTACTTCAAATTTAATTTGCTTTTATTTTTCTTGCTTTTTAAGGTAGAAGTTTAGATAATTGATTTAAGACCCTTCCCCCACTCATATAATCATGTAATGTTGTAAATTTCCCTCTAAGCATTGACTTAGCTGAATCTCACAAATTTTGATATGTTGTGTTTTCATTTTCACTCAGTTCAAAATATTTTCTAATTTCCCTTGTGATTTCTCATTTGACCCATGGTTTATTTTTACTTCTATGGTTTAATTTCCCAATGTTTGGGGATTTCCCAGCTAACTTTCTGTTATTAATTTCTGGTTTGATTCTGCTGCAGTAAAGAATATACTTTGTGTAATTCCAGTTGTCTTGAATTTATTAAGACCTATTTAAGTGTCCAGAGTATAATCTAGGTGAATGTTCTATGTGTACTTGAATATAATGTCTATTCTGCTCTAGTTGGGTGATGTGTTCTATAAATGTTGATTAGGTTGGTTGACTAATAGTATTGGTCAAGTCTTCTGTATCCTTAGTGATTCTTTTGTCTACTTGTTCTATAAATAACTGAGAGAAGAATATTGAAATTTCCAATTAAGATAATGGATGTCTATTTCTACTTTCAGTTTTATCAGCTTTTACTTTAAAAAATTTTTATCAGGTGCATATATATTTAAGATTGCCTGTCTGCTTGATCAATTAATTGCTTTATCATTATGAAATGCTCCTCTTTATACTTGAAACAATTCCTTTTTCTGGCATTCTTATATTCACTTCACACTATTTTTTATTGCTTGTATAGTATAGTTTTTCTCATTCTTTTACTTTTAATTTATCAGTGTGTTTATAGTACAGTAAGTATTTCATAGATGATTGATAGTTGAATTTTTCTTTTTTAAAGTCAAATCTGACAATCTCTCCATTTTAATTGGAGTGCTTAGATCAGTTATATTTAACATAATTAGTGATATAGTTGGGTTTAAACCTAACATCTTGCAATTTGTTTTCTACTTTCCCCACCAGCCCTTTATTTTAAAACTTAAGTATTTGTTTATGATTTATGTTTTTTTCCCACTATTGGAAAGGTATAGGCTTTAGCTATGCCTATTTGTTTCATTACTTTACTGGTTGCTCTAGGGTTTACAATACACATTTTTGGCTTATTTTAGTCAAACAGTATTATACTCTTCATGTATATTATTTAATAGTGTTATACCCTTCATGTATATTATTAAAAAAACACTATTATTTAATAGTGTTATACCCTTCACGTGTTATACCCTTCATGTATATTACCATCATTTACTTCCCTTTTACCTCTTTTCTTTATGCTATTGTCATACTTTTTATTTTTACATACTTTATAAACATTACATTATTGACTTTTTTATTATATGTTAAGTTCTAGGGTACATGCGCACAACGTGCAGGTTTGTAACATAAGTATACATGTGCCATGTTGGTTTGCTGTACCCATCAACTCGTCATTTACATTAGGTATTTCTCCTAATGCTATCCCTCCCCCAGCTCCCCACCCCCGACAGGCCCCGGTGTATGATGGTCCCCACCCTGTGTCCAAGTGTTCTTACTGTTCAATTCCCACCCATGAGTGATAATATGTGGTGTTTGGTTTTCTGTCCTTGTGATAGTTTGCTGAGAATAATGGTTTCCAGCTTCATCCATGCCTCTGCAAAAGACATGAACTCATCCTTTTTTATGGCTGCATAGTATTCCATGGTGTGCCACATTTTCTTTATCCAGTCAATCACTGATGGACATTTGGGTTGGTTCCAATTCTTTGCTATTGTGAATAGTGCCACAATAAACATATGTGTGCATGTGTCTTTACAGTAGCATGATTTATAATCCTTTGGGTATATACCCAGTAATGGGATCTCTGGGTCAAATGGTAGAGATACCACTGACCAGAAATGGTTCCAGATCCTTGAGGAATCGCCACACTGTCTTCCACAATGGTCGAACTAATTTACACTCCCACCAACAGGGTAAAAGCATTCCTATTTCTCTACATCCTCTCCAGCATCTGTTATTTCCTGACTCTTTAATGATTGCCATTCTAACTGGTGTGAGATGGTATCTCATTGTGGTTTTGATTTGCATTTCTCTGATGACCAGTGATGATGAGCATTTTTTCATGTGTCTGTTGGCTGCATAAATGTCTTCTTTTGAGAAGTGTCTGTTCATATCCTTTGCTTACTTTTTGATGGGGTTGTTTATTTTTTTCTTGTAAATTTGTTTAGGTTCTTTGTAGATTCTTGATATTAGCTCTTTGTCAGATGGGTAGATTGCAAGAATTTTCTCCCATTCTGTAGGTTGCCTGTTCACTCTGATGGTAGTTTCTTTATTCGTGCAGAAGCTCTTTAGTTTAATTAGATCCCATTTGTCAATTTTGGCTTTTGTTGCCATTGCTTTTGGTGTTTTGGTCATAAAGTCCTTGCCCATGCCTATGTCCTGAATGGTATTACCTAGGTTTTCTTCTAGGGTTTTTATGGTTTTAGGTCTAACATTTAAGTCTTTAATCCATCTTGAATTAATTTTTGTATAAGGTGTAAGGAAGGGATCCAGTTTTAGCTTTCTACATATGGATAGCCAGTTTTCCCAGCACCATTTATTAAATACAGAATCCTTTCCCCATTTCTTGTTTTTCTCATGTTTGTAAAAGATCAGATGGTTGTAGATGTGTGGTGTTATTTCTGAGGCCTCTGTTCTGTTCCATTGGTCTATGTATCTGTTTGGGTACCAGTACCATCCTGTTTTGGTTACTGTAGCCTTGTAGTATAGTTTGAAGTCAGGTAATGTGATGCCTCTAGCTTTGTTCTTTTTGCTTAGGATTGTCTTGGCCATGCAGGCTCTTTCTTGGTTCCATATGAACTTTAAAGTAGTTTTTTCCAATTCTGTGAAGAAAGTGATTGGTAGCTTGATGGGGATGACATTGAATCTATAAATTACCTTGGGCAGTATGGCCATTTTCATGATATTAATTCTTCCTATCTATGAGCATGGAAAATTCTTCCATTTGTTTGTGTCCTCTTTTATTTCATTGAGAAGTGGTTTGCAGTTCTCATTGAAGAGGTCCTTCACATCCCTTGTAAGTTGGAGTCCTAGGTATCTTATTCTCTTTGTAGCAATTGTGAAAGGGAGTTCACTCATGATTTGGCTCTCTGTTTGTCTGTTATTGGTGTATAGGAATGCTTGTGATTTTTGCATATTGATTTTATATCCTGAGACTTTGCTGAAGTTGCTTATCAGCTTAAGGAGATTTTGGGCTGAGATGATGGGGTTTTCTAAATATACAATCATGTCATCTGCAAACAGGGACAATTTGACTTCCTCTTTTCCTAATTGAATACCCTTTATTTCTTTCTCTTGCCTGATTGCCCTGGCCAGAACTTCCAACACTATGTTGAATAGGAGCAGTGAGAGAGGGCATCCTTGTCTTGTGCCGGTTTTCAAAGGGAATGCTTCCAGTTTTTACCCATCCAGTATGATATCGGCTGGGGGTTTGTCATAAATAGCTCTTATTATTTTGAGATGTGTTCCATCAATACCTAATTTATTGAGAGTTTTTAGCATGAAGGGCTGTTGAATTTTGTTGAAGGCCTTTTCTGCATCTATTGAGATAATCATGTGGTTTTTGTCATTGGTTCTGTTTATGTGATAGATTACATTTATAGATTTGCATATGTTGAACCAGCCTTGCATCCCAGGGATGAAGCTGACTTGATTATGGTGGATAAGCTTTTTGATGTGCTGCTGGACTTGATTTGCCAGTATTTTTTGAGGATTTTCGCATCGATGTTCTTTGGAGACATTGGTCTAAAATTCTCTTTTTTTGTTGTGTCTCTGCCAGACTTTGGTGTCAGGATGATGCTGGCCTCATAAAATGAGTTAGGGAAGATTCCCTCTTTTTCTATTGATTGGAATAGTTTCAGAAGGAAAGGTACCAGCTCGCTTTGTACCTCTGGTAGAATCTGGCTGTGAATCAATCTGGTCCTGGAATGTTTTTGATTGGCACGCTATTAATTATTGCCTCAATTTCAGAGCCTGTTATTGTCCTTTCAGAGATTCAACTTCTTCCTGGTTTCGTCTTGGAAGGGTGTATGTGTCCAGGAATACATCCATTTTTTTATAGTATTCTCTGATGGTAGTTTGTATTTCTGTGGGATTGGTGGTGATATCCCCTTTATCATTCTTTATTGCGTCTATTTGATTCTTCTCTCTTTTCTTCTTCATTAGTCTTGCTAGCGGTCTATCAATTTTGTTGATCTTTCAAAAAAAAAAAAAACCTGCTCCTGGATTCATTGATTTTTTGAAGGGTTTTTTGTGCCTCTATCTTCTTCAGTTCTGTTCTGATCTTAGTTATTTCTTGCCTTCTGCTAGCTTTTGAATGTGTTTGCTCTTGCATTTCTAGTTGTTTTAATTGTGACGTTAGGGTGTCAATTTTAGATCTTTCCTGCTTCCTCTTGTGGGCATTTAGTGCTATAAATTTCCCTCCACACACTGCTTTAAATGTGCCCCAGAGATTCTGGTATGTTGTGTCTTTGTTCTCGTTGGTTTCAAAGAACATCTTTATTTCTGCCTTAATTTCGTTATTTACCCAGTAGTCCATCAAGAGCAGGTTGTTCAGTTTCTATGTAGTTGTGCAGTTTTGAGTGAGATTCCGAATCCTGAGTTCTAATTTGATTGCACTGTGGTCTGAGAGACAGTTTATTGTGATTTCGGTGCTTTTACATTTGCTGAGGAGTGTTTTACTTCCAATTATGTGGTCAGTTTTATAATAAGTGTGATGTGGTGCTAAGAAGAATGTATATTTTGTTAATTTGAGGGGGAGAGTTCTGTAGATGTCTATTAGGTCTGCTTGGTCCAGAGCTGAGTTCAAGTCCTGAATATCCTTGTTAATTTCCTGTCTCATTGATCTGCCTAATATTGACAGTGGGGTGTTAAAGTCTCTCATTATTATTGTGTGGGAGTGTAAGTCTCTTTGTCGGTCTCTAAGAACTTGCTTTATGAATCTGGGTGCTCCTGTATTGGGTGCATATATATTTAGGATAGTTAGCTCTTCTTGTTTCACTGATCCCTTTACCATTATGTAATGGCTTTCTTTGTCTCTTTTGATCTTTGTTGGTTAAAGTCTGTTTTATCAGAGACCAGGAATGCAACCCGTGCTTTTTTTGCTTTCCATTTGCTTGGTAGATCTTCCTCCATCCCTTTATTTTGAGCCTATGCATGTCTTTGCATGTGAGACGGGTCTCCTGGATACAGCATACTGATGGGTCTTGACTGTATCCAATTTGCCAGTTTGTGTCTTTTAATTGGGGCATTTAGCCCATTTACATTTAAGGTTAATATTGTTATGTGTGAATTTGTTCCAGTCATTATGATGTTCGCTTGTTATTTTGCCCATTAATTGATGCAGTTTCTTCATGGCATCAGTGGTCTTTACAATTTGGCATGTTTTTGCAGTGGTTGGTACCGGTTGTTCCTTTCCATGTTTCGGGCTTCCTTCCTGAGCTCTTGTAAGGCAGGCCTGGTGGTGACAAAATCTCTCAGCATTTGCTTGTTTGCAAAGGATTTTATTTTTCCTTCACTTATGAAGCTTAGTTTGGCTGGATATGAAATTCTTGGTTGAAAATTATTTTCTTTAAGAATGTTGAATATTGGCCTCCACTCTCTTCTGGCTTGTAGGGTTTCTGCCAAGAGATCCACTGTTAGTCTGATGGGTTTCCCTTTTTGGGTAACCCGACCTTTCTCTCTGGCTGCAAGGGCAACATTTTTTCCTCCATTTCAACTTTGGTGAATCTGACAATCATGTGTCTTGGGGTTGCTCTTCTCAAGGTGTCCTCTGTATTTCCTCAATTTGAATGTTGGCCTGCATGGATAGGTTGGGGAAGTTCTCCTGGATAATATCCTGAAAAGTGTTTTCCAACTTGGTTCCATCTCCCCATCACTCTCAGGTACACCAATCAAACATAGATTTGGTCTTTTCACACAGTCCCATATTTCTTGGAGGCTTTGTTCATTTCTTTTTACTCTTTTTTCTCTAAACTTGTCTTCTCACTTTATTTCATTAATTTGATCTTCAATCACTGATAACCTTTATTCAACTTGATCAAATCAGCTATTGAAGCTTGTGCATGCATCATGAAGTTCTCATGCCATGGTTTTCAGCTCCATCAGGTCTTTTAAGGTCTTCTCTTTATTCTAGTTAGCCATTCGTCTACCCTTTTTTCAAGGTTTTTAGCTTCTTTGCAATGGGTTAGAACATGCTCGTTTAGCTTGGGGAAGTTTGTTATTACCGGCCTTCTGAAGCCTACTTCTGTCAACTCTTCAAAGTCATTCTCTGTCCAGCATTGTTCCTTTGCTGGCGAGGAGCTGCGATCCTTTGGAGGAGAAAAGACACTCTGGTTTTTAGAATTTTCAGCTTTTCTGCTCTGGTTTATCCCCATCTTGGTGGTTTTATCTACTTTGGTCTTTGATGTTGGTGACCTACAGATGGGGTTTTGGTGTAGATGCCCTTTTTGTTGACGTTGATACTATTCCTTTTTGTTTGTTAGTTTTCCTTCTAACAGTCAGGTCCCTCAGCTGCAGTTCTGTTGGAGTTTGCTGGAGGTCCATTCCAGACCCTGTTTGCCTGGGTATCACTAGCAGAGGCTGCAGAACAGCAAATATTGCAGAACAGCAAGTATTGCTGCCTGATCCTTCCTCTGGAAGCTTCGTCCCAGAGGGGCACCCGCCTGTATGAGGTGTCTGTCAGCCCCTACTGGGAGGTATCTCCCAGTTAGGCTACACGGAGGTCGGGAACCCACTTAAGGAGGCAGTCTGTCCATTCTCAGAGCTCAAATGTCATGCTGGGAGAACCACTGCTCTCTTCAGAGCTGTCAGACATGGACATTTAACTCTGCAGAAGTTTCTGCTGCCTTTTGTTCAGCTATGCCCTGCCCACAGAGGTGGAATCTGTAGAGGCAGTAGGCCTTGCTTAGCTGCAGTGGGCTCCGTCCAGCTCGAGCTTCCCAGCCACTTTGTTTACCTACTTAAACCTCAGCAATGGCAGACACCTCTCCCTCTTCCTGGCTGCAGCTTCGCAGGTCGATCTCAGACTGCTGAGCTAGCAGTGAACCAGGCTCCATGGGCGTGGGACCCACCCATCCAGGCAGGACCCGCCATACCAGGAGAGGATCTCCTGGTATGCCAGTTGCTAAGACCATGGGCAAAGCACAGTATTTGGGCGGGAGTGTCCCGTTTTCCCAGGTAGAGTCTGTCATGGCTTCCTTTGGCTAGGAAAGGGAAATCCCCCGAAGCCTTGCACTTCCTGGGTGAGGCGACAGCCCGCCCTGCTTTGGCTTGCCCTCTGTGGGCTGCATCCACTGTCCAACCAGCCCCAGTGAGATAGACTAGGTGCCTCAATTGGAAATGCAGAAATCACCTGTCTTCTGCATCAATCACTCTGGGAACTGCAGACTGGAGCTGTTCCTATTTGGCCATCTTGGAACAGAAGCTCCAGGACCAATACACTACTGATTTTGTTTTAAACCATCCATTTTCTCTTAAATGGATTTTAAAAATCAGAAAATTATCTTCATATTAAGCAGGTGAAATCTTTATTCCTTCAGTCCATAGCAAGGTGCATATTTATAATAGTTGTTTTAGTGTCTTTCCTGTTAATTTCATCAACACTGTTTTTTCTAGTTCTGCATCTATTAGCTGACTTTTGACCTAGTCATGGGTCATTTTATTTCATTTTTTTTTGTATCTTAGCAATATTAGAGTAGATGCTAGATACAGTGAATTTTATATTGTTGAGTGCTGGATTTTGTTGTATTTTAAACAGTGTTGAATTTTTGTTGGCAGGCAATTCAAAGATTGGTTGATTACTTTGGACTGTTTCTATCATGGAAGGGGTAGTGTTTTGTCCTTCCTGCAATAGACACTTAAAATGAATATAGATATGTCTTCCCTGATTGCAATGATTCTGCCAAAACTATCATCCATGGACTTACAGAATGCCTTATCCACCGTCATTCTACACAGCATTGCTTTTGGCCAAGGAGCTCACTTCACAGCTAAAGAAGTGCAGCAGTTGACATATGCACATAGAATTTACTGGCGTTACTATGTTTCCAGCATCCTGAAGCAACCGGTTTGATATAATAAAGAAATGGCCTTTTGAAGACTCCCTTACAGTGCCAGTGAGGCAGCAATATTTTGCAGGGCTGAAGGAAGGTTCTCCAGACTGTATATGCTCTGAATCAACATCCAATATATGGTACTATTTCTCTGATAGCGAGGACTCACAGATTCATGATCAAGGGATGGAAATGGGAGTGGCATCACTCACTATTACCACTAGTGAACAACTAGCAAAACTTTTACTTCCTGTTTCTACAACCTTATGCTCTTCCGTCCCAGAAGTCATAGTTTCAGAGGGAGGAATGCTTCTACCAGTAGACACAACAATGATTCCATTAAACTGGAAGTTAAGACTGCCACCTGGCCACTTTGGGCTTTTCGTCCCTCTGAGTAAACAACCCAAGAGGGAAGTTATGGTTTTGGCTGGGGTTATTAATCTGGACTACCCAGGGGAAACTGGACTACTCTTCCACAATGGAGTTAAGGAAGAGTATTCTAGAATAGAGGAGAATCTTTAGGGTATCTCTTAATATTACCATGCCCTGTGATTAAGGTCAATGGAAAACTATGACAACCTAATCCGGGCAGGACTATGAATAGCTCAGACCCTGAGTAATTGAAGGTTTATGTTACCCCACCAGGTGAAGAACCATACCCAGCTGAGGTGCTTGCTGCAGGTAAAGAAAATACAAAATGGGTAGTAGAAGAAGGTAGTTATAAATACCAGCTACAACCACATGACCAGTTACAGAAATGAGGATTACAATTGTCATGAATATTTCCTCTTTATTTTGTTAGAAATACATTTTGTATGTATATATACATATGTTAGGCAAATATTTTTCTTTTCTTTACTCTCTTATTTCCTTATTATGTAACATAAGATGTATTGACTTTGTATCAGTATTTAAGCACTGTTAATTTTATATTTTAGTATTTAAGCTACAGGATATCAGGAGAAGACTAAACAACACTCAAGAACTACTTTCTTTTCTAGGTAAGGAATTTGTGCATTTTTGGCTGTATGAAAAATAGTTGTAACATGTTAAGTGGAATGATTAATGTTATGTTATTACCTTATCTAGAGATTGAATATGCTTTAAGTAGATGCATATGGGTGCCAAGTTGACAAGAGACTGCCTTGTGATGATTTATTTTATGTGTCAACTTGACTGGGTTAAGGGATACCCAGATAGCTGGTAAAACATTACTTCTGGGTGTATCTGTGAGGTTATTTCCAGAACAGATTAGCATTTCAATCAATGGACTGAGTAAAGAAGATCTGAGCTCCCAATGTGGGCAGACATTATTCAGTATGTTGAGGTCACAGATAGAAAAAAATTGCAGAGGAGGGAAAAATTCATTCTCTCTTTTAGAGCTGGAATATCCATCTTCCACCCTGAGATGTGAGAGAGGTTCAGGTTCTCGGGCCTTCAGATTGTGGGGCTTACACCAGCATCCCCACTACTCTCTGGTCCTCAGGCCTTTGGCCTTGCATGGAGAGTTACATAATTATCTTCCCTGGTTCTTAGGCCTTTGGATTCAGACTGAATTACACCACTGGCTTTTCTGGTTCTACAGCTTGAAGATGCCATATCATAAGACTTCTTGGCCTCCACAATCACATGGGCCAATTCCCATAACAAATCTCCTTTTGTATATTTATATCCTCTGAATCCTGTGCTCTGGAGATCCCTGACTTATATGTTTAAGTTTTGTTACAATAGCATCCATTTTTACTACCAATGCATATATCAATTAATGTTTGATCAGAGAAATAATAGCACTTGGTTGATATAGAATATGTCATTTATTACAGAGATTTGACCTAATGCAAATTGATCTGACCAAAGAGGTTTGCTCCCTTCATTTTTGCCAGTTACCCACAACTACTGAATAATAAACCCAAGAGCAACTTCAGTGTTTGGTGGCCTGTGGCTAGGCTAGGCAGCCATCTCTCTGCTTTGATACGAGCATTCTGCTTCTGGCTTATCCGTCTGAAACCACATAGTGCTCTTTGAGAACAGAGGTGGCACTTGGAGACTGAGTTTGTTTTAAATATAGAACAGTCATTTCTGACATTGATGTTAGTTACATTTTAAGCCTTGACTATTTAATATTACATTAGAGGTAGTAATCAGTGTAAATAAGAGAAGGCAATTAGAGGCATAAGAATTGGAAAGAAATAAGTAAAAGCATCTTTAATTTCAGGTAACATGATTATATATTTGGAAAATATAAAAGAATCGATGAAAAACTATTAAAATAATAAAATAATTTAGCAAGTAGAAAGTTAAAAAATTAACATGAAATCAAAAGCAAATATATATATATATATATATATATATATATATATATACACACACACACACAAACCAAAGGCATAATGGAAGAGGAGAATCCATTTATGATACCAAATAAGAATATAAAATACTTTGGCATAAAAGCAACAAGAAATGTCCAAAACCTATAAGAGAAAAACTATAAGCTTCTCCTGAATGATATAAAAGTAGACCTGAACAGTAAAGACATACCATGTTCTTGTCTAGAGAGACTCAAATTTGTAAAGATGTCAGTTCTAAGTTCATTTATGCATACAATGCAATCCTAATAAAATGCAACCAGATTGTTTTCTGAACATATACAATTTCATTATAAAGTTCAGTGGGAAAATAAATAAGTATGGAAAAGAAGAGTATTGAGTTGGTCTTGCCATACTTGACACTAAAATGTACTGGAAAGCCTTTATAATTAAAATAGTTTGATGTTAGTGTGTGAATAGACAGACAGACTAATAGAACAAATGAAAAAAAAATCTCAAAATAGATCCAACTGCATATGGGTATTTACAATACAATCAGGGCAGCAGCTCAAATCAGTGGGAGAAAAGGTCAACTTTTTAAAAAGTGGTGTTAGAATAATTGGATAGCCACATGGAAAAAATAAAATTGAATGGAATCCCTCACATTGTACACCAGGATAAATTCCAAATACCTAATACAAACAAAAGGACCAAAAGAAAACATAGTTGAATTCCTCTATAATCTAAGAGCAGTGAAAATTTAATCTAACTCTGATTAAGGAAAAAGATGGAAATTGTGATATTTAAAAAATTTAAATTTTATATGGAAAATACATCATAAGTAAAATAAAAGATAAGATAAAATAGGAAAAATATTTGCAACTTACATTTATAATAATATAAAGAGTTTATACAAATGCAGAAGAAAAAAGCCAACAATCATATAGAACGATGGGCTAGAAATACAGACCATTGACCAAAACAGTACAAATAGCTCTTAAGTTATGAGGAAATGCTCAACCCTAAACATAATAAGAAAATTGAAATTTAACTATGCTATCAGATTGGCAAAAATTCAAGTTTAATAACAAATTCTGTTGGCAGTTCTATGGGGAAGTGGGAACTCATAAATTTCTAGTGTATCTACAAAAGGTTGAACCCCTATGGAGGACCATAGGTGGAACCCTAGGCACATGTATAAAGGAATGAGGACTCTCCATATACTACCATACTACTTTGGAGTGATCGCCAGAATATATTGTTAAGTAAAGAAAGGCATGGTGAAGAAAAGTATGTATAATATTCCACCTTTCACAAAGGAATGGATGACACATATACATACACATACATATATGTTTATATTTAATGCTTTGAAGTATAAGCCATAACATTTTTAAAATTTTGGTTACTGGGTGGGAATAAGGAATGGATAGAGAAGTTAGACTTTTTTGAATTTATGTTCTGTGTAAACTTAAGTTTGAAACCTTGTAAATATTTTAAATATTATAAACATGAATTAAATTTTCAAAAGCAATGTCTAATGATGTGCCTCTATTTGGGCGCATAAACAACATTAAGAAACTATATTCTAGGTGACTTTAAAGCACAGTCATGTGCCTATACCCCAAAGCAAAAAAGAAACTAATATGGGCGCGGTGGCGGGCGCTTATAGTCCCGGCTACTTGGGAGGCTGAGGTAGGAGAATGGCGTGAACCTGGGAGGCGGAGCTTGCAGCAAGCCGAGATCGTTCCACTGCACTCCAGCCCAGGCAACAGAGCAAGACTCCGTCTCAAAAAAAAAAAAAAAAAAAGAAACTAATAAAAAAACTTAAAAAATTAGATTATTTTCAGTAAGCTATGATGGTAATATTGTTATTCTAAGACTATGTGCATAATGAGGGACAAAGTAAATTAACAATAATGTGGTGTCATTGAGAGAAAAGATGTTTGCTGTGGGAGAAATGTAAGAGATAAGAACAATAAGAACGAGTAGAAACCTTGTAGTCTCAAAGTTGAACTGGAGGTATGTATTAGTCTGTTTTCATGCTGTTGATAAAGACATACCTGAGACTGGGAAGAAAAAATAGGTTTCATTGGACTTACAGTTCCATAAGGCTGGGGAGGCCTCAGAATCATGGCGGGAGGTGAAAGGCACTTCTTCCACAGTGGTGGCAAGAGAAAATGAGAAATATGCAAAAGTGGAAAACCCTGATAAACCCATCAGATCTCATGAAACTTATTCACTCTCACGAGAATAGCACGGGAAAGACCGGCCTGCATGATTCACTTACCTCCCACTGGGTCCCTTCCACAACATGTGGGAATTCTGGAAGATACAATTCAAGTTGAGATTTTGGTGGGGGCACAACCAAACCATATCATTCTGCCCTGGCCCCTCCGAAATCTCATGTCCTCACATTTCAAAACCAGTCATGCCTTCCCAACAGTCCCCACAAAGTCTTAACTCATTTCATCATTAACTCAGAAGTCCACAGTCCAGTGTCTTATCTGAGACAAGACAAGTCCCTTCTCCCTATGAGCCTGTAAAATCAACAGCAGGTTAGTTACTTCTTAGATACAATAGGGGTACAGGCATTGGGTAAATACAGCCATTCCAAATGGGAGAAATTAGCCAAAACAAAGGGGCTACAGGCCCCATGCAAGTCCGAAATCCAGCAGGGCAGTCAAATCTTAAAGTTCCAAAATGATCTGTTTGACTCCATGACTTGCATCTGGGTCATGCTGATCCAAGAGGTGGGTTCCCATGGTCTTGGGCAGCTCTGCCCCTGTGGGTTTGCAGGTTACAGCCTCCCTCCTGGCTGCCGTCATAGGCTGGCATTGAGTATCTGTGGGTTTTCCAGGTGCATGGTGCAAGCTGTCAGTGGATCTGCTATTCTGGGGTCTGGAGGATGGTGGCCCTCTTCTCACAGCTCCACTAGGCAGTACCCCAGTAGGAACTCTGTGTGGGGCTCCAACCCCACATTTCCCTTCCACACTGCCCTAGCAGAGGTTCTTCATGAGCATGCTGCCCCTACAGCAAACTTCTGCCTGGTTATCCAGGTGTTTCCATACATCTTCTGAAATCTAGGCAGATTTCAAACCTCAATTCTTGATTTCTGTGCACCCGCAGGCGCAACACCACATTTCCATGTGCTGCCAAGGCTTGGGGCTTGCACCCTGCAAAGCCACTGCCTGAGCTGTACCTTGACCCCTATTAGTCACAGCTGGAGCAGCTGGGATGCAGGACACCAAGTCCCTAGGCTGCACACAGCATGGGGACCCTGGGCTCCACCCACAAAGCCATTTTTTCCTCCTATTTCTCCATGCTTGTGATGAGAAAGGCTGCCACAAAGACGTTGGACATGCCCTGGAAACATTTTCCTCATTGTCTTGGGGATTAACATTCAGCTCCTTTTTACTTATGCAAATTTCTGCCGCAGGGTTAAATTTCTTCTCAGAAAATGGGGTTTTCTTTTTTATTACATTGTCAGGCTGCAAATTTTTGAAACTTTTATGCTCTGCTTCCCTTATAAAATGGAATGCTCTAACAGCACCCAAGTCACCTCTTGAGTGCTTTACTGCTTAGAAATTTCTTCTGCCAGATCCCTGAAATCATCTCTCTCAAGTTCAAAGTTCCACAAATCTCTAGGGCAGGGAAAAAGGCCACCAGTCTCTGCGGAAACATAACAAGGGTCACCTTTGCTCCAGTTCCCAACAAGTTTCTCATCTCCATCTGAGACCACCTCAACCTGGATCTTATTGTTCATATCACTATCAGCATTTTTGTCAAAGCCATTTGACAAGTCTCTAGGAAGTTCCAAACTTTCTCTCATTTTTCTTCTTCTGAGCCCTCCAAACTGTTCCAACCTCTGCTTGTTACCCAGTTCCAAAGTCACTTCCACATTTTCAGGTATCTTTTTAGCAACACCCAACTCCCAGTACCAATTTACTGTATTAGTCCATTTTCACACTGCTGAGAAAGACGTACCCAAGACTGGGAAGAAAAAGGTTTAATTGGACTCACAGTTCCACATTGCTGGGGAGGCCTCAGAATCATGGCAGGAGGCAAAAGGCATTTCTTACATGTCAGCAGCAAGAGAAAATGGGAAAGAAGCAAAAGTGGAAATACCTGATAAACCCATCAGATCTCATGAGACTTATTCACTAGCACCAAATTAGCACTGGAAAGACTGACCCCCATGACTCAATTACCTCCTACTGAGTCCCTCCCACAACACATGGGAATTCTGGAATATATAATTCAAGTTGAAATTTTGGTGGAGGCACAGCCAAATCACATCAAGGTGTCTGGGTAAATTCATGATTTTTCTAGCTCACCAAAAAGACCTAGAGGCTGTGAGCAGCTCAATAACAATGAGCTCCCCTAGGGCCAAAATGATTATCTCTAAATACTATTTCCCACCAAAAGAAACCAGGGCTTCTTGGATAAATAAATGGCTGATTTGAGGTGTGGGGTAGGAAATATACAAAATGAGTCTGAGAAGTCTTGTCATACCAAAATGCAAAAGTACCCATCAGCAACTACTAGTAGAAATGGCTTAGGAGCCAATTAAATAGTCTCCCTTTGGATGAAGGGGAACAATCAAAGCATCAATACAGATAATATCCACAATAGAATAAAATACATGAAATGTGTCAAATCCATGCATATATAATAATAGTTTAAATTATTTTTCATTGATTCCCTCTAAAGGATATTAGAAGACCTACTTAATATTTTTAAAACTGGGAAGTAAAAGAAAACAATCAAGTATTAATTTTGCCATTCCTAAAAAAAACTGTAGCTTAAGGTAAATAAATAATAGATGAGGAAAAGTTTGCCTTTTACAAGTATTTCTGTTAATACTTGAAGAAGAAATGATGGAATTAGAATTTCACCAATTTGCAAAACTTAATGAAATAATGCATCTAGGCAACAATCATCAATGGTCAAAAACAGGAGACAACCAGACATCTTGTACCTCCTGGTGGAAACACAGCACTTCCTATATAGTATTTTTTAAAAATATTAATCTAATCAAGCTTCCAGATCTAACTACCATTTGAAGGATACACAGAGAACAAAGTAACATGTTAACAAAAACCATGAAGATGCAATAGACTATGGGAAACTGTAAGTTAAACAATGTGGTTTTACAACAATAACAAAGTGTAATTTTTTTAAAAAAAAGCAATGGAAAAGGAACATTTTTAAACATATAGTAAAAGAAATTCAAGAGATATATTAATCAATTGAAAGTGTTGGCTTTATTTAGATCCCATTTCAAACTTCCAACTTAGAAAAAGTTTAAAAATAAAAAGAAACATGTATAGAACATTAAAGGACATTTGATAATATTAAGGAATTATGTTGGGTGTGTTTGTGATGATGGTATTGTGATTGTGTTTAATAAGGAATCCTTGTCTTTAGGAAGTATATACTAAATTATACAGATGAAAATTTTAAAGCACACAATAAAATCAGATCATAAAGTAAAAACATTTTATAGATAAAAATTATTCTAGAAAAATCCTTTAATTTGTCCAAAAATACAGAACGAAGTCTATCATCTTTAAATAAATCTAATGGTTTTACCCTTACTCTTTGAACAAATGAGTGTTTCCATGTTCCAAATGAAATAGAAGGCATATATTTAGGAGCCAAATTGCATAGAAATGTGTATTATTAAATTCTGAAATCACAGGCAGTGAGGGCATATAGTTGAATTTATAAAAGTTAAATGTGCATCTGATGGGACCCTACTGTGGCAAATGCTAAACAAGGCATTCTACCCTCGCACAGTACCACATAATTCACAACATACGGCAAAGCACTTGTGGCAGGAGGGTGGTAAGTGGGAGGGAGAGGGAGTAGTTCAGGCACTTGACCTACAAGCTCCAAGGCAAGGGAATAGTCAGGGTGAGAGGCAACATTTGGCATCCAGGTCAGAGCAAGAACAAGTGTCAGCTTGGGCCATCCTGATGGGTAAAGACATTCATTCATTCATTCACTCACTCGTTTTTAAAACTTTTATGGAACACTGTGTGCTAGACACTATTGTACATGATGAGGATACAAAGATGAACACGTGATCCCTTTTCTCTCTTTGCTCACAGTCAAGTATGGAGAAGAGATAAGTGGATTAGTGATTGCAGTGCAACTTAATGAGTACAGATATGTACACATTATATGATGGCGTATTATACATTATACACATCCACACCTGGGTAGGCTTCCAAGAGGAGGTGATGGTCAAGATAAGCTTTGGAGCATGAATAGAAACCAATACAGAGGAGAGTTGGGGACAGAGGGAAAAATGAGTATGTATTTGAGAGCCTGCGAACAAAGAGGCCAAAGGTAATCTGGGAAAAGCAACATCTGAGAAATGCAAACAACTTGCTGTCCAAGAAAAAGATAATAGATTTGGGTCCTACGGGAAATTTCAGTCTTGGGTATTGAAACAAAAGTAGGAACTCCACTCCTGATAGTAGGTTCTCAGATCATAGCAGTGTCAAAGTCCAGTTATCTAAACTAGGGTTTAGGGCAGGGGAAAACTGGCAGAGGCCTGACCTGCACTGCATTATGGAACTGGAGCTGCTTTCCTCCTTCATTCAACAAGTATTTGCTGGGTACCTACTCTGTGTCAGGCACTGTGCTAAGTGCTGGGAATATAAAAGCAAACGTCGTCCCTGCCTTCAGCTTGAATACCTCTTGCTGCCTGCAAGTTGGCAGGATGAGCTTACTGAGTCTTACAATAGGTCTGATTCTGTTGCTGTGCTTAGAAGTATTAAGTACTTGGTATTAAGAGCTTGTGGTTATGGATCAAGTGGATCAGCTTGGGGAAAAGTCAGGGTTCAGATTGGAAGCCCAAAGCTGGCAGGGCCCACCAGAAAGGGATGGGGAAAATTAGGACCTGTTGAATTCCCATTTTCACACCAACTTTTGTGCCCAACTTGTGACTGATAAAAGTAGGCTCTGGTTTGTTTATTGTTAACCATGGATACAGGCAGTCCTGGTGATCTGGGCTTTCTGTCAGCCTGCTACATGGATGAACAAGTCACTGGTGGAAGAAGCTTGTGCTCATAGGCATTGAGGTTGTGTTTAGAACCAAAAGCTTCCCTTCTCCTTTCTCTCACTTGTTTTTGGATTCTAGCCTGTCTAGTAGTGGGAGTCTCTACCACCAAGGTTAAAATTGTGGCATTGTTCAGGGCTTAGGGTTGGCCTCAGGTATGTGAATGCTTGCTATATCTTGGTGATTTCCCAGTCCTGCTGAATGTCCTGAGGAACATGAGGAGAAGAACTGTTTCTGATCTGCCCTCCCTCTTCTCCTCTGCAGTGGCCTGAATGTTTGTGTTACCCCAAAATTACTGTGTTGAAATCCTAACCCCCAAGGTGATAGTATTAGGAGGTGGGGCCTTTGGAGAGTGATTGATTAGGTCATGAAGGTGGAGTCCTCATGATTGGGATTTGTGACCTTGTAAGAGACCCCAGAGAGCTAGCTAACCCCTTCCACTATGTAAGGACATAGCAAGAAGGTGCCATCTCTGAACAAGGAAATTGGCCCTCACCAGACATTGAATATGCTGCTGCCTTGATCTTGGACTTCTCAGCCTCCAAAACTGTGAGCAATAAATTTCTGTTGTTTATAAGCTACTCAGTCTATGGTATTTTGGTATAGAAGCCCAAATGAACTAGGACATCATCTATAATATCAAAAGCCTAATGAACTTTCAAAACCACCTCTTCCATGGAACATTTAATAATAACCATCTGTTTATCATTTAATCATCCTTCCATCTATCAATCCATCCACTCACTTATTCAACAAATATTTATTAAGTATCCACTATGTGGTAAACCTTGATCCCTACTGCAAGGAGCTTAACCCCTCCAGCCTACAGGGATCTCTTTTTCTGACCTGCTATAGTTCTCTTTGGATAGTTAGTCCCCCATTACCTCCTACTGTGACTCAACTTTTCATAGATTTATGACTGGTCTCCCGGTACAGTTATAAGCACAGCCTACAACTGTGTCTGATACTGTTCTGATATCTATCACAGGGCAAGGCCAGCATCCTGGACTTTATTGAACACACAGATAGTGTTCAATCCGTGCTTTTGAATGAATGCATGCAGGCACAAATATCTGCCAAGGTAGGAGTGGAAGGTTCCATTGGCGATTGTACTGGGGCTTTGAGACACTGACTCACCCCCTTCCCTAGCAGGCCTGCACTGGCCTGTGGATGCGGACTGAGAAATGAGGTGCTTTGCACAACGATAAGAACTGAGAACAAGGAACACAGAGTTATAATAAAACTTAAAAAAAAAAAAGTGAAACCTGGCATAGTGGCTCATGCCTGCAATCCCAGAACTTTGGGAGGCCAAGGTGAGAGGATTGTTTGCGTCCAGGAATTCAAGACCAGCCTGGGCAACATAATGAGACTCCTGTCTCTACACAAAATAAAAATAAAATATTAGCTGGTCATGGTGGTGCATACCTGTAGTCCTAGCTACTCAGGAGGCTAAGCTGGGAGGGTCACTTGAGCCTGAGAGGCTGAGGCTGCAGTGAGCTGTGATCATGCCACTGCACTCAGCCTGGGCAACAGAGTGAGAGCCTCTCTAGAAAAAGGTGAAATCTGACTCTCAACATCCTTATTGAGGATCAGTGACTGTAGCTGTTTTGTCAGAGTGCCATAGGGGCAGGTGACATCCTGCCATGTCATCAGGCTCTTACTGCAATCTGATTGGTTCTAGACCAGAAACTCTCATATGACTACAAGCCAAGGCAGGGGAAAAAGGGTGGGGTGTCTTAGTCTTGATTATCAAAACCATCAAACTTGTCTGTCTTGCAGCGCTATAGAATCTCAGGATCTCAGGTCTTGGGCACCATTTCTCACTTGTGAATTTCTGTGCTTCTAAACTGTGATAAAGGTTAGTCTTTAGTCTTTAGCAAATTCCAAGTAGAATAAGTTGGGATGCCCCAGCCTTTATCTAATTCACTCTTCCTCCCCTCTTTTCACCTTATCAGCAACCCCATTTTTAGCCATGGTGCCAGCAGTCTGATGAAAGAATCTGATAAATTTATTTGTACTGAGGTATAAAAGACACCTGCAGGTATGGCTACATTTAGGATGAAATCTCATGATAGAGAAATGAGAATCTACCAGTGGAAGCTCAGGTATCATTACTTGGCAGTAGACATGTAAGAAACATTTAGGGAAAACATAAAGTGCCTCTAAAATTACACTAATTGTCAATGAATTGGTATGTCTGATCTTCCATCTCTCCTTACCCTTGATATCAGGCAGCTCATCCTAACCTCAAATCTTTTTAAAAATCAACCTCTTAATTTTCACTATTGAGAAGAGTTGAGTAATACACAAAGGGCACAATTTCAGATACTTCTTTTTCCCAAATGCTTCTGTTTCTAGAGTGTGATCACGTGGGTCTTTAACAGAATTGGCTAGAAATGCTGAGGTTGTCAAATTTCAAAACAGAGTTACTTTTGCTGACTTAAAAGATGAACACATGCCATAAAATCAGGAGCTGTTCAGTTATCTAGTGAATTTAGGGTCATTCTAACTGTCTACACTGATAATTCAAGGCAGCAAAGTTGTCACAGTATGATTTATACTCATTGGCTGCCAGGATAATTCTGAGCTTACGAGGGGAGTGGTCAATTCTATGAGTACTGGAAATCAGAAAATACTTCTTGATTTGAACTCCTGACCCTGGAAAAGGGCCACTTTTCCCATGAAGTGTTTTCTGACTTCCAATTGACCACCCCCCTCATTGGGACACTCAACAAGGCCCCTTCCGCTAGCCTGTGAATAATCCCTTAGGCGGGGATTGGGTGATGTATATTTGTGTCCCTCATGCTTACAAAATATCGGCACAAATGGAATACAGCAAAATATTTGTGAATGAATAAATTCAGCCTCATTCACTCTGGTAGGTGATCACATCCTTTGTGGATTGAATATAAGTCACAGAAACTTTGACTAAAATCACTGTTATATCTTCACTGGTGTCACCCACTTAAGGTGCTGGATTACAGGTATGTATAGAGCAAGCTCAAGGGTAGGGACAAGGGTATGCTATCAATTTCAGCTTCCCAGATTACAGGTCAGACAAAGGATCCAGTGTATTTTGACATGCTTGGTTTGCCCGAGTTGATCAGAGCTCCAGGAACCTGTAAGGGAACACTCCAGATGCATTTATTTTAGTATTTATTAAGGTAGATAACTCAAATTTAAAGTTGAACTATTCCTTGCTGTGATTATGCAGAAACCTGGGGCTATACTTTATCTTATTCAAAATAATAGAATTCACTAGCATTGAGATAGTTCCAGTCAAGCAAGGATATTAAAACACCTCCTCCTGCCAAACACAACACACAGCATGAACTCAGAGCCAATATGCTAAGACACTGAAAACAAACATGGGCAGACAGACAGACAGCAATGTACACTGTGTATAGCATAGATCCGCTTGGATAGCTGAAGCCCTCTGCATCTCAGCCAAGTGGGAGAATGTTACAGGATGCTTTTGCCACTTAATCAAAGAGGTGGGGCTGCCCATCCTCTCAGGCCATGGACTTGGCTCTTCTTTACTGAGCAGGGCTCAAATCCACTGAATGCTACTCCTGCCCCACCAAGCGACCTTTGGCCTCAGAGTAGCCAGCTCCTCTGGAATGATCTGAAAGTAGCTCTGCCTGGTCCCCATTTATGGGAAATTCCTTTCCATGAGTCTCAAACTCAGTTTGTAGTTGGACCGCCTGTGGTGACGCTTGGGGAGGCAGTGATGGCCACTCCTTTTTCTTCTTGAGTGAAGGGGGAAAGGAGCTGAGAGGGGAGAAAGAGACTCCACTCTGAATGAAAAGGATCTGAGGCCACTTTGAGTTGCGACCAGAGCCACAATTGGTGGGTTCTTCTCTGTGCCAGGCACTTTACATCCCTGCTTCACTTTATGCTTTAAACAACTGTGTAAGCTAAGTATTACTATTCCCATTCTGCAGATGAGGAGACAGATTCAGAGGCATTAAACAGCCCACCCCACTTATTCAGCTGCTAAGAGGCTAACTTCTGACATCAATGCTTAGCCCACTGCATGATGTTGTCCCCTCTCACTGAATGCTGTGTTCCAGAGGAAATCTCCCTCCAGACTGAGCTCCTCCATGCCCTCAGGACAATTGAGAATAGAAGAGATAATTCTTGGGCCACCACTGGCATGGGAAGAGGCCCACCTCCCAAGCTTGGAGTTCTAGAGGATGACTTCATTCTCCATCTTCATTCCTCTGTTGTGCAGCGGGGCTTGGCTTAAGATAATGGGAACAGATGTTAAGGCTGACCCACCAGCCCTCAGAGTCTGCGATCCTGGTAGGGGCTGCTTTCTACGCACTCAGAACCCTGCTGGAACCAATCTTGTTAAAATATAACGTTTGTTTACCTAACATAAATTGTTATAATAGGTTTTTTCTTTACAGCAACATGTCCTTCACTGTGCTGGGGAAGAAAGGGCTCATAATGGCCATCCTTCGCTCTTAGATATTTTCTGAGGAACTACTTAGTAACTGAAGGAAAAATAGCATTGTAAAATTAGTCTGTTAACAGCAGCAGCAGTATTATATGAACCTTAATCTCATATTTATCCTGGTACAACATCATTTAAACAATATAGAAAGAACCATGCTAGCCACCAGGGCCAGACAATGACTTAGATAATAAACTATTTCCAAATTTTTATTTCTGCCTTTCACTGGAACTTTTCTATCCTAATTATCCATATACTTTAGCTGATATTTGATGCTATGAGTGGGTTTTTATTTCAATATCCTCAATGTATTCCCACTAGGAAACTATTTTTACTTTTTTCTGTAATTGGACTGTTAAAATTTCCTACGCAAGAAAATTAGCATTTTTCCCATAGTTTTAAAAAAAGGCAAACCCTGTTTTCAATAGGAGACCTCAGAGAAGACACTTAACTTGTGCTTCTGATTTATTATGACTTTTTCTGGCTCATTTTAAAAATACCCATTACTGAAAGGCCTCTAGTATATGTCCATGTTAAAAAGTGGTTAAATTAGTTGTAGTTATTTTTATTCTTATATCTAGTTCCAGTTAAAGTATATGTCTAAATATAATTAAATAGTGTAAGAAATTATTAAAATAGTTAAATTTCAGAAGTTAAAATATAAAATCTTCATGAAAGAGAAAAGCCAAATAAATAGTGTCAGAGAATCCTTAAACTCCAGAGCCTGCCCTGTAGGTCAAGAAGCAAGAGGGGAAATGAGCTGATGAGAATCCTCTAAAGACATCCCTTTGTCTTCCTGAAAAAGCCAGTGAGAGCAGGTGACCAGTGGACCTTCAGAGCCCTGGGATGCTGTGCCCAAAGTAAGGATCAACTTGATATCATGGTCTGAGACACTCAGTAAATATTTGTTTATTTTATTTAGAGAGCTGGGACCTACCATGCTCAGATTCTGAATAATAAACATCTTGCCTTAAAGCAATAGTTTGAATTGCCCTTGTATTTAGCAAAGGAAATGCAGCCTTTAGAGGGCAAGCTAATATGATGGAGACAGTTGGTAATTAGACCACTTTGAAATAGTTCCTGTTACACAGAGCTCTTATTTTGACGCAAATCAATGCATCACTCTTACCCTTTAAACTCTCCCCATTTCCTATCAGACCAAATCACAGCATGACCTTTAACAGATTCTCAGTCTGAAATTCCCTCTTCCTTGCTTGGCTGTTCTCTGTTATGTGGCCACTCTCTGTTATAATAACGTATTGATGTTGGCTCCCAGAATAATGACTATTTCACAGACCATTGTAACCAAAGAATTACAGACATCCCTTGAAGATATTGCAAGTTCAGTTCCAGACCATCATAATAAAGTCAATATCACAATAAAGTGAGCCACACATTTTTTTTTCTCAGTGCATTTAAAAGTTATGTTTACACTGTACTGTAGTCTATTAAGTGCACAGTAGTATCATGTCTAAGAGGAGTCATAATTTTTTGCTGGTGGAGGGTCTTGCCTCTATGTTAATAGCTGTTGACTAATCGGGGAGGTGGGTGCTGAAGGTTAGAATGGCTGTGGCAATTTCTTAAAAGAAGACAACAATAAAGTTTGCACCATCTATTGACTCTTCCTTTCATGAAAGATGCCTCTGTACTATGCAATGTTATTTGATAGTATTTTACCCACAGTAGAACTTCTTTCAAAATTTGACTTAGCCCTCTTAAACCCTGCCACTGCCTTATCAACTAGGTTTATGTAAAATTATAAATCCTTTGATGTCACTAAAGATGTTCACAGCATCTTCACCAGGAATAGGTTCCATCTCAAAAAACCACTTTCTTTGCTTATCCATAACATGCAATTGCTCATCTGTTCAAGTTTGATCATGAGATTGCAGCAATTCAGTCTCATTTTCAGGCTCTACTTCAATTCTAGTTCTCTTAATATTTGTACCACATCTGCAGTTACCTCCTCCACTGAAGTTTTGAATTCCTCAAAGTCAACCATGAAGGTTGGAATCAACTTCTTCCAAACTCCTGTTAATGTTGATATTTTCACCTCCTCTTATGAATCACAAATGTACTTCATGGCATCTATAATGGTGAATCCTTTCCATAAGGTTTTGAATTGAGTTTGCTCATATTCATCAGAGCAATTACTATCTATGGAAGCTATAGCCTTACAAAATTTATTTATTAAATAATAAGTCTTGAAGTCCATATTTATTTCTTGATCCATGGGCTACAGAATGAATTCTGTCTTAACAGGCATGAAAACAACATGAATTGGCTTGTACATCTCCATCAGAGCTCTTGGGTGACCAGGTGCATTGACAATGAGCAGTCATATTTTGAAAAGATCCTTTTTTCTGAGCAGTAGGTCTCAACAGTGGGATTAAAATATTCATTAAACCATGCTGTAAACAGATGTGCTATCATCCAGGCTTTGTTCTTCCATTTCTAGAGCACAGGCAGAGCATATTTAGCATAATTCTTAAGGGACCCAGGACTTTTGGAATGGTAAATAAGCATTGGCTTCAACTTAAAGTCACTGCTGCTGCCCCTAACAAGACAGTTCTCCTGTCCTTTGAAGCCAGGAGTTGACTTCTCCTCTCTAGCTAAAGCCCTAGATGGCATCTTCTTGCAGTATAAGGCTATTTCATCTACACTGAAAAACTGTAGTTTAGTGTAGGCAACTTCACTAATTGTCTTCGCTAGATCTTCTGGATCACTTGCTGTAGCCTATACATAAGCCCTTGCCCCTTCATTTTACACTTTCATGTTATAGCAACAGCTTCTTTCCTTAAACCTCATGAATCAACCCCTCCTACTGCTGACTTCTCTTGTACAGCTTCCTCACCTCTCTCAGTCTTTACAGAATTGAAGAAAGTTACAGCTTGCTCTGGATTTGGCTTTGGCTTAAGGGAATGTTGTTGCTGGTTTAAATCTTCCATCCACACCACTAACACTTTCTCCGTATCAGAAATGCAGCTGTTTTGCTTTCTTATACGTGTGTTCACTGAAGCGGCACTTTTAATTTCCTTCAAGAACTTTCCCTTTGCATTCACAACTTGATTGTTTGGTGGAAGAGGTCTAGCCTCCTATTTTGGCTTTCAACATATTTCCTCATTAAGCTTAATCACTTTTAGCTTTTTATTTAAAATGAGAGACATATGACTCTTTCACTTGAACACTTAGAAGCAATTGTAAGGTTATTAATTGGCCTAATTTTAATATTATTCTGTCTCAGAGAACAGGGGGGCCCACAGAGAATGGGAGAATGACTGGTTGGTAGAACAGTCAGAACACACGCATTTATCAGTTAAGTTTGCTGTCTTATATGGGCACCTCAAAGCAATTACAAAAGTAATGTCAAAGATCACTGATCACAGATCATTATAAAGGATATTATAATAATGAAAAAGCTTGAAATATTGCAAGAATTACCAAAATGTGTCACAGATACATAAGTGAGCACGTGCTGTTAGAAAAATGGCTCTAATAGACTTGTTTGATGCAGGGTTGCCACAAACCTTCAATTTGTAAAAGTGCAGTATCTAAAGCAAAGCATAATAAAATGAGGTATGTCTCTATTTGAAACAACTCTTTCTTGAAAGGAGTCCAGTTCGAAGACCTTCGTCCTGATTTGGAACCAATAGTCCTGAAAGGAGACTGTTATATTGAGTCCTGGGAATCACGTAGGTGATTAAGGCTCATTGCTAGGGCCACAGATGACCTGTTTGAGGGATTATTTTCCCCAGTCCACCCCACTACCATGCATGCCACACACAAGTGTGTGCATACACATTGCACACATATACGTTTAGAATGCAGCCAAAGTTGTTCACCCTTTGCCAAAAATACTTGCCTCTTGCCTTCTTTTCCTGCCTTTCTGCCTACTCAACAAATACCTAATCATCTTTCTAGATTCAGGCTCAAGAAATGTTTGCTCTATAAACCCTCCCCTGTGCTGGACCTGGCTAGTACTGGCTGTCAAAAGCTGCTTGTGTGCATCTCTTCCCATGTCCTTGTTAGTAATTTCACTTTGATATCTTGACATTGACCATGAAGGGAGCATTTATTCCAAGGAAATCAGCAAATGCTACAAATCAGTGCTTTTTCTTTCCCCAAAGAGCTAGTTTTTACACATTTACCAGCATCCTACTGGATGCAACCCAGTGTTTGACTTTACAGAGAGAGAAAACACTCTATGGTAGTGGAACAAGGATTCTAACATGAACTGGAATTCACTGCTAGGATCACTGTATGTTTCCTTCATGTCTCAAATATCTCAAATAAGGACTTTCTATCCTTTTCTGTCTTCTCTGGTCTTTTCTACTAATTCCAGTGCTCTATTTCTGTGTTCAGCTGTGGGGTCTTTAAGTTTGAGGGCAACAGCTTCTGTTTGGGCAACACTGAAGAGAGGAAATGCTCCCTAGAAAAGATGCATTTTGAGGGAGCAAGCAGGACAAGCAGACGGTGAGGAAAGACAAAATGGTAGGCTGGGAGGAGTGGCTAGGAGAAAGGGTTGGGGTAGAAATTTGTAAGCCCTGCAGAGCCAAGGTAGGAAAACTTAAATATCTGATGCTTTGACCTCTCTGTAGGTAACAGCCCTAACCCACACAAAGACTATCTCATCTTTCAAGATGGAGGGTGCCTAGTCTGTATTCTGTTATTAGCTTTGCTTCCTTAGCTAAGGCAAGGATTGGGACTAGGACTGAGTCTTGTGTGTTGTGGGAGGGGCAGGCAGCTGTCAAAGAGGTGCCAGCTAAGCTGTCTGGGAGCTAAGCCATAATTAAATGATAGGACAAATGTCAAATTTCAACAAGTGAAGCTCAGGAGAATTATCCGGATATGTTTATATCCCACATGAAAACACAGTACTAATCCCTACACAGGGAGTTGATAACAGATACCAGGAACTTACTGAGATTCTCTAACTAAGGAGTTTAAAGCCAAGCTAACACCATTTGAAAGGTGTTGAAAGTTGGGACTTTTATGAAAATTACTTTATTTAAGATACACAAATTATTGCCAAGTGAACTCTGATGAGATTTCTCTGAAACCACCAGGTAAAAAAAATGAAAGAGGGACCAAAAACCAGTAAAATTTTGAATATAGTTGAAGATTTATCTTTTACAATACTAGATCTCAAATGAACTCAACATTAGGGTGGGACAGTGATAGTCACTGGGGTTGGTATTTCTAATAAAAGTGAAATTATGTGAGCAATCCATGGCCCTTAGTAGTATTTATTTTTTAAAGCTCAGATAGTTGTTTATATATTTTCCTTTATTCCATGTTCCTAAAGCCAATTAGTCATGAAGTGGTGTCTCCCCACTGTCTTGTTTTGCAGCATGTTTGCCTTCAGTCTGATAGTTGGTGTTCTGGCCCTGGGGAGGAGGTCAGGGGGCAATCTACTTCCCAGAATTAGGTTTAAAAATGTTTTTCTTCCTCCTTGGTTTGTGGCTATCATTAGCAGGGCCAAAGACAGGATTATGTTTTTGAGAAATGCATTCCTTTCTACCCAAACCGGTGTTACCTATTAAATGTCATTTTCAGCCTTGAAGGAGAGGCCCGAGACATTAAGAGTTCTTGACTGGGGCTCTCAGGAAAAGAGACAAGGCCCAGTGGCCGTCCTTGAGAATCAGAACAGGAGAATTTCAGCTGGTCCTTTGGGTGCCCCCGAGCCTCCCCATCTCCTCACCCAGTGAATGCAGCCCTCCAAAAACACCTCATGGAGTTGGCAGCCAGCTCCCTCAGCTTGCAATTAGATGATCCCAGGCTACTAGCCCTCAGTGTGTTTAAGGCCTTTATCTCTATGAGCTATTTCTAATACGTTCTTTCTGCACTTAGCCTGCAACCACAAAGGGGTATTATTAAAAACATAGAGGAGAAGTAGATAAAAAACTTAATATGCCAATTAAAATACCAAGCAGAAACCAGAAGAAACCATTCTCAGACTCACAATTCCCCAGATACAGATAGCCCGGAAGGAACTCAGGCTAAGAGAGCAAAGAAACATCTTGTAGTAATCTCAGAGCCAGGCGCTTACTTGGAGCTATTTACTTCCTGGTTTGGGAGACGTTTTGCACTAGGTTATTTGGAATTCTCAACTCCCACTTATTGCTAGCTCTATAAATGCTTGTGAATATTCATAATAAAAATAGCTACCATTTACTAAGTCCTTATTTGGACCACAAACTGTTAGTGCTTTATATATATTGTTTTATTTTATTTTATTATATTTTCTTAAGAACTGTATAAGACAATCATTAATATTCCCATTTTACAGATGAAGAAATTAAAGGTTAAACCATTGAAAATAATGTATTAATTTATTTATGCCGGGTATTCTGGTAAGAGCTTTACACAAATGGCTTCATTTTTCTTTATTGACAATGCTTACTGAGTGCCAAGTACTGTTCTAAGTGCTTTGCACATATTAACTTAATTAATTCTCCCAACAGACCTATGACGTAGGTGCCATAATTATCTCCATTTTTCAGATGGGGAAGCTGAGGCAGAAAAGTTAAGGACTGGTCCATAGTAAGTAGCAGAGCCAGGAATTGAACCCAAGCATCTGGTGCCAGAATTCATGCATCTGAACCACTTGACTGTGCTGTCTTTCATCATTTTTGCCCTATCAGGTGCCCTATACCTATTTTCAGACAAGAATATTTACCCAAAAATCCCCAACCAGTAGAGCAGACTTTTGAAGCCAGGTCTCTGGGACCCCGAAGGCCTTGTTCAAGCGCTCTGCTATCTATCCATATCACGTTTTTCATTAGGCTCAATGAGGTTTGTATAATTCAGCCTCATCAATTGGGTTATAATGCTTTGGAGTTACTAAAAGTTTTATTTACTATTTTCACTAAAGGACTCTGCTCCTAGTATGTGGTAAGTAAATGTTCTTGGCTAATTGTGGACATTAATAAGATGCTCTTAATGAGGGGACAGATGTGCACACATGGTCAAGTGGCCATTGAGATACTTCTTTTGGCTCTTATCCAAATCATAACATTATAGAAATCTTTGCAAAATAAGACTTGTATAAGTGCAAAGAACATTGTGCCAGATTCTAATTATCCCTATTATTTTATTATTATATGTTATACATTGCAGCTTATATGTTGTTTTTTAATATTGTGTATATAGATGTATATATATATATTGATAGACACACACCCCAAAACAATATTTTATATATAATATGTATAACATTATATAATATGTAATATATAGTGTATAATGGGAAATATATGCACAACTACATCTTTCAAACTTACTTTAAACTGTCTGGTTCAAAGTGCATGTGAACTTCTCTGAAATTCTTTCCTGAAAATTTTAGTAAAGCAATGTTCATGTGAGGAGCTAAACACAAGTAGAATGCTTAGTTTTGCCTAAGGGATGGTTTAAACATACACAGTACACAGTTTTTGTAAAGCAGAGAATATGTTAGAACATAAAAATGAGTTCAGAAAGATAATTTCTACAAGGCAATTCCCACCTCCTGGTATTCATGCCTTTGTGTGCTCCCCTCCCCTTGAGTGTGGGCTGGACTTATTGACTCACTTCTAAGGAACAGAATACAACAGAAGTGACAGATGTCACTTTCAATTTCAGGTTATAAAAAAGACTGTGGCTTCCATCTTGGGTGCCTTCTCTCCCCCTCTTAGTTACTCACTCCAGGGGAAGCCAGGTGCCATGTTGTGAGGTGCTCTATGGAGAGGTTCACATGGCAAAAAATTTATGTCCTCAGCATACAGCCAATGAGAAGCTGAGGCCTGCCAACAGCACATGCATGAGCTTGGAAGAGGATCCTCCCTGAGTTGAGCCTTGAGATAGATGAGGCAGCATCAGCCAACACTTTGTTTGAAGGCTTGTGGGAAACCCTGAGTTCAAAGCACCCAGCTAAGTCACACCCAATTCCTGACTCACAGAAATTGTGCAATAATAAATGTTTGTTGTTTTAAGCAACTAAGTCTTGCTAGTAATTTGTTTAGCAGTCACGGACAATCAATAGAGCAAAGAAAAAACAGCACAGGCTTTGGAGTCAAGCAGACCTTGGCTAAAGCCTAACTTGGCTAAATCAACTGTGCAACAATAGACAGTTTATTTAGCCTCTCTGAGTCTCCATTTCCTCAACTATAAAATGGTGATAACAGTAATCCTTGCAGAATTATTATTGTTATTAAATCAAATAACATGTAGTAAGTGACTATTTAAAGGCTTGAAATACATTGTGTTTAATCTAATATGTGATTTATCTTTCCTCTCCCTTCATATTCCCATTAACCCCTTCTTACACTTGTCACCCTTTCTTGGGGATAGGTATTTGAAATGATAGTGAGGGTGGAAGATTTCAAAAAACAGTGGTGCTCAAGGAGACAGGATATAACAGAATTTTAAAAATAGAGGAGAAATCACTTGATCTAGAGGTGGGGAGAGAAGGAAGAGGTACAGTAAAGGAAGAGAAGTCAACCCTAAAGATCCACTTCTTGCCAACATGTTTGTTTTTCTAATTTCATTGCAGAGAGTGAATGTGTGTGTGTGTGTTAGTCACTCTTCCCCACAAAAATGGGTATTCCCAGAATGATGAATGAAAGATGGTCTTAATTTGATATGATTTTCCTCATAGTAATAAACACATTGTCTTCTACCAACAGTTTCTAAAGCTAACTAATTTTACTTCTTTTTCAAGGAGGAATAAAACCAAAGGAAAGGGCCCCAAGAAGGCTCAGCAATCTTGGGCAGTTTTTGTGGGTTGTGCAGAAACCCCAGGCTCCCAGCTGAGAGCAGGATCTAACATTGGAAATAAAACAAAAGCATTTACGAAAGCCAAGAAACTTAGGGCTAGGTAGTGAGGTGCCCTTATTTTACAGATTAGAAAACTGAGAGCTGTAAAATCTCTCAAGGCTGGGAAGGCAGCTGAAGAATGGGTGAACCTCCCCTGGGGGAAGGGCACTTGGATTCTTTTCTTTCTGTGGATGTGAGGAGTGTTTACCTAGCCCAGGAAGGACTTACTGGAAGGGACTGGTTTGAGTTGTGAATTGAAAAACTGATGTGAAGAGGTAAGATGAGGAACACCCCAGGAGAGCAGAGCCCAAATGGGACCATTCAAAGGCCATTTGTAGCCAGTGAAAAATGGAAGGCAGATGGAAGAAGAAGAAGAAGAGGAGGAGGAGGAGGGAGGAGGAGGGAGGAGAAGAAGAAAGAGGAGGAGAATGAGGAGAAAAAGGAGGAGGAGAAGGAGAAGGAGGAGATGAGAGAATAAAGTTTAAACTCCAAGTGGACAATGGTAAGAAAGTCAATCAGTGGAAATGTTTCATGTGAAAAATCAAAGAAAAGAAGGGTAAGACCAAGAAAAGAGCTAAGTTTGCCAGCAATGAGGAAGGTAAGGGGTTTACAGCAGACGAAGGAGGAGGCTGCAGAGGATTATAAGGGCAGCTAACATTTGCTGGGCACTCACCACAAGCCAAGCACTCTTGTAAGGCGTAGTGTTTACATTCGTATTTATTTGTTTAATTCTCATGACAGATCTATGAGGCTAACAGCAGTCAGATAGTGTCAGGTTCCAAGAATTGGTGAAAATCATGGTTATGAGAAATACAGAATCAATATGTCAATTAAAGAAGAAAAATGTTGAGTTCAAAGCCAGATAGAGTTGAGTTCAAATCCTGGCTCCACCACATCTGCCCAGATATGCCTAGTAGCGCTCATTCAGGAAAACAGCTTAAACTTCCTAAGACCCAATTTCCTTATGTGGAAATAGGGTTAATGATAATGTCTACTCCACAGAGTCAATGTGAAAACCAAGGTGACACAGAACATGCATAATGCCTGGCATGGTGACTGACATGTGTGAGGATTAAACAGTAGCCACAAGTATTGCTGTTGCTGTTGTTTGTGGTAACAATGTCTTAATGTCTATTGTTGGCGAGTTTCTGTCATCTTAAGAAAATACAAATGCAGAGTCCTATATTCATCTTAATTGAAAGTTAGTTTACAGTGTGGCATACTCTGAAGAGTGTGGGAAAAGGATTGAGGAGAACCACGTTTTAGTCCCCCTCTGAGGTCCACTTGCCATGTGACCTTGAACCTAGGTATAAATATCTCTGAGATTACAGGAGAGGGAGAAATGAGCTCTAAGATTACTTCTAGTTTAAAAAAAGTGGCCACACACTGTGGCTCCCGCCTGTAATCCCAGCACTTTGGGAGGCCGAGGTGGGTGGATTGCCTGAGGTCAGGAGTTCCAGACCAGTCTGGCCAACATGGTGAAACCCCGTCTCTACTAAAAATACAAAAAAATTAGCCAGGCTTGGTGGAGTGTGCCTGTTACCCCAGCCACTCAGGAGACTGAGGCAGGGGAATTGCTTGAACCAGGGAGGCGGAGCTTGCAGTGAGCTGAGATGGCACCACTGCACTCCAGCCTGGGCACAGAGTGAGATTCCATTTCACACACACACAAAAAAGCCCATTCTGTAGGTTGTCTGTCCACTCTGTTAATAGTTTTCTTTGTTGTGCAGAAGCTGTTTAGTTTAATTAGATCCCATTTGTCAACTTTTGCTTCTGTTGCAATTGCTTTTGGTGTCTTTGTTATGAAATCTTTGCCGCTTCCTATGTCCAGAATGGTATTGCCTAGGTTGTCTTCCAGGGTTTTTACAGTTTCAGGATTTACATTTAAGTGTTTAATCCACCTTGAGTTGATTTTTGAATATAGTGTCAGAAAGAGGTCCAGTTTCAATCTTCTGCATATGGCTAACCAGTTATTCTAGCACTATTTTTCATAATAAGACTATTAAAAATATCAACTCCTTGAACTATATGGCTTCACAACTCTGAAAAAAAATCAAAATTAAAATTAAATAAATACATCTCCTCAAAAAACCAAAAACATAAAAACCTAATGGGTGAAAAAGTTGAAGCTTTAGTTGACTGTGGCAGGCAGAAATTAGATAAGGCTGGAAGCAGATATAGGAGTAAGACCGTGTAAACTTCATAAGCCATCATAAGAATTTTAATCTTTATTCTGAGACCTGTGGCAAATCCGTGACATAATTTAGGCAAAAATGTGACACAATCAGATTTGTATTTTGTTTATTTTTATTTTTATTTGAGACGGAGTCTTGCTCTGTCCCCCAGGCTGGAGTGCAGTGGCTTGATCTCGGCTCACTGCAAGCTCCGCCTTCCAGGTTCATGCCATTCTCCTGCCTCACCCTCCCGAGTAGCTGGGACTACAGGCACCCGCCACCATGCTCTGCTAATTTTTTGTGTTTTTATTAGAGATGGGGTTTCTCCGTGTTAGCCAGGATGGTCTCGATCTCCTGACATCGTGATTCGCCCGCCTCGGCCTCCTAAAGTGCTGGGATTGCAGGCGTGAGCCACCGCTCCCAGCCCAGATTTGTATTTTGAAAATAACAATGTGACTCCCCCTTGACTGTAACCCTAGCATCTAGAGGCTAGGCATAATACAAAACAACTCTCATAAGTAACTGATGAGTGAAAGAATTGATGATGGATGGAAAACCATTTCCTTCCCCCATCTCAGTTTCCTTAGCTGTATAATGAAGAGAATAAACCTGCTTATTTCCTTGTCTGTCCTCTTTTTGATCTACTGTCAGGAATGTTGGGTAGACAAATGATGTAATAAATAGAAAATAACTTGGGCATCTCAGGAAGTACCACTCTTTAAAAGGGTGGCAGCAAAAATATTCTCGTAAATTAAGGAGTAGCACATCTGTAAACTAAATTAAATATGAGTGTCTGCTCTAGTTTCTGATGATAGAAGTATCCTAAATGAAATAGGGAAGGATGGGGAGCACACCTCAAAACATGAAGGTTTTTGAAGACTTGATTCCTGAAATTGTGTTTCCATTTGCGTTTAGAGATGTTTAGAGTGAAATCAGTATTTTCTTTTGAGAAGCACATTATGAATGCAGCCTAGTCAATATGTCAAGGTGTGTGTGTGTGTGTGTGTGCGTGCAAGTGCATGCGTATGTGAGATATATATATATATATATATATTGCATTTTTATAATGTTAGTCTAGTTTGTAAAAAAAATTTATGTGAGCAGCCGGAGTTTGTCATAAGCAATAAAATCTTTCATGTGGATTCTTTCCCATTCTTTTCAGGGGAATTTCTCAGAATTTTTTCCACAACTGTTTCAGACTCCAGAGAGTCCTCAGTGTTGGTTTTTTCCCAGCCATTGCTGTTTTCTTCCCCTTTGCCACAGCACTGGGAGAGATAGACAGGCCATTCCTGGAGTACTGTTTGTTGATTAAATGAGAACTTTTGGCATCAGTGGTCTTTTGCAGCTTGGCAGGTCTGGAATAATTGGAGGAAACATTCCTATCCCATATTATTAGTGACTCTGAATTCAGATGATTACAGAACAGAAAAGTTCACAGAAATACTGGCATTCCTCTGGGAGATTACTGTGGAAAGGACCAGTCTCTTACCTGGGAGGCCAGGGATTTACCACGAGGTGCAGTTTGAGGTGTGTCAGAGGCCTCCCTTGCCTTATTCCATCTCACTGTGGAAGATGGACAGTTTTCATCAAGTGAGTTAGCACTCTGCCTTTGCGGCCCCCAAATATTCTCACTTTGCTTTGACACTGCAAGACACTCAGGAACTGAGCAGTTGATTGACCGCAATAGCTCTAGCCTCTCTCTCAGTCTGCCTCATTCTGCCTCACAAATATGAGAAAAATTTTCTCATGCATCAACTAGAAACCAAATTTCATTAGTGTTTTTACCTAATTTGCAAAGAAACAAAAGAACTGCAAGACTTGTACACTGAAAACTATAAAACATCATTGAAAGAAATTAGAGAAGCCTTAAATAAATGGAAAGCCATCCCATGCTCATGGTCAGAAATTTTAATATTGTTGATATGGCAATACTCCCCACACTGATGTACAGATTCAACATAATCCCTATCAAAATCCTAGCTTTCTTTTTTGGTTTCCAAGAATTACCAAGCTGATCCTAAAATTTATAGAGATATCAAGGAACCTAGAATAACCAAAACAATCTTGAAAAAGAACAAAGTTGGAGAACTCATACTTCCCAATCTCAAAACTTACTACAGTGCTATAGTAATTAAAACAGAGTGATCTGGTATAAGAATGGATATATAGCTTAGTGGAACAGAATTGATAGTCTAGAAATAAATCCTAAGTTTATGGTCAATTGATTTTCAGCAAAGAGACAATTCAATGTGGAAAGAATCATCTTAAACTAATGAAGCTCTGACAACTGGATATTCACATGCAAATGGATGAAACTGGACCCCTACCTCAAGCCATATACAAAAACTGACTAGGAATGGATCACGGACCTAAATGTAAGAGTGAAAACTCTAAAATTCTTAGAAAAAAAATAGGCATATCTTTGTGACTTTGGATGATACAATGGTCTTAGACATGACATCCAAAATACAAGCATACACACACAAAAAAATGCACTGGGTTTCATCAAAAATTAAAAACTTTTGTGCTTCAAAGGGCACCATCAAGAAAGTAAAAGACACTCAAAGAATAGAAAAAAATATATATTTACAAATCATATATCTAGTGACGGACCTATTCTAGAATATTTGAAGAACATTTATGATTCAACAAATAAAAGACAAATAACCTAATTAAGAAAATGAACTTGAATAGAAATTTATCCAAAAAAGATATGCAGATGGTTAATAAACTCATAAAAAGATACCCAACATCATTAATCATTAAAAGAATATCAATTAAAACCACAACGTGATTCCACTTCACACCCACCAGGATGGTACAATAAAAAAGACAGACAATCTAAGTATTGACTAGCATGAAGAGAAAGTGGAACTCTCATACATTGCTCGTGGGTATCTAATCCTGCAATTCCACATTTAGGCAAATACCCAAGAAAACAGAAAACATTTCAACACAAGAACTTGTACACAAATGTTTATATCAATATTATTCACAATACCCAAAAAGTGGAAACAGCTCAAATATCTATTATTTGATGAAGGGTTGAACAAAATTGTATATCCATTCAATGAATATATAATGCAGTATATCCATACAATAGAATATTATTCAGCCATAAAAAGGAATGAAACACTAATACATACATAGACCTTAAAAACATTATACTAAATGAAAAAAGCCAGAAACAAAGGCCACATATTGCCTGATTTTATTTATATTAAATGTCCTGAATGGCAAATCCATTGAAACAGAAAATAGGTTAGTGGTTGCCAGGGCTAGAGAGAGGAGGAAATGAAAATTGACCACTAAAGAGTATGGAGTTTCTTTCGAGAAGAACAAATTGTTCTGGAATTAGGTAGTAGTGATGACTACAAAACTTTGTGAATATACTAAAAACCACTAAACTGTACACATTGATATTTTATGGTATATAATTATATATTAAAACAAATTTGTAAAGAACACTGTTTGAAAGAATGCATGCTAGTAACAGCTAACATTTATTAAGTCCTTACTATGCCTGAGGCTAAAACTGATGTTGGCTAAACTCTGTAGAGCAAAATTTGTTACTGGGAAAAACTAAGGGAAAAATTGTATCTGTCAGACAAATTACATCTGCAAATTTGACATAAGGAAGAAGCCACCAAAAAATAAAAATGACAGAAGCTATAATCAGAAAATAATGAACAAAAACTAATTAGCAAATCAAATATTTATAAAATATTTAAATAGAAATACTTAATTTTAATAAAAATACTTTCAAAATACAAAATGAATCATGAAATTTTTGTAATAGCTTAACATTTGTTATAAGAAACAACTATTATAAGAAACTTAATAGAGTTTGTAATGGAAAATACTTTTCTTATAAAAATTCATCAATGTAGCTATAATGCTTATTTGTATTGAAACCACCCTTGGAGCTAAAACAGCAAAGTCAAACTCACTGTACCCACTAACTGGACCTGGCATGAGGGTCTTAAATTCCCACTTTTTTCATGCTCCAGGTTAAAGAATAGCATGCTCAGCAAACTATCACAAGGACAAAAAACCAAACACCACATGTTGTCACTCATAGGTGGGAATTGAACAATGAGAACACATGGACACAGGAAGGGGACCATCACACACCAGGGCCTGTTGTGGGGTGGGGAGAGGGGGGGAGGGATAGCATTAGGAGATATACCTAATGCTAAATGAGGAGTTAATGGGTGCAGCACACCAACATGGCACATGTATACATATGTAACAAACCTGCACGTTGTGCACATGTACCCTAAAACTTAAAGTATAATAATAATAAAATTAAAAAAAAGAATAGCATGACACCTACTATTATGGGTTGTTAAAAAGAGACAGACTCATATATTGTCATTTATCAGATAATCCCATTTCAATTCAAACTGTTTCTGTCAAAGAATTGGGACCTGAAAAAGTGAAGGCCGGACAGTTCAATGTCTAATGATGGGAACAGGAAAGATGCATTTTGGGGCATTATCTGGCTGAAGCATCTTAGTAGGAAATTTTGAATAGCCATAGGAAAGCTCCAAAACTGGAAAACTTATTTGTGTATAGGGGCTGGGCGTGAATGTGAGAATGCTCAAGAAGAAAAACAGAGTAAATTAAAGAGAATCAAAAGACCCCAGAGAGAATCTTTGCCTGCTTTACATTTTACCTTTGCAATCAACTCAGTTTGACATGTCTAAATTCTTGATGCTCTGACAAGCATTTTGCAGTACCTAAGGAGTGTAGTAGCAGTTACCGTCTCCATTTTATTCAATCTTCTCTTTGTTCTTAGATGTCTTCCTGAAGCCAGCACACAAGTCAGTCCCAGACAAAAATATGCCACCTGTTGCTGCCACGTAGGTATTCATTAACTTGACCATGCAACACACATTTGTTGTGCACCTACTATGTGCCAGACCCAATGTCCACAAACAAATGAATACATGCTAAGTATAAGATGATTGAGACACAGTCCATGCACTTAAAAAAGACAGGGCTCCGTGGAGGAAACAGACATGTAAACTGCTAATTGTAGGAAAATAAGATCAGTGCAGGGATAGAGCTAAGCACAGGATATCATGGGTGTATCAAGAAGAGGCACCAGACATGGCCTCATATAGAAAATGTAAAAGCCACTGTTGTCTTTCAGATAATTCCCAGATAGAGCTGCTTAAATTCTGAGATTGCAAGTTTATTTTAGCTAAACTTTTTATTTTGAGTTAATTTTCAACTAGTAGTAAATAATGTAGACAATTATAGATTTATAATAATGTAAGAAATACTATAGACAGAGCCCATGTACCCTTTACCCAGTTTTCCCCAATGGTGACATCCTGGAAATGACAGTACAATATCACAATCAAGATATTGACATTGATATACTCAAGATACAGAATATTTCCATCACCAAAAGTTTCCCTCAGTTTGCCCTTTCATAGCCACATTCACTTCTTTCCCACCCCCACCCACTCCTTCACCCCTGAAACCACCCATCTTTTCTCCATTACTGTAATTTTGTCATTTCAAGAATGTTATATAAATGAAATCACATGATATGTAACCTTTTGCTTTTGGCACTTTTTACTCGGCAAAGTTCTCTGGAGATTCATCGAGTTTGTTGCATATCTTAATAATTCATTTCTTTTTTTATTACTGAATGGTAGTCTGTGGTACGGATATACCACAATTTGTTTAACCATTAACCTGTTGAAAGGTATCTGGGCTGTTTCCAGTTTTTTACTATTATGAATGAAGCTTCTATGAAGATTTGTATACAGGCTTTTGTGTGAAAGTAAGTTTTCTTCTCTCTGAAGTAAATGCCCAGATTGCAATTGCTGGGCTGTATGGTGGCTCATATTTAGTTTTTTAAGAAACTTCCAAACTGTTTTCCAGAGCAACTGTGCCATTTTACATATCCACCAGTAATGTTTAAGCCACCCAGTTTCTCCATATCCTCACCATCATTTGATGTTGTCATTATTTTTTACTTTAGCCATTTTGATAGGTGTGTGGTGGTATCTCACTGTGGTTTTTTCATTTCTCTAATAACTTATGATATTGAACAACTTTTCATGTGTTTATTTGTCATCTGTATATCCTTTTCAGTGAAATATCTGTTCATATATCTTGCCTATTTTCTAATTGCATTGTTTTGTTTTTTACTATTAAATTTTGAGAATTCTTTATATATTCTAAGTTTTGAGAGTTCCTCATATATTCTAAGACACTACTACTTTGTTGCATATGTGGTTTGCAAATATTTTTTCCCAGTCTGCAGCTCATCACTAATTCCCTCTATAGAGTATTTTGCAAAGAAAAGTTTTTAATTTTGATAAAACCCATTTTATCAATTTTCTTGTATGGTTGATGCTTTTAGTGTCAAGTCTAAGAACTTGGCCCAGCCCCAAATTCCAAAGATTTTTCTCTTTTTTAAAATAAATGTTTCATAGTTTTGTGTTTTACGTTTAAGAACTTGATCCGTTTTGAACTTACATTTGTATAAGTTGTGAGACTTAGGTCAGAGTTCATTATTTTGCCCATGGATGACCAATTGCCCCGGCATTGTTTAAAAGGCTATCTTTTCTTTATTGGATTGCTTTTGCAATTTTGTCAAAAATCAGTTGGACATGTTAGTGTGGGTCTATTTCTGGGTTTTCTTTTCTCATCTGTTGATCTATGTATCTAATCTCCTACCGACACTTCACAGTCTTGATTAGGCTGGCTATATAATAAGTCATAAAATTGTGTAGATGGATTCCTTATATTTTATTCTTTTTAAAAATGGTTTTAGCTATCCCAGTTCCTTTGAATTTCAAAATAAATTTTAGAGTAATATTCTGCATATCTACAAAAATTCTGGCAGAGAATTTGATATAAATTATATTAAACGTGTATATCAATTTTGGAAAACTGACATCTTTACTAAGTTGCGTCATTCAATTCATGAACACTGTATGTCTCTCCACTTATTTAAATCTTCTTTGCTTTCTTTCATCAGTGTTTTGTAGTTTTTAGCACACAAGTCCTGTACATGTTTTGTCAGACTTACACCTAAGTACTCCATTTTCTTGAGTGGTTGTACATGATAATGTATTTTTAATTCCATTATCTACATGTTCACTGCTAGTATACAGAAATACAGTTAATTTTTTAATGTTTATCTTGTAACTCATGACCTTGCTGATCACATTTACTGGCTCTAGGAGGTTCGCTTTGCTGATTCCCTAAGATTTTCCGCATAGATAATCATGTCATCTGCAAGAGGGACAGTTTTCTTTCTTTTTTCTGATCTGCATGTCTTTTATTTCTTTTTGTTGCCTATTGCACCGGCTAGAACTTCCAGCAATACGTTGCATAAAAGCGATGAGAGAGGACAACCATGCCTTGCTCTGGATCATAGAGGGCAAACATTCATTCTTTCTTCATTAAGATTAATGTTAACTATGGATTTTTTGTAAGTGCTCCTTATCAAAGTAAAGAAGTTCCTCTCTATTCATAGTTTTCTCAGAGTTTTTATCATTAATAAGTGTTGAGTATTGCTGAATGTTTTTTCTCTATCAATTAAGATGCTCATGCGATTTTTCTTTGTTAGCTTATTAAGGTGAATCATGTTGATAGAGTTTCAGATAATGAACCAGCCTTGAATCCCTTAGACAAAACTTACTTGGTCATGGAGTATAATTTTGTCTATATATTGCTAAATTCTATTTGCTAACATTTTTAAAAGTTTTAGAGGTTAAAGATTTTTGCCTCTAAAATTCATGTGGTATATTGATCTGTTTTTTTGCACTGTCAATTGTCAATGTCTGATTTTAGTATCCTATTAATACTAACTTTATAAAACACATTAAGAAGTATTTCCTCCTCTTCTGTTTTCTAGAAGCCATTTTGTAAAAGTGATTTGATCCCTTTTTAAACAGTTGGTAGAATTCTCTGGTAAAACCATCTGGGTCTGCAGATTCTTTTTTTGTAAAATTTCAAATTATGAGTTCGATTTCCTTAGTAGTTATATATTTAATGTTGAGTGAGTTCTGGTGGTTTGTGCTTTTTGAGGAATTGGTCCATTTCACCTCAGTCATGAGATTTACATCTGTAGAGATAGAATCGTTTGTGATACTCCTTTATCATCCTGTGTGCAAGGTCTATAGTGATGCCCCCTGTTTTTCCTAATATTAGAAGTCTGTGTCTTCTATTTTTCTTTGTCAGTCCTGCTAGAGGTTTGCCAATTTTATTCCTCTCTTCAAAGAACTAGGTCTTTGTTTTGTTGACTACCTCTATTGTTTTTCTGTTTTCAGTTTCATTAATATCTGTTATCTTTATTATTTCCTTCCTTCACTTCACCTTCTTTGGGTTGTTTTGCTTTTCTTTTTCCAGATTATTGATACGGGAACTTAAACTATTTAGCTGAGGCTTTTCCTCTTTTTAAATGTAGTAGGTGGAGATGAAAATGCCAGCTCCCTAGTTAGCCCTCTCAGGCGCCACCCCAACAGCAGGTGGGGGAAGCTGGGGCACCTCATTACATCCCAGAGAGGGTGGAAGCCTAGGCTCGCCACTTGATCTTTGCTGGTGTTTTTGGGGTTGAGAATCAGTTTTTCCTCTGCTATTTGACTGGAGCAGAGCAGTTTCTGTCTATAAGCTTTATTGTAGCTTTCTAGGTTGCTCTTTTCCCAGTACTTTGGCTAGAGAGAGCAGGCTTTTGTTGGGTTTTTTTATGTCTGCACCATTGGTGTTCCCCTGTTGCTGGCTTCTCCAGCACCCAGTCTGGGATATGTGAGGCAGAAAGCAAGCCTAGGCAACTCAACTCTGTGTCATTTTTTGGATCATGAGGTCCCTAGTCTGTCTCCCTTTTCTCTCACCCTTTTAGGGTCTTTTTTGTTGTTGTTTTACGCATAATATCCAGGGTTTTTAGTTGGACCAAGCAAGAGGAATGGAGGAAAATACATTTATTCTCTTCCCAGAATCAGAAGTCTGAGTCCAAAATTGTAATGTGACCAGCTTATTGAAGAGGTTGAATCAGAAAGCAAACTTTACATTCCTTTCATTGCTACCCATCAAATAGACCGTCAGATCCCCCTGCCCTGGATGATGTCATTAGCAGATCGTTGTGCTTTTCAGATCAGTTTCATGTGTGAACGTTCTTAATTTTCAGGGATTAAATCCAAACTAAACCAAAACTTCAACTTATCCACTTCAAACGATTATTTTTTCTTTCTGCCCCATCAGGCTTGATCTCAGTTTGGCAACCTGCATAGAGGAGGACTTCACTTTCCTTTCTGTTTTTTTCTGTCTCCCCTCTAGCTCTCTGTCTATCGCTTCTTTTCCCTCCATGGTTGGGATCAAAAGAGGGGAAAATTAAAGGAAAAGAGCAAAGTGTTTTGTTATGGGCTGGAGCTGCTGGAATTAGATGTGAGTGCACTCTGCCTGGAAGGTGCCCAGATGGTGCCTCTCGTTCTCAATTGCAGGTCCTTCTGAGTCCGTGCTCTGGTGGGGACCACAGATACTGCAATCTTTTTTCTGACATGGGCCATGCAGTCTCTGGCTGGCAAACTCTGTCTCCTGGCAAGCCACTGCCTGCACCAAGTGGTTTGTGCTGGGGTTAATTTGCCCCAGCTGGGCAGACATATAGGAAGGATCCTCTCAAGACAATTCAAGACCAATCATCTTCTGCAGTATCTGTGCTAGCCCCAGGAGAAAGCAACCTTGCTCAGTCACTGTTGAAAGAGTAGCTTGCCCAACTTCAGTGCCTTGTTCACTTTTGACTCTAGTAAACGGCACTAGTGGCCTTCTCTCTTTTAGAATTTTCTGGAGGCAATTCAGGCACTGGTGTATTTGCTCTACAAATTCCAAGGGACTCTTCCATCCTGCTCTGCTGTGGCCTTCCAGCAGCACCAGGGCAACAGAATCTCTGTATTGGCTTGAAGAAGGGGCAAGAAAGCACTTTCCCTGAAACCCCATGAGAAGGGAAAAGAAAACTCAGGACACTGTTAAGTCACTTCAAGGAAATCTTTACTCCTCAGCATCCTTGATCAAGCTCTAGCCTTCTTTTATGTATAGGCTAGAGGTGGGACAAGAACCATAGAACTATGGTAGAACCACCTCTTAGCAATATGGATGGCCTGGAAGTTTCTTTAGAAAGTGGAGTTGTCACCTTGGGCGCTCAGGTGTAACTCAGAAAACACAGGTAAAGTCCCATTTAAAATTCTGTCACAGTAAGAATGAAACATCACACTCCAAAACATGCCCGAGTCTATGGCATAGTGGTTTTGAGACACATGTCTGTCTCCCAAATCACATTTATCTTCATGTGTAGTTTGAGTTTTAGGTTGACCCACAGCCCACCCAGTGGCTAAGTCATGGCCTCATTGTAACACATCTTCATGTGCCCTGTGGAGAAGTGCATTTAGCATGGGCTAAATGCAACTGGACAGAGGAAGCAGGACATTAAAGGGAAAGCCATGAGACAGGACAACTGGAAAGTGACTGCACAATTCACAGAAAAGTGAATTGGTGAGAGCCTTCTTCAGCCACAGAAGTTGTGTAAGTCTGTGGGGCAAAAAGATAGAGCCTCACATAGCATTGGGTTCTACAGCCTAAAGCCTTTGTCCCATGCCTACAGCCGTCTTCCTAGGAGTGCCCATGACAAGCCCATGTTCCTGTGTGTATTGTTTCAGCCCTGCTAGTTTTCTTGCTACACATTTCACGGCATCATCCTCAAAATAAAGAATGAGGAATTTGCTTAACATTCCATGTTCTATCGTGGCTGTTCACCACGCCGGTTACTAGAGTCTCCATAAGTGATGCACAGGGATCACCAGGTTTTAACAAGTCTGAATAAATAAAACACATGCAGCCCTAAGATTATAGGGTGTTCACTTGTGTCTTAGGGTCTTGTAGTGTTGAAGGATCATTATTGTGAACACCAATTGCTCTTGGATTGGTAGCTGCAAGGAAGGTCAGCTAATAAATTGTCCAATTAAGAGAATAAACTTTTAAGGAAGCCGAGGACCCCGAGAAATGAGGTGGTTTGCCTAACATCAAGCACTGGGTGTGCAAACCTACAGCTGACGTGACAGCTTCTGGGTTCCCATTCCTTTGCTCTTCCCTCTAGCCAAGGAAAAATAACCACTAACACTGAGGAGACAGCCTCTGAGGTTTAGCTCATGACTGACATGTGGGTCAAGTGTGGGAAACTGAATAGACTCCAACACCATAGCCTGACATTGCTATTCACCCCCTCTACTAAGAACAAACTTCCATCTAGTACGTGACATCTGAAAGGAGGTATCTCACGTTGCCTGCTTGGGTGGCAATTCATTTGGGAATCTCTCGGGGAAAGCACAGAGCAGAGCTGATTTATGGCACCACCACAAGGTATCACCACAAGCATCAGGACCAAGTAGAGGAAGCACCATAGCCCAGCCCGGAGGCCAGCATTCCAGCCTGTGAACAAATCCTGTGGATTGGAATGCTGCTGCTAACCCAATGTGCAGGGACTGCTGGCCCATGTGGAAGCCTCTGACAACAGTTTCCTGTGAGAGACCTGGGCTCTGGGGAGGCCACTTCCTGCTGTGTCACGGTGATGTGACCACGAGGGTGGGAACTGAGCCCAGGAAAACTTCCTTCTGGACAAGGTCGACCCTGGCTTACGCTGAGTGCTTTTCCCTGAGATATCAGGGCTTCTGTCACCCTGTTCAGACCAGCCCCTCTGGCCACTGCCCTGCCAGGATCTATCTTATGGCACTCTTGGGACTCTAGGGCTAAGAACTGACCAGATTTAGAAATTTTGATGACTCAGGTACATGGGAATTTGAAGGTCTCTCAAGCTATCAACAAAGCAAACAAATAAAAAAAAAAACACAAAATTTCTCTTAGAAGACAAAAATGTCAATGGGATTTTTTAGGCAGTAAAATCATGTTGATTTTTCCTCTTTTTATTTTGCTGTATTTTCCAAGCTTTATATTACTTTTATGCTGGAAAAATAAACTTTATTAAGAAAAAAATGCTCACAATAACACCTAATTGATTCAATTTAATTATCCAAGGGACGCCAATAAATATTATCAGAAAAGCTTTATAACTTAGCCGGCCAGGAGGTTGACTACTGGGTGGGACCTTTTATTTCTCTGGGCCATGTTCCTCAGATATTGCCTGTTCACCAAGCCTTTAGTTGTTACCATGTCACAAAACCCCTACGTTTCCTAACAAAGAAATTTTTGCATAGCTTTCTCATCATCACACAAGATGGAAGACAGCCCACCCATGTGATCGTATAAGAAAATCACATGACTTGCATCTGTTCAGAAGGAGCAATGACATAAAGATAGTAGCTGTTTCTTGTGCTTGGCTTCAGTCGCTCTACATAGATCTTTAACCTTTACAACAAGGATTAAGGGGAGGTGATCTAAGGTAAGGGTAATCTACCTTAATTCTTATTGTAAGGATTAAGCTGCTGGGCTTGGATCTTGGCTTGATTATTTTTAAACTCTGCTATTCAGGTAGCTACTTAATTCCTTTAGTCTCAGTTTCATCATCTATAAAATGATGAAAATAGTACTACCTATCTAATACAGTTTTATGAGGATTAAATGAGGAACTCAGGTAAAACACATAGCATGGTACCTGGCTTAAAGTAAGAACTCCATCTCTGGTAATTATCATTATTTTTAAATATATAGTATGGCAGAGTGGGAGAGTAAAATTAAATGTATATAATATGGTCTCTGCCCTGGTGGAATTTATTTGAATTATAAATAGATAAGGCTCTGGCTAACAAGTGCCTACATCCCTAAGTTTTCAGACCAACCCACAGTTGAATGTTCTCTTCCTGCTTAGCTCCTGTGATTGGGATCTTTGAGGGGAGAGTGTTGGAGGACATCACTGGCCAGTCAGGTGGAGGACATCTGATGTCTACCCATGACTGCATACACTACAAATCATGAGGCCCACAAGGTGTGTCAGCTCAGATCGTGGGGTCATCCGTATTTACCCCTTAGAATGGCTTAAGTTATCAGGAAAAACCACAGTCTAATGGAGATGCCCTTTCAAGAAAATTCAAATCTCAAGGTAGATTCTGGTGGAGGAAAGTTCCAGTGAATGCCTTTATTGTTGCTTCTATTGTGGCTTTATGTAGTTAAACCCAGAAAAGTTAGAGTTTCCAAATATGAAGCCATAGGACAGAGGATAAGAAAGAGGAAAGAACAGAACAGCCCCTGGGGCATTTTCCACATTATTTCAGGATCCAGGTTGCTAGGTGTCCACATATGATATCTTCACCAGGAAAGGAAAGAAGTTGAACACACTACACACTCAAGACTTTTTTCAGCTATTTGTCAAAGTTAGTACCTTAAAGAATGAAAACAGAGGCAAAGATAGCGCTGCTGGAATTTTATATTCAGAATCCACCCAAAACAGAAATATCTGGGCAACCATGGTCTATAGAGTTATTCTTACATCTGAGTCATGAGGCTACTCAACCCAAGGGAGGTCTCTATAGGCCACTGAGATGTCTGAACTGCTCTTTTCACCAGCAATAAGGAGGAATGATTCTGCATTAGATGGGTCAGTGAACACTTCAAAGGGCTCTATCTCTGTATCTCTTCTCACTCTCTACATTCTTCCTAAGTGAAGTCATCCACTTCCTTGGATTTACCTATCACATATGATACGTTTTGAAAAATGTAGATACCACAGTCAAAGAAAAACTCTGTATAACCCACCAAAATGCCTCTCCTATCTCCAGACCCATTGGATCAGTGACAAATTCTTTCAGCTGCAAATAAGAAAAATAAAACTCAATTTACAGGTGTGTGACAGAGACTGCTAGTTGTTCACCAAAATTCATCCTTTCATAGAAGCTGGAATATGGTTTCCTGGTTACCATACATTTCCCAGCTTGCCTTGCAGTTAGATGTGGCCAGTTCTTCCAATGGAATGTGAATGGGAGTCATATGTTTGGCCCGTAAAACCTCCCAAAAGAGTAGCTCTATCCTCATCCCCCTCTGACTAACTGTGACTCTATGCCCAAGATGACTTTGGGAGCCATGTGTTATGAAGAGCAGGGCCTCCATTGGCTGTGTCCCTGAGCTTTCCACCACCTGTGACCTGTAACATCCAGCCTCAGCCACTCAAGAACAAGCAATGTGTCTATTGTGTCTGAGCCCTTACTTTTGGAGCTATTTATTAGCCTCATATATCCCATCCTTTAAAAAGCAAATGTCTAACCTAACAAACCATTTTTATCTTACTTAACAGGAAGTTCTGAGGCAGTAGATGGTAGCATTTATTCAGGTGCTCAAAGATGCCATCAGGGACTAGGTTCTCCCTTTGTGCTCCAGCATCCTAGTGTACTGACTTCCTTCTCTCACTCTTGGCTCGTGGTCACAAGTAGGCTGTTGCAAGGAGATATGTTGGATATGGAAGTTATGTCTCCCTTCCATGCAAGAAGAAGGGGAAATGGGCAAAAGTCCCTCTTTATTCTTCATTAGCTGGAACAGATGAGTCACTTGCCCACAATGTGACGAAGTGGCCAAAAGGAATGAGATTAGCACAGGTCATTTAGACCAGTCATAAGTCATCCATTGGAGTTGGGTCTATACCCTTCTAATATCAAGTGATCTCTGCTTTTAATGGAATACTTTGGGGTTCAAGCAGAAGGAAAGTGTCATATGGGAGATGATTGTTGTCTTGGTCCATGCAGGTTGCTATAATAAAATACTGCAGACTGGGTAGCTTACAGGCAACAGAATTTCATTGCTCACAGTGCCTGCAGATTTGGTGTCTGGTGAGGGCCCACTTCCTTCATAGATGGACATCTGCTCACTGTGCCCTCACATGATGGAAGGGGCTAGCTAGTTCTCTGCAATATTTTTATAGGGGCACTCATTCCATTAGTGAAGTCTCTGCCTCATGATCACCCCCAAAGGCCCCACCCCTAATACCATTACCTTGGGGGTAAGATATCAACATATAATTTGGGAGGGGGTAGGGGCACAAACATTCAGAGTATAACAGTTGTTGTGGAAGCAAAGATCAAAATCTGCTGCACTCACACAATCAGCTGCTTGCTGGGCCTCTCTGACACACCAAGAATCATCCTTAACACTTTACTTTCTCTTACCTCCATATCCAGCAATCACCGAGGCTGATTCATTTCTGTCTTGTGACTATCCCTCTGTTCTGCCTTGTTTCTCCCCTCCCATTCTCTTTCTCCATTCTCTGCTATAGCTGTCTCCAGTCCACTCCACTCTCCATTTCTCACACAATCCCTGGAAGGATCCTGCAGAAACTCAAATTTCACCCCACAACTCCCCGGGCTTAAATTTTCCAGTAGCCACTCACTGGCTACAGACTAAACTCTTGTGTGTGAAATCTAAACCCCTTTATGATGTGACTTCTGTCTTTCATCCACTAACCAGCAAAACCACATTATTGTAAGTTACACACACACACATACACACTCCTTCCCTCTCTCTTTCTCTCTCTCTCCTCTCTCTTTCTCTCTTTATGCCTCTATTCCCTCTTTCCAGACACACTTTCTTTTCCTTTTTGTCTGTCCTACCTTAAAATTTAGTTCCGTCTTCAAAAACCCCCTTCCCTGCCTATTCCCCAGTTCTGACTTAGGCCCTCTCCTATGTCTGCCCTGCAAACTTGTCATGCTTCCACCAGCACAAATGTTCTAAGCTATTCCAGTTCCTTGTCTATATGCCTGTTCCCCATTACCCTGTGTTCTGCCTGAGAATAAGGGCCATATCTTGCTCACCTTTGCAAGCCCAGTGTCTCACCCACTGACTGCCACAAAGTAAATACTCTTGTAAATAAATATAAAATAAAATCCTAAATCAGCTCAACACGAGAAATTTGAAATGAGTCTTTAAAAAATCTTTTACATCGGGGATGGCCATAAAATTTCATTAATATGTTTCATCCAGATTAACCAATAAATGTCTCCTGTCATAGTGTGCATTGTTAGAAGATTAATTGGTTGTTAAGTTGGGTTTCCAAGGACACATGATGAGTCACCGACAGATGAGTAAGGCAGCACATACTCCTGGGATGAAAGAGCAAGGCGACAGCGTTGAGGTCTTGCACCATCTTCATGACAGCAACAGTGGCCAGCTATTGGATGCTTACATCGTGAAAGCACTTTGTGTACCTTTTTAATTGAATTCTCACTATAACCTCATGAAGTAGGTGTTTCTACTAGCTTCATTCCACATGTGAGAAGACTAAGGCCAGAGAGTATGAGTTTCTTACCTTCATACAGCCAAGAGGAAACAGAGCCAAGACTAAAACCCAGATTTTCTGATTCCAAAGCCTATACCTCTAACTGCTCTATTCTCTTAACTTACCCAGGATTGAGAACTCCTGGAGTGAGAGAGTCTCCAACATCTCAAAAGAGGTAGAGATAGAAGTAAAGAGAATAGTCCTGCTATGGAACCACAAAAATTAAACATTAAATTAAATTCAAAAGAAGAAGTAAAGAGAGAAAGATTGAGATTAGGATTTTAGGGAACACTGAAGTTTAGCCTGAGCATAATTAGATGTATTCTCCTTCATAAGAACCCCAAGCATGACTGAATGATGGTTATCAAGCGCGTGGAGATCTCTGTGTGTATGTGAGTGAAAATCTGAGGACTTTTCTGCCTGGGGTTTCAAAAAGTGCTTTTGAAAAGTGGTAATGTTTTAGCTCAGCGCTTCTCAGACTTGAATGTGCACAGGGATTACCTGAGATGGAGATCTTGTCAAAGTGCAGACTGAAGCCCGCTGCAGCAGAGCCCTTGGGAGGGCCCGTCACCACTGACCTGTACAGACCCTCCGCTATGTGTGCCATTCACCCTCCCATGGCGGTGCTTCGCGAGAATGTTGGCTGTCTCAAGTGTTCTGTGCCTGAAGGGAGAAGGGACCTGCGCTTCATAAGTGATGCTTAGTTTTCTCCATATCTCCCTCCTATAGAAAACAGAAATCTGTGCATTTACCACAGTCATTCTGTGAAATAAGTAAACCCTCAAACCTGATTAGCCCACCGACCTCCAATGCTGGCTATTACTTCACGCTTTCATCACCCAGGAAAGTCTCCTGAAATAGAGGGGCCTGATAGGTGTTCCCTGAGCTGAAAAGCAGCTGAGTGTGGCGTCAGGGGCATGAGGGCAGGACCAGACACCAATACTGGGCACCCCGGCTCCTGACCAGGGCTCCGCAGCCTCCTCACCCTTGTGCTCCTTGGTGCTCCAGGGCAGGGCTTTCCTGCCAGGTGCAGCTGGGCCACTGCTCTGCTGGATGCACTGTACTCAAGTCCCCGATCTGCTCCTAAGTGTCCCATCGAGGACAAGAGCCCTGCAGGCTTGCAGCAACGTCAGCCAGTTAATGCCACACCCTTCCCAGGCACTCCCTTCCACGTGGAGTCCTCCATGACCTCTGTGGACAGCACTGTTTTTTCCTCAGCTGAGGCTCTTCCTGCTATATCCTTCTTGCTTCTTGCAACATCCTCTCCTCCCACACACTCTGTTTCTATTTCCCTCCTTGAAATCTTTGTCCTGGTCTTTGCTTTTCCCTCGTACTTTTCAGTCATCCTTTCTCTAATGACACCAAAGACCGAGCCATCTGGCCACAGGTGACCTATAGTTTGGGGCATAATTTGAGGCTATGGAATTCAAACATTCAGAGATCACAGGACGTTTTGAGGGGATAAATACTGGATGAGTTGCACCAAGGAATGGAGGAAGGAAAGATATATTTATTGAGTTCCAACTGCCCACTAGTCACGGGTGCTAGTTGTTTTCACTTGCTTACCTCTGAGAGGGAAATGGAAGCCCCAGGAGGCACAGAGGCTCACCGTGGTGTGCAGGGATTGCCTGCGGCCTTTGCTTCAATAACAGTAAATTCATCCTCTACACTTTGGCATATACATATGTTCTTGAGGGCTTCTTGGCTTCATGGTGACACCAGCAACATGTACCTGCTCTAAGTCTTAGTTTCATCCTCTGCAAAATGGGGCAATAACAGTGTCTACTTCACATATTTAGCACAATATGTGGTTTATAATAAACACTTAATAGTACCAATTAGTACTATTGGTGCTGCTGCTGTGTTATCATCATTATAACTGGTGCTCAAGACAAAATCATTACTAATAGGCTCCATTTGTTCATTCAACAAGTATTTATCGAGCACCTGATATGGTTTGGCTCTATGTACTCACCCAAACTTCATCTTGAATTATAATCCTGTAGTTCCTACCTGTTGTGGGAGGGACCAAGTGGGAGATAATTTGAATCATGAGGGCGGTTTCCCCCATACTGTTCTCGTGGTAGTGAATAAGTCTCACAAGATCTGATGGTTTTATCAGGGGTTTCTGCTTTTGCATCTTCCTCATTTTCTCTTGCTGCCACCATGTAAGAAGTGCCTTTGGCCTCCTGCCATAATTCTGAGGCCTCCCCAGCCATGTGGAACTGTAAGTCCAACTAAACCTATTTTTCTTCCCAGTCTTGGGTATGCCTTTATCAGCAGTGAAAAAATGGACTAATACAGCACTGAACTCTGTGCCAGGCGTTATCTGATGTAGAACAGTTACACCAGTCATGGAACTTACATTCTAGTCAGTGGGGGGAGAATAAATAAAGAAACAGGGCAATTTCTGGCAGTGAAAGGCACTCCAAAGGAACTAAAATTTTAAAAAATGGGCCGAAGAGGCTGGGGCTTCCAGTAGAGAGGGCTGCTTTGACTTGGGGTCAGGGAAAGCATTTCCAAGAAGCATGAGTGAGCCAAGACATGAATGATGACAAGGAGCCTGGCAAGCCGAGACCTAGGAAAGCGCACTCCAGCAACGGGAACGGCCAGCGAAAGGTCCTGAGATGGGAATGCACTTAGCATGTCAAATATGTTTCCCTAATTCCAGAAACTTTCTTACATGAAGAAGGAAGAAGTAGTACTTACAGAGGCTACAGGCACAGACTCTGGAGCCAATACTGCCTGGTTTCATCTCCAGACTGTGACCTTGAGAACGTTATCCAACCCTCTATGCCTGTTTCCTGATCTGCAAATTAGGAAGATGATAGTGAATATGAAATTAATTACACATGAAAGTAGTTAGAACTGCTCTTGGCATGTAACAAGCAGAGAAAACTACTGCTGTTATAATTGTGATGAGTGTGTAATGAATAGATATAAATCACTTGAACAATTCCTGGAAATAATAAGCAGTCAACAAGAGTTAGCTGTTGTTATTGGAGCCTAGCACCTTGTGGGTTTTCGACAGGGTACACACAGAATGAGGGGATCCCTTTGTTTCCTTGTGACGCCCTTCCATTTTGATCAGTGTAGTGGAAGGATTCAGCACATCATTTTACCATTTAACTTAAACATGTATCAATATAATCTCTGTGGTCAGGGTGACTTTCATTTATCATTAGGTCTGCCTTTCTGAATGCAAATAATCCTTTAAAAAATAAAAGAAAAAAACCAGAATTACAAAATTTAGGGTGTTATTTTAGAAACCAACCACTTTTTGCCCAATGATTTAACTACTGTTTCCTTATTGCTAACTTGCAAAGAGTGGACGTAATTTCTTTATTTCCTTCATCATTTCCTGAAGCTACTCATTCCTTTAGGAGGTGAGGTGCTGGGGAGAGAAGGTCAGTTCAACTTTGGTCACCATGGAGTTTGGGCTGGTTTCAACTGCTTCCCATCAATGTTTTTCTGGCTTCTGTAAGTTATTACCTATGGGCTATTGGCCCTGGAGACACCATAGTTCATGGCTCACATGGTTTGTTCCCATGCCAGTCAGAAAGTGCAGATTCTCCCAAACAACCATCAAGAACTGGGTGTTATGGACTCAGGCCAAGAGGGTTCCAGCTGAGGCTACTATGGTGCAGGTCTACATTAGCAGGAGACCCTGGTGGTGTTCTTCTGCTTAGGGGACCCTACCCAGGGGTGGAGCCACCAGGCCTGGGCACCAGCACTCGTTGGGCAGCCTCCCATTCCAACTGCTTGGCCCTTCATAGGGAAACTGATTTTACAGTTTCTCTATTTGGGACATCAAGATAGGTTGCCATGGAAAAATGACATCTTCTAATTAAAAACACAGAGAGGTCACAAGTTTCCCAGAACAACTAGGGCACAGATCCTAAAGGGAAAGAAATGAAACATTTGAAAAGAAAAAAAAGAGTCAAACAAACCTCCAGGGCTGTGTCAGGCTGTAACTTTCCAAACCTGAATGAGATGCCTTGCATGGATGGGGGATGCTGAGAGGATAGTCTAAGTTCACCGCTGATGGATGCTGTTTTCAGCTGGCAAGGCCTCAGTCAGGCAGCAGATCTGGGATGCTCAGGAATATTGACCTAGGATGATTATTCTGAGCTATCATTTAAACTGTGCATTTCTGGATTTTCCTCCTGAGATGTGGGAGGGTAAACGGAAGGACAGAAATGAGAAATCAGAAGGCCACTAGTTCCAAAGGAGCACAATCCTGTTGCCCTCTGCCAATTTCCCTCCTTTGTACTGTACCTTGTACTTGTATTGACAATAACACCTGCGACCTGTGTCGTGCTTAATTGTGTCTCCCACACTGGGCTGTAGACTTCTCCAGGACAGGCACAATGTTATGTTTATTTCTGTATGGCCAGTGCCTAATATATTGTTTGGCACATAGAGCATGTACAGTAAATCCTTGTTGAATGAACATTAATAATAAGAAGAAGAGCTGTCATTTACTGAGGGCACTGGGTAGTGGGATATTATTCATCTTCTTTTACAGTAAAGAAACTTCAGTTCAAGGGGGGCAAAGCAACTCACATAAGTCCTTGGAACTAATAAATGACAGAGCTGGGACTTAGATCCAACACTGTCAGACTGCAACGCTCAAGAATAAATGGATCCCTGTGGGGCTCATTTTCTCTCACTCAGAGGCTGATTAACCAACATGTGGTTTGAGGGGCCCTTTGCTGTGGCTCCTTTTCCCTCTCATTGACCACTTCTTGGCACCCTCAAGTCTCCCAGTAAGCCCTGGACTAGAGAAAGTAAGAGAAACAAAAAATCTGCACTTAGTCTGGCTGCTTGGCCAAGGCTCATATAAAAAGGGAAGCTCACAATGGCAATTGGGTAAGGATGGGAAGTGGCAGTGGGTAAGGATGGGAAGCTCAGAGTGCCTTTCTTTCCCCTCTTCCTGCCCATCCCTGTGAGTGCCCCCCTCTCACATGCAGGAAGGTGTAATTCCACTCCTAGGACAATGAAGCAGCCACATAGGCACTACCAGCTGTGCTGATCAACCCCTTCTTTCTGGGGATTGGATTCAGAGTGGAATCCCACACTAGAAATTCATAACAATAAGATGAATGCTGTGCTGATATACCCCTTCTCCCTGGGGAGGTAGGGATCCTTAGCTTGGATTGAATTTAGAGTGGAATCCCACACTAGAAATTCATAATAATAAGATGAATATCGTGGTTCTCATTTAGCCAATACCATCATGTTGCACAGCTCTGAGCAACAGTGCATAGAATATGATGTGAATAGCACCCCTGAGAGCTGTGAAAGTTTTTGATGTGATCTTTCAACTTTCAAGTGTATTTTGTATTTTGCGTTGTAAGCAGTGGATAATAACGTTAGTAGCCTGTGGTCGTTTAGAAAGGCCTTTATGCACATTATTTCATTATTACCCTGTGAGGCAGGTAGCACTATTAACCCCCTTAGAGATGATGATGCTGAGGCTTTGAGAGATGCATCATCTTCTCTCTGTCAGAACTACTCAAAGTGTATTTCCACAGGCTGGAAATAGCAATATAAACCAGAAGCTTGTTAGAAATGCAAATGCCCAGGCCTCACCCTGGGCAGACTGAATCTGGGTGACAGGGCCCAGGATTCAGCTCTCCAGGAGGTTCCTGTGAGTGCTCAAGTTTCAGAAGCACTGCCCCAGGACACAGAATAATGGTCAGAGGCTGAATTCAAATTCAACCCTCCCTCTCTCACTCCAAGTTACCCTATGCTGGAGGTACTGAAAAAGGTGCAGAGGAAGGCCAAAACCTTGAATACAAATCATAGGACAGCTTTTATTTGTTGAGAGAATGTGAACTAGGCATTTACCCTCTTATTCCTCTAAAAAAGAATAGGCATACTATTTCAATTAACTTTACTGGGCAGTTGTGAAAACCAAATGAATTAATGTATGTTAAAGTACCTTGTAAACTGCTAAATACCAAACTGTTAAACACCATAAACTTTTGTTGTTTATTGTTATAATTACAGTAAATGTTAGATTATTATTTTATTTCAAACATAAAAAATAGAAACTAATGGGTAAAGTGAGTTTTAAAGTATCTAATTTCCCGGAAGTTTCCATTGCATAATCCTATTCTGGAAATACAAAATTATTGTCATGGAAAAGAAAATGAAGGTACACTGAGTGAGCCCAAGTTGGTGAACAATGACAACAATCATCACCATAATTGTTTGTGTATGAAGCAGAGGTGCCGCTCTGTCTACCCACAGAAGCGCAGCTGACAGAATGGACGGAATATAAGGTCAGACTCAGAACACCTGCATTCTCTCCAGGCTTCTCCACTGACGGGTTATTCGATCTCAGACAAGGCACTTCACCTCTCAGAGCCTCGTTCCTTGCTTGTAAATTTGAAATCATAATAATAACTACTTTAGAATAATAATGACTTATTTGATGTGAGTCTCAGTTAAGAGAATGTCTGTGAAAGTGCTCTGCAAACTGCAATTCACTGCACAAATGTTTTTTTTTTTTTGTTAAAGCTGGCTGACTTGTCTGTTATACTTTATTGTTGCTGCTTTTTTTATTATTATACTTTAAGTTTTAGGGTACATGTGCACAATTGCACAAATGTTAATTGTTCTAGTCGCTGTTGTTATTTACAGTAGGAGAGACTAAAAGGCTCTGAACAAAGAAAACAATGGCTTATAATGGAACTCTTGAGACCTGCTAGCAGTAAGGCTAGGAAAGTAAAAAGACAAGAGGGGAAAAAGCTCTTTAGCTCTCCAGACACTGAGCAGTGCAGGGCAGCTCTCTTGGGTTTGAGGGTGGGTGAGGAAGCCCAGAGCCCGAAAGGCTGCAGGTGTTGCTTCAGAGAAGGTCTCCTCCTGAGGGCCATGCAGCCACCTGATGTCAGAGGATCAGGCATTGGAACTCGGTGCAGCAGACCAGAGCATCCAGCTCAGTGCTATCACAGGCCTGGCCCAACAAGCCAGGACTCACTTTCACAACTTTTCACTTTCATCTCAAACGTAGACTTCGGATGTTATTTCCAAATGAGCTTATACAGTCACAGAGAAACTGATGGAACAAGATGTTACTCATACAACCTTAAAAGTATGTGTCTGATCATTAAGCTGTGTCACTTGGGCATCACCAGCGATTTTTTTTTTTTTAAATAAATCCTTGGGCTATGTTGTGCATTATCCAATTATACTTTTAAAATAAAATATTAATTTATTCATTATATGATGTTTAAAATAGACCATAATTTTTATGAATCTGTTCTGACCCATCTTCATTTTTCACTACATCAGGAGCCTCTGCGAAGCCCCCAGTCAGGTTCAGCAGCTCTAGTAATCACTCTGCTACGTGGGACGTAGCTGGGAAATTGTCATATATACATAGATATGCTTGGGTTTTACTCGAGTAATGTTAAAATAACAACAAACTTCATTTTGTTCATGACCTTGGAAGAGACAGCTCATCTCTGCTCCAACTCAGAATGGACTGCTGTGGTTCAAGGGTTGGGGACTAGAATCCCCTTGAGGCTTGCTCACTCACACATCTGGTGCCCAGGCCAAGAGGACAAACAGTTTAGGGCTCAGACAGTCAGGACTCCTCCATCTCTCTCTTCATGGTCAGTTACTGATTGCAGTACAAGATACTGGGCAGCTGAGATTAGGCTGCTCACACAATAGACTCACATGAAGTGATAAGTACTTATTTTCTAATGCACTCCTTAGAAAATTTTTTCAGGTTATTGTTACTGATATACCTTAGTGGAAATTCAAGGACAGATGTGTGGTGTGGTCAGGTGTGTGAAAGTCTGGTTTTCGGGGATGTTACCAAAGGAAACATACTCGGTTTCTGGTTTGAATATGGGCATTTCTCATGCTTTTACTTCAGAAGACAGAAATGAACAGTTACACTGAGCTGGCTACCTCCAATCCTATCAAGAACTACTCATTTCTGTCCAGGTGTGGTGCCTCACACCTGTAATCCCAGCACTTTGGGAGGCTGAGGCAGGCAGATCACCTGAGGTCAGGAGTTTGAGACCAGCCTGGCCAACATGGTGAAACCCTGTCTGACATGGTTTGGCTCTGTGTCCCCACCCAAATCTCATCTTGTAGCGCCCATAATTCCCACTTGTTGTGGGCGGGGCCTGGTGGGAGATGATTGAATCATGAGGTGGGTTTTCCCTGTGCTGCTCTTGTGATAGTGAATGGGTCTTATGAGATGTTATGGTTTATATATATATATATTTATTATACTTTAATTTCTAGGGTACATGTGCACAACGTGCAGGTTTGTTGCATATGTATACATGTGCCATGTTGGTGTGCTGCACCCATTAACACGTCATTTACATTAGGTATATCTCCTAATGCTATCACTCCCTGCTCCCCTCACCCCACAACAGGCCCTGGTGTGTGATGTTCTCCTTCCTGTGTCCAAGTGTTCTCATTGTTCAATTCCCACCTATGAGTGAGAACATGCGGTGTTTGGTTTTTTGTCCTTGTGATAGTTTGCTGAGGATGATGGTTTCCAGCTTCATCCATGTCCCTACAAAGGACATGAACTCATCCTTTTTTATGGCTGCATAGTATTCCATGGTGTATATGTGCCACATTTTCTTAATCCAGTCTATCATTGATGGACATTTGGGTTGGTTCCAATTCTTTGCTATTATGAATAGTGCCGCAATAAACATACATGTGCATGTGTCTTTATAGCAGCATGATTTATAATCCTTTGGGATCTCATCTCACACAAGTTAGAATGGCGATCATTAAAAAGTCAGGAAACAACAGGTGCTGGAGAGGATGTGGAGAAATAGGAACACTTTTACACTGTTGGTGAGACTGTAAACTAGTTCAACCATTGTGGAAGTCAGTGTGGCGATTCCTTAGGGATCTAGAACTAGAAATACCATTTGAGATGTTATGGTTTTAAAAATGGGAGTCTCTCTGCACAATCTCTGACTTTGCCTGCTACCACCCAAATAAGATGTGACCTTGCTCCTCCTTGCCTCTCGCCATGATTGTAAAGTCTCCCCAGCCATGTGGAATTGTAAGTCCAATAAATCTCTCTCTTTTGTAAATGGCCCAGTCTTGGGTATGTCTTTATCAGCAGCATGAAAATAGACTAATACACCATCTCTACTAAAATTACAAAAATTAGCCAGGCATGGTGGCACATGCCTGTAGTCCCAGCTACTCAGGAGGCTAAGGCAGGAGAATCGCTGGAACCCAGGAGACAGAGGTTGCAGTGAACCGAGATCGCACCACTGCACTCCAGACTGGCAACAGAGTGAGACTCCATCTCAAAAAAAAAAAAAGAACTTCTCATTCCTGAAATACATCTTTGGAGAAATTGGCTTTGCTAGGTGCACGTGCCTATGTCTATGTGGGTTGTTACCAAGTTAGCTTGCTTTCCAACTCAAGCTGGGGTTTTAACCTGTGTTGTAGATCAGCCACCACCTTGACCTACGACTTAATCTCTAGAAAGGAGGTGGCAAAAAGTCAAGTGGTTTGGTAAAAAACATAAAATGACAAAGCTGCTCTCAGGGGCCTAATCTCCCCTTTGCTTTCTAAAAAGCCAAACACACTTTAATTGGATTTATATATTTCAAAGCTGATACAGTTGTACCAAACTTCAAGAGAAAGAGCTATAATGTGAAAGTCCACAAAGGGTGCTTGTCTTCCTCAGATTTTTAACTGCCGTGACTAATCAGGATGAGGGCTAGATGCAATGCGAGGTCTTTTAGAAAGCTGATCTATACTTTTGCAAATGCAGAAAATGCCATTCATCTTTGCTTAATAAGAAGGGATCCTTTCTGAAGTATAAAACCCCCACTTTCTGACTAGGACATAGTTTATCTAATGATCTTAAACTGTTCAGCAATGATAAATTCCTTGTGGAACTGCTGGTAAAAGTGGCTCCAGTATGTTGTCTCTAAATGAGACATTTTTAAGGGCTTATATACTAGTATGAACTACTCTGCTTTTTTTTCTTTTGAATTTTCTTTCAAACACATGGAGTTTAAGTTTTTGGCCAAGTTTTGCTGGCCTTGGAGGTATGGTAATAATAATAATGTTTTAACACTTATGTAGCACTATGTGTCAGACACTAAGTGTTCTCTGCATGTTTCCTCAGGTAAACTCCACAATAACACTATGAGGTAGATACCATTATTATCCTACTTTTGCAGATGAGAAAATTAAGGCTCAGAATAACTTCCCCAAGGTCACACAGTTAGGAAGTAATGGAGCTGAAACTTAAGGCAAGACAGTATGTCTACAGAATCCATGCTTACCAAGGACAGGATCCTGGAAAGCTGGTACTTTTAAGGCAGGGACAGAGGTCAAAATGTTTGCGAAGCTCCAAACAGACTGTTAATCACAGGACACTATCATGAGGTGGGCATGTGCCCAGGAGAGCCAATTAGAGTACCTAATTGCTGCACACAGTGACTAGTTAGGAGTAAGCATATAATCCGAAGCAAGATCAATCAGAGTTCAGAAAAACACATAGATTCTAGGAAGCAAGGGCTCTGTCCTTGAGCTGCCAAGGGCCATTTTTATCATCTTGATGCAAGATTCTTCCTGAGAATAAAATTAATACAGAGAAAACCTAAATGAAGAGTTGGGTGGGGAGGGTTAGAACTGAAGACATTATTTGATCCAGCTGGACCTGAAACCCTCCCTACCTCTGCTCCCTGACCTTCCGGTTAAATGAGCCAGTGCATATCCACTTTTGCTTAATCCAATTTCAAATGGGTTTCTGTCATTTTGCAATAAAGGAATCTGACGGATACAGGGATTTTTACCAAAAACTTTTCAGAGAGGCTGTGGGGGCAGGGCAGAGCTAGGAGCACCAAGGGTAGCTTATATGGAAGCAGATTTGGTTCAATGTAAGTCTATATTCAGCAACTGACATAGTAAGTGCTTAAAAACAAACAGAAAACAAACTTCTGTTGAATGAAATACTGAAATCAAATGTTTCTAGGCTAGTCTGTGGGTAGTGGGTATGAATAATGTCACAGTCATAGTAATAACTAAAGTTTCACTGGCCTATCGCATCCACATACATAGGTCAGATCCTCTTGTCCCCCCAAACTCATTCCCAAGTGCCCTTCTGGGCCTGAATGCTCCTGCACTGGGCACTCCTGTCTAAAGTGGTGGACACCTCAGGACCAATGCTGGGAAATGGTTGGAGGTGAGGTGAAGATGGATGTCTTCTCCCTTCAGAGTGGCACTGTCTGTTACGCTGCTCCTGTCTCCAGATCTGACAGAGTTTTAAATGCAGCAGCTTGTTTGGGTTTTGTTTTCAGTTCCTCTGCTCTTTCAGATATTAATCCCATGGAGGACATCTGCCCCAGTGGCAATGATAAGGTACCTCTCCAGGGACACACGGGCAACGGACATGTACAAGGGAGCTAGAGAGGAAGAACCCTTGCACCTCAGAGGACACTTGGTGAACCCCCAAATAACTGGGGAGGCTTTCACACAAGAACTTAGTAGTATGAAGGGAAATGAGTCAACAACAATATAGGATTAAATCGTGGCTGGTAATGTATAGGGACATTCTGGTTTCACGTGTGCTCCTCAGGGAATTTCTATATAATTACACGGCAAGCTCTATGAAAACTGACAAGCAGATTTGACATTTTGTCAATATTCGAGGCTTAGAATGTGTTCATTAAACCTACTAGGGTATTAAAACTTTTTGATTATTTGGCATTATGTATCAAGATCTTGAAAATGTTTTTTACCCTTTGACCAAGAAATTGCATTACTGGCCTCTATCCTAAGGAAACAATATGAAAAATAGGATTAAAGAAAAAAGTTATGAAAAATGATGTTTATAAGCATGTTATTTATAATAGGGAACGTTTTTTCATATATAGGGGGATAGTCAAACTCCTTATCAGTATAAATAGTGGAGAAATATGCACAAATTCCCATAACCTGAGAATGAGAAAAATCTACATCTTTAATAAAAGGAAATATTGATAAATTCAACAACATCAAAAGGAAAAAAATGCATGGCAAAACAGCATTCCCAGATATTGAAAAAAGGACCCACAACCTAACAGAAGAATTAGCCAAAGACATGAACAGACGGGACTCATAAAATGAAATAAAATGGTCTTTAAACATATTAAAGTTGCTCAAGCACACTTATAATTAGAGAAATGCAAACTGATAGTACACCAAGATACCATTTCTCACCTATCAGATTGGTAAAAGCCCCAAAGTTTGATAACAGGTTTTGATGACAAAACTATGAGAAATCAGCATCTCCTTCATTGCTCCTAGGAATGTAGGAAGTAGCAGAGACCTCATGGAGAGAATTGACAACGTCAAGCAAAATTACACATGCGTGGACCTTGGATCTGGCATTCCTAGCTCTGATAATCTATTCCAAAGTTACAGTAGCCCTAATATAAAATAACATGTGTAATAAAAGGATTGGAATCGACTGACTCTCTATCATCAGGGAACTGATTAAACTATCATAAACCCACACAATGGAGTATACGTAACCACAAAAAAGATGAGAAAAAATTTTGTGGAGTGCTTTTTAGGATATATTCTTAGGTGAAAAAAGCAAGATGCAGAAAAACAAAAATAATATGCTATTTTTGTGTAAGGAGAGGTGAAAGTATGAGTATAAATCCACATGTTTATACAGGTACATAATAATTTCTTATATTTGTAAAAAGAAACGCTGGAAGCCTAAATCAAGATCTAATAAAAATGGTTACCTAAAGGATGAGAAGAATGGAATAAAGGCATCATGAGAAAGCAAAATTTATCTGAGTATGCTTTGAACATAGTTCATCTACTATACAAGCTTAGTGTGATTTATCTTAAGGACAGACCAAAAAAACAAGGATAACAACAATAAAAAACTTCAAAGGAATATTAATTTGTATTGTTTGGCATTGTTAGAAGTAATATTAGCATTGTCATTTTGAAACTATTTGTGTCTATGATAGTTTTATAGTGTAAGATTTATATTGTAATTAATGTAAGAAGAGACATAAAAATATAAAATCAAATGTATTAGGTAAAATCCTATAATATTTAAATTTGAATTATAAATATTAGTATACATTTAGAATTATAAAGACACACACACACACACACATATATATATACACATACATTTTTTAAGAAAGAACTTAAAGCTCTGTCTTTGCTCTGTCCATGGAAAAGCTATGGAAGCCAAGCCTCCCATGTACTAATGAACATCCTTAGTATTCAGATTTGGTTTCTAAATATCATTCTAAATATCAATATTCTAAATATCAATAGGAAGGGCTTCCTAGGTGCAATGGCTAATTCCAGGAATAGAGCAGGGAATATACATGAGCCTGACTCATGTTGTTATGCCAGAAAGCAATGAAGCTATCAAAGGTTAATGACATATTATCAAAAAGACATGGAAGCCAGCTTGCAATGGATCCCATGAGCCAAAGTTGGGACAATCTGTGTATTAAAAAGAATAAATTGAAGCACATTAAATATTTTTTAAAAATCAATATGTTACTAATGTTAGTCAAAAGTGAGAAAGCCTCACACTCACCTCTAGAGAAACACCCTAATCTGTTACAATTCAGGGTATCTACTTCACTGGTTTCTTACTCTGAATATTGACAGTTAAATGGAGAGAATCAGACATTTATTTTCCTGTTATGTAGGAACTGCCTTTCAGGATGTGGCAGACTGCACCTTCCAGAGATGGCCACAGTGTTCCCCATCCCACATGCTCTTTTACAGTGTGACTGTTCTACCCTACCATCAAGAAGTGGGCTCTATGTCACCTCCTCTTGAATCTGGGCAGTCTGGTGATGGTTTTGACTAGTAACAAACAGACTACGATGAGAGTAATTCTTTGTGATTTTTGAGGATAGGTCATAAAAGGCAATTCAGCTTCTGTCATGTCTGCTGGGATATTCATTCTGGAGTTCTGAGCTTCTACATAAAAAAGTCTAATTCCCCTGAGGCCACCATGCTGTGAGGAAGCCCAAGCCACATGGATAGTCCACATGTAGGAGCTCTGGTTAGCAGTCTCAGCTGAGCTCAGTGTTCAAATCATTCTGGCCCAAGAGAGACTATGCATGAAGGAGCCTCCAGATCATTCAAGTGTCCAGTTGTTGAGTCACTGTAGCCCTTGAGTCTTTCCAGCTGAGGCCCAGACATCACAGAACAGATCCCCATTGTGCCCTGTCTGAATTCCTCACCCACAGAATCCACAAACATAATAAAATTCTTATTTTACACCATTAAGTCTGAGATGGTTTCCTACACAGCAATATTACCTAAAATTCAGGGTCACTAAAGAGTCCTAGTTAATAAAAGAAAGCTCTTCTTTTGAAAATAATCTCATTAATAAATATAGAAAGAAAAAGAATCTCAATAAAATTTCATCAAATAAATATAGAAGTGATAGAAATAGAAACTGACATTTTAAAACCCCTTAAGAGATATTTGATTTAGGCGATATCCAGTAATGATGCTAAAATCATTAGGGAAAAGACTGAATGGTAGCTGGATATTTGCAGGATGCTAAAACATTACCTCAATTGATTATTTGCTAACCTAAACGGGAAAATAAATACAACTTTAAAATTGACAGATGAGGGTGTCACTATTTAAAGTTCCTCATGAAGTAATCTTATCGTCATATGTGGTAGAACAATTTTATATTAGGTGCATTCTGATGTAATATGAAATACAGTCCCCTAGAAAGTGTTTTTACCAAAAACGTGATTAAGATTCAAGTGTCAATTTAAATGCAAGGATTAGGAGAATATGTTTAATAATGTCTCCAGGAAGCAATCCAGAAGGCAGAAAAGTCTAATTGAAAACTGACCCAGTTTCCTCAAGTCAGTGGAAGGGAAAAAGACTGGGGACAGAGGGAGGATTCTAAGTTAAAAGAGACTCAAGAGCCATGACAGCAAAATGCAATTCATGCACCTTGTTTGAGTTTAGATTTGAGCAAAAATGGTAAGAAGACCTTTGCAGAGACTACTGGCAACTTCTAATATTGGCCAGGTATTAGGTGATATTAAGGAATAAATACTAACTTTGTTAGAACTGATATTGATGTTGGCATTAAATGCCCTTATTGTTTAGCGATGCAAACTGGAGTACTTGGTGGTGACATATTATGATATCTGTAATATATTTTTAAACACCTTGGCAAAAATAAGTACAAAAATTGTAAATGTTAATTATTGTTAAATGTAGGTAATGAGTTTTGGGGGGTTCATCATTATATTTTCTCTATTTGAAATTTTTCATTGCATAAAGTCAAAAATTTGTATAGTTAATTATAATTATAAAAATGTTTTAGAGAGCCTAAGTGGTCAACCATAAAGGAATATCTGATTCAGTTATAGTGCAACTTCTAGATGGACTCTTTAGTCGTGTAAGATGATCATTGCAAAGATTATAAAAAAGTAGTGGTGCAAGTCGATAGTTCCAGCTACTCGGCAGGCTGAGGCATGAGGATGGCTTGAACCTGGGAGGTGGGGGCTGCAGTGAGCTGAGTTTGCGCCACTGAATTCCAGTCTGGGTGACAGAGTGAGACTCTGTTTCAAAAAAAAAAAGAAGAAGAAGAAGAGTTGTGATTTATAAGTTAAATATGCATATGCAAAATTATAATTTCATAGTGACTTCAATTTTACTTGAAGGAATGTGTGTGTGTACGTCCTCTTAAAATTCACATCAAGTCTACATCATTTCTCACTTTCTTGCTTGTTGGTCTTGAGGATGGCTTGTCTGAAGTAATCAAAGCCAATGCCTGCCTGTGCCAGGCACTCTGAGGGGATGGCGGTCCCGAGCACAGCATTGAACATCACTTTGGAGGAGCCTCTAATCGTTCATGAGGACTCCAGATTATCTCTTTTACACCTTATTATGGGAAAACACAGTATTCTTGTTGGCTTCCCATTTTAAATATTATATAGCCGAGAGAGAGACTGCCAAAGTCAGGAAGAAAGCCATGTTGAGATTTTAGATCATTTATTAATAAAAGTTGACAGTGGCCAGCTCTTCTTTTCCTGCTCTAAAGACCCTAATAAAGGCAGTGCTGGGCATAGGCTCAGATGCTGGAAGGATGTGGGAGAAGAGGAAGACAATCTGATGAGCTTACCTTTATTCCTGTCACCTGGTTCTGGCTTCGTGAGTATCTCCAACCCCAACTTGCTTGCCTCTCCCCATCTCAACTCTTCTCATTCCCATGCCTGTCTCCAGAGTGGGCATGTAGTGCTCCTATGTGTGGCTCCATGAGTCCTCTGGCAAAGCTTCCTTACCAATCATCATTCCCATGAAGGTATATTCATACTAACAGCTGATGGTGTTGGATATTTAAGGCAGATTTGCATCCCAATAGCAGTAAAAACCTGAAATACAGAGTGGGTTATTCTGGCCAGGGAGCTTCTAGGTAACCAGTTGGTCAAATTTTATTTTAAAGGAATTATGTCTTTTAAGAGCTCCTGGGTTCATACTACATTGATGGTTGTTTCCTCTTCTTTCAGGTAAGGTCATCCAGGCTAGAAAAATACAAAAAAAAAAAAAGAAAGAAAGAAATTCAAAAAAGACACTTGTAGAGAATTATTGAAGTTACTGATGAGAAGGTGATATAGGAAACCACAAAAGTAGGAAGGAATTTTCTTATAGTTTACTCATTCCTTTGACATTCAATAACCTTTCACTGTGTGCCTATGATAAGCTCAGTGCTGTGCCAGGCCCTAGAGACACAAAGATGATTGTATTATCTACCATCGTGGACGAGAGATCTATAAATGGATCATTTATTATATAATGTGGTAAATAATAGAAATATGCACAACGTGTTATGGCAACATAAGGCAAAAAGCAGCTAACTCTGACAGGTGTGCCTGGAAATGTCTCACAGAGAAAATGACATTTGAGCTGGGTGAGCTGGGACAATTTATTTAACCTCCCTGTACCTCAATTCCTCCTCTATGAAATGTAAATAATAGTACTCTAATCACATAGCTGTGAGAATCAAATGATTTATTACATGAAGTAAAGTGTTTAGAATAGTGCCTGAAATGTAGGAGTTATTCAAGAAATATTAGCTAACAAGAAATATTAGCTATCAGGAAGAGGAAGAGCTGGTAAAAGGAGAAACAGGAGGAGGAGGAGGAGGAAGAAAAACTTGCCACTAAGAGAGTAAGAACATTCTTATTAGAAGAAACAGCATGGGCAAAATGCAAGGTCATAAAAGAACCTGGCATGTTAGGAGAATACAAAGCAGCTCAGAGCAGCCAGAGCTTATGGTGTTTAGAGGTGGAAGTAGGTTTAGGGCCAAAAAAGGAGGAACCTTCCCTGCAGGGTTGGTTCAATTGATCTGCGCTGGCAGGACCTTACCCTTTGGCTGGTTGGTTGGTGCTCCTGCCATATCATTTGTTAAAACCTTGACTATCACCCCTGCTTTCTTTATATTAATTATAAAGGGTGGAGAAAGCAGGTGGGAGTTGATTTTAAACAGAAAATGGTGAAATAATCATGCATTTTAATAGAAGGAATATAACTCTGGAGCAGTGAAGAGAATGCATTAGAATTAGGTAGATTGGTGCCCTGGAGAAGAAACAGTAGGTTTCAGTAGTCTGTGCATGGCCCTCTGGTTAGGTGAGTGTTTTGTTTTGGTCTTGTCTCCCCTGTTACATGTGAGCGGTGGAAGGACAAGCACCATCCTTCTATCTTTAGCACCTACGTTATCACTTGCTTTGGAGTGGGTGTTCAGTAACTAGTCATTGAAGAAATCAATAAATGGAGAATGAGCTGAGATGTTGAAACCCTGCGCTAAGACAATGGTTGTGCAGAGGGAGAGAAGCGGCCAGGTGTGGAAGATATTTCTGAAGTAGAAACAACAGGACTCAGAGGAGGATCTAGGTGTGGGAAACCAGGGTAACAAAGCACCAGTCTTGTCCCTTGGTCTGTAAATTAGGCTCTGAGTGCCTTCATGCCTGTATGAGATTGCCCACAGAGGAGACAGACACGTTTGAAAGAAGGTTGGGGTGCATGCTTTGTAAAGATACAGCACTGGCCTTGGTCAGGGTGGGTCACTTGAAGGATGTGAGTTGAAAGGCAGCAAGAAGAGAGTTGCTACCCTCATCAGTCCTTCATATCCTCTGTCCTACAGAAGTGTTGCCTAGGCATATTCTACCTATTGAAAGACTTCATTTCATACAAATGAAAGACTTTCATTTCATACAGATACAAGGATGTACTTGTAACCTTTGACAGGTTCTAGAAAATCGAATGTGAGAAAAGGCAATTTCCAGTTTGGGCCACAAAAAAGCACAGGCCAGCCCTTCCCTTCCTGTCTCCCCTCCCTTCCTTCTGGTTGCAGCATGGATGTGGTGGCTGGAGCTGAGGCAGCTTCCAGGACTATGAGGTGGAAGCTGCATTTTTAGGATGGCAAAGCAATAAGAAAGATCCTGAGTGCTGGACAGCGTGGACTATCACATTAGTCCTCATTGCCTATCTTTGAATTATATGTGGGAAAGAAATAAATCTCCACCTCGATTAAGTCACTACCACCTTGACCTTTGTTAAAAGAACCAAACCAGTATTTATTTTTATTTATTATTATTATTTTTGAGACAGAGTCTCCCTCTGTCACCCAGGCTGGAGTGCAACCTCACTGCAAACTCCGCCTCCTGCGTTCAAGCAATTCTCCTGCCTGAGCCTCCCGAGTAGCTGGGACTACAGGCACTTGCCAGCAAGCCCGGCTAATTTTTGTATTTTTAGTAGAGACAGGGTTTCACCATGTTGGCCAGGCTGGTCTCGAACTCCTGACCTCAGGAGATCTGCCCACCTTAGCCTCCCAAAGTGCTGGGATTACAGGCGTGGGCCACCATGCCCAGCCTCAAACCAGTATTCTAACTAATGTATCTCCTCAGCAAAAATAATTAGAGGTAAAAAGGTAAATATCCTGGAAATAGTAATCGAATTATTTTTTAATCCTAAATTATGCACCTATAATCTTTAACATAAAATACTAGCTGCTCTGAGATAAATTATCAAATAAGTGAGTTGATTGAGAGTTGGAAGGAGACTAAGAAGGAACACCAGGTGAAGGGAAGAGATAGAGGGGCCATAGAAAGAGAGAGACTGGCAATGCCCAAAGACAACCTTCTCCTCAGCTCCAGTCTTGTCTAGGGTCTCCCCTGGTAGACAGAGAAGAGTCAACATTGATTAGATCAGTAGGAAAGGCTTTGTGGAGGGGATGGGATGGCTGCAAAGAGAGAGAGGCAAGCCTGCTCCAAACTGACATTCTTGGATAATGAAAGCAATAGATGTCACAGTGTAATTTTTAAACTGGAGAGTAAGCCAAAAGTTTCCTCTCTGCCTCTTTCTTTTTTTCTTTATCTGTATTTGGGTGCCAATTATACACAGAAAAGACAAACTCAGTTTGTTTAATGTCAGACCGTAGATATTTGTGATCTGGCAAAGGGCAATCCCTTTGCAATTTTGGAGCCTGTCATCAGGATTAATGGACCTAGAGAAAAATGTCTGGAGCAATGTTTTGCCGTTCAAAGACCCTCAGGTCCAGAGCCATCGTGGCTGGGCAACCTCCCAGAGCTGCTCAAGCACATCCTATGATTCCCTATCGCTTGGTGGACTGCCAAGCCTGCTGCTCCCTTTACCCTCCCCAGCTCCACAGAAAAGTTTAGAAAGTGCAGGTTACTCCCACGGGTCACCTGGCAGATGCCCAATCCTTCCATGGAAGAGGCTGACCCTGCAACCAGGGAGTGCAGCATTCCCTGAAATGACTTAGAGGCCTTCTCTTTGCAATCTAAGAAGCTGCCAACGGGGTGCTAACCCCTGATGCAGAGAGGGCTACCTCACCCTCTTTTCTTGGACCACTCATTTTCTGTGTGCCTTGAAACATCCTTGGAGCAGTGGATGTCATGGAGAACAAAATAGTCATCTAGAGGAAAGGCCCAGGCTCCCTCAGAACATCACACATATCCCTGCGGCTATATGAGTATTTTGTTTATCTCCCTCACTAGGAGGAGAGAAGTTCCAGTTACTCTTAGCATAATCCTGCTATACCAGCTATCACAATGACTTCAAGTTTCTGACGAGATATGGAGATATGTGTTATTCAGCTTTGCACACATCTCCCCTCTTCATCTTAAGAGCTAATCATACTCCTTGGCATTTTAATGCTATTGCAATAATTCTCAACTTTTGGTGCATCTCTGAATTTTTGTGAAGCTTTAAAAAAATATACATGCCCATGCCCCATGAATGGATGCCCATTATGTAGGTGTGAGACAGGTACTGTGCTGTGAATAACTGTTGTTTTTAATCTGCTCAGCGTTTTCTACCAGTTAAGAAACCACCTCATTTTTCCCTGGGAAACAATACCCCAGCACCACATACTGCTTGGAAGGGATGTTAGTGAAGATATCTCCATAGGACCCCAACAAGCATGGGCATGAGACCGAGCAAGGCCATTGTTTTAGTTCAGGCTGCTATAAAAAAGTCCCACATCCAGGTGGTTTATAAGCAACAGAAATTGATTTTTTGCAGGTTCTGGAGGCTGGAAGCCTGAGATCAGGATTCCATCATGGTCAGGTTCTGGTGAGGGCCCTCTACCAGGTGGTAGACTGCTAACTTCTCACTGTATACTCATATGCAGAAGAGAACAAGCCCCATGACCTAATCACCTCTCGAAGGCCCCAATCCAAATGCCATCACACTGGGGATTCAATTTCAGCATATGAATTTGAGGGGGACACAAACACCCAGTCCATAACCCAGTCTCTCCCAGAATGAGAACTCTGGATGAAGAAAAGCAAGAATGGACATTTATTGGAGTGGATTGCTCTGGTGAGGCCTCGCGAAGTCCTTTCTGCCCATGGTGATGCCCAGCGCCACCCTGCCTCGTCTGTTCCCAGGCCTGGCTCCTCAGCTTTCCTCCACTTCTGTGAGCACTCTGTCTTTCCAATAAATTTCTTGCTTGTTTAATGTTAGCCAAAATAAGTTTCATGTTTACAACCAAGTAACCCTGACTGCCACTGAGACACAGGTGATTTTTAAAAGCTCTGCAGGTGCACTGGCCTGCGGAGTTGAGCTGGGAAGCACTAGCCACCTATGTGTGGGGCTCTGTGCTAAGAGTTCCATGTACACTTTTTTCATTTAACACTCACAAAAATCCAACAAGTCAGGAAACCGAGGCCCACAGTCATCCAGTTAGTAAATGATCATTCTAGGATTTGAAAACATTTACTCCCAAAGCCTCTCAACCCCACTGATAAGGGTCTTCCAGTGGCAATGATATCTAATTCTCTTGGTCTCCCATGGTTCTGTGACTCTTCGTAACTTTTCATTTGCTACCTTTTATTATACTTATCATGTATATCTACTAATCTGCATTACTGGATTATAAGCTCCTTGAGGACAGTTTTAAAGTAGGGGAGCTCTTAACCTTTAATATGGTACCTTTTGTGCTACTACACTACACATAGAGATTCCCCTGTATTTGTTGAATAAGTGAATGAATAAGTGAATGATGGTAACGGGTTACCATACAGTGTGAATTAGTGAGTAACCAGCCATTGATGAGTTCATCCTGAAGCAGAGAGAGCAGGAAGTGTTGACATGGGCTGACATAAACATATGGTCACGAAGGCATTTCTTGGTCTAAAGGATCATCAATTAATGACTTTCTCCAACCCTGGAAATTCTTTTTTCTGCTCCGACTCAACGCCCAACCTGAGCTACCCTTTCCCAAACATCTTACTTTCCTGCCTGTTCAGGTCTAACAAACAATGGGGGAGAGGCAGATAGGATGACTTGTCCTCCTCAAGCACAGAGAACATCATAATTTCTCTAGGTCACCCAAATATAGAATTTCCATGGGCCAGAGCAATAAGCTGGACAGAAAGAAGCTAACACAGAGCCTTAGAATTTCCTGGGTTTTACAAGCTTCCCCACTTAAGGAAATGCTACTAACTCTTCCGGAATAGTAATTTGTAACATACTGAATAAATATTCTTTGTTTGCCTCCTACCTGTCACTTAAGTGAACTGAAAGAGAATCCAGATCATGATGTCTGGCCGCAGGGCTTTGGTTCAGATTTGAAACCCATCTATCTGTCCATCTATCCATTCACAAAGTATTATTGAGTGCCAGCTTCCTCCCAGGCACTGGGCTCTGCTGTGGTTCCAATTATTAAGGAGCTCATAGCAAGTAGTGGAGACCAACCTGTAAATAGGCTAGGCCATTTGAACACGGTGTGGCAAGGGCTTAATTGAGATAAGCACAGCTTGGGAGTGGATAGGAAAGACAGGAACCCAGCCTTGTCACATGGAATGGAGCTGCCTGGAGGATGTTTTTGACAAGATCTTTCCTCATGCAGAGTTTTACTTAAACCAGCCCTCTCTAGACTTTTACCTAAACCAACTCCAGGAGAATCCTTTTGTCTCAATTATTGCCTACCAAAAACACTGCTTTACCATGATTGGTGCCAGGTTGTAAGTGACCACATGATAGGTAGGCTAGTTAAGATGGGATAAGACTGAGATATCAGGAAGTCAGGCTTATCTGAGCCAACATTAACCGAGCACTTACCACATGCCCAACAGTATACTATGAAATTCATCAAAGTATCTCATTAAAGAGTCACCATAAACTGATTTCATAGTATAGGTATTCTGACTACTATTTTCTAGATGAGTACGCTGAGCCTCACATAGGTTCAGGAACTTGCCTAATATCTCACTGGAGTGAAGCCAGTCTTCAAAGACCTCTGGCTCTATAGCATACAGAGTCACTATTACATCTGCTTCCCAAGGGCAGGCCTGTGTCATATACTTTTTTGATAAAGATTTCACCCTAAAAAGGACTTTTCAAATTCATTATGAAAACAAATGCAATTTTGAGTTTTGTCGTAAAATAAATATCTACCTGCCCCAACTGAATTCTTAAAGTTGCACAAACATGTTCGATATTTTATAAGTTCAATGGAGATTCTCATAATTATTATTGACAGTAAGTTAAGGGCAATTTCCAGCGTGCAAGGTGAAGCCGCTGGGCCTGAACAGTTCCATGGCCCCCTCCTTCTAGAAGACTTCCCAGATCCCCTCCATAAAGGTAATTCTCTCCCACTCACTTGGCCTGACTTGTGCCTCTCTCTCTGAGAATCTGAAGCTGTAGAGACCAAGCCAAGTTTTTATTATTGTCTTTTGTATCTCCCTTGCAGCCAGGTCAGTGCTAAACACATAGTAAGTCCCCGAGAAATGTTCCTTAAGAGTAATTTGTATTGACAATTTTGGAAACAATGGCTCACTCTCAACATAAGCAATTACATTCCTTGCTACTCTGTCCTTTAAATGGTTTCCTAAATATGAACTGAAAGAGCCCACCACCCAGGACTCTCTGTGTTTCTCATAACACACTTTGCAACATGCTTCTATATACATTTTTCTGAGAATAAATGAGTGGCACTCAAAAAGGCTTTTAGCTATGATTTGAGACATACATTATGATCAGGCACAAACTTTGTTATTCTGTTATTTTGAAATTAGAAAATTAAGTTGCAGACACACACACACACACACATACACACACACACACATTGATTTCAAAGGCCTTGTTTATTTCCTGAGTCTCACAAAGTAAAATAACCTGAAAAATCACCTATGGCAAATTCTTGCCAGACTTGGATCTCAGAAGTGCTGCCTTCCTCAAAAGTCCGTTAGAAAGTCTGTGGTGTGTAATTAAATCAAAGCCATTTGTTATTACTCTCTTCAAAGCTTTGAGCCTGGGTGTATCAGCCTCTACAGCCAAACCATTTCACCAGCCACTCGGCACTTGTTTACTCCAGCTGCCTCCAGGAGTTCCCTCTGGGCGGCCTCCCAAGCTGCTGCCAGGACTCCTCCCTCACCTCCATTCATCTAAACGTGTCCAGATGGCTCCGGCTTGGTCTGGGTTGCAGAGGCTCATAGAGAAAGCCTAGGACATTTCGGGGTACAGTTGTGAATTGCTCACTACGAAACCCAATTTGGGATCTTTAGAACTTGGCTGTATCTTTTTATTGACAGCCACAGGCAGTTAGTTGAAACACGTCCTGGGAGAGAAATGTTAAGCCGCTCTGGAAATGCTCAGTGTTTCAGCTGAGAGACTAACACTCGGCCACACAGGACTGTGAGCTCCACAGGGCTAAGAGCAACATCTGTCTTGTCACTGTTGTATCCCCAGCGTCTAGACATGGTGCCGAGACATAACAGGTACCCCACAAATGTTTGTAAAATGACTGAATAGTTGAAAAGGAAATTATATAAGAAGCTAGCAATGTCATCACTGCTACAGACGATGTTTACTAACCAGTTTAATTTCTTTTCCTCCACCAAACTGACTAACCAGATGGACTGGCTGTCTAGGTATTTGACACACAAACCTTGAGCTTTGTCGTTTGGGGCTGACATTTGTCCCATCTCTTCAGCACACACAGGAGAACCAATGTCAAATTCCTGAGTCACACTTTTAAGCATAGAATTTATTTTCTCTTGAGCACTATTCAGTAGAACTTTCTGTGATGACGACAATGTTCTATTTAAATAGCCTCATGTAAACTAGTGGCTGCCATGTTAGACAGCACAGATCTAGATATTCTAGATTAACTTGTCAAATTTCCCAAGAAGGAGGCTGGGAATAACTGATCTGTACCTTGCTAATCACAAACTTTCAGATCATCAGGCTGATTGAGAGGACTTCAGTTTCTCACTGTGCCAAGACCAGTGGGCTAAGGCAACAGTCCCAGAGTCACGTCCTGAGCACTTGTGACCGTGATATACATTTCCTTTGAGTTTTACTCATGCAGTTTGGGGAGGACGTGATGACAATGAGTCCTGCTCTGTACAGCCAATGGCATTTCTCAGGTCCACAGCCCCAGTATGTCACTTAGTCCCTGGCCAAGCAGGGATGAGGCTGGGAATAGGTGTAAGCCTGTGGCAGAGGGTCTCAACACCTAGAATCTACTTTTCTAACAAGCACTCCAGAGGATTCTGGTATAATCAGGCCCCAGACCATGCTGAGCAGCAGTGCCAGTGGATGGGTCACTACCGGGCGTCTCTGGCTGAACAGTAGTCCTCAGTAGGTCACCATTTCCTGGAAAACTGCTTATACCTCGCCAATCTCGACATGCACCTTCCCTACAGGGTCCTCCTTTCCTGCTCCTCTGGGCAGAATCCACAACAACCTTCAGAATGCTGCCCTATGCCACCTCCTCAGGGAAGCCTCTCCACCCACATCAGCATTTGTCACTCGGTCACAGCGTGTGAGTTGGCCATGGACACACGCAGGGCAGGGGGTGGACTAACTCATCTCGGCATACCCAGTGCCAAGCCCCAATGCTTGGCCCAGCACAGGCATTTATTACCCCATACCTCTTGTTCGAATTACTCCAAGTTCCATTTTTAAAGAGGAGTGAGTCCCTGTGACGACTCATCCCTCAGACATTAATGCCATACCAGGCACACAAAGCAAACGTGAGGATCAGATGGGAGAAATGCGAGCGGCTTAGACATGGGTGAAAGGCTTTAGGCTGCTCATGCTAGGGGTTTGTTCCAGTTGAAATCCAACTGCAGATCATAATCAAAAGCCCAGGGCAGGACAAGGGGGTGGGAAGGGCCACTGAGCGGACTGTCATTAACTCTGGACTGTGCCTACATGCCTCTTTCCCACAGTGAGCCAGGACACTGAGGAGCAGGGCTCAGAGCCAACCCTCCCGCCCCTCAACACACACACATTCAAACCAGGCCTCATTTCACTCATCTCTTGCCACGACTGGCTGGGGTTATTGTCTACTTAGAGCTACTTGCCCTGTTTTACTGTGGAAATTATAAATAACTTATTGAGTCTTGCATGGAATGTATCTTCCAAATTAGCCTTGTTAACCCTAAGAAGGAAGGGAAGAAATTCCACCAAGAGAGGGGAAGGGGAGGTGATGTAGGTAACCTAGATCGTTTATGTTCTTCACTGACTCTCCATATAGCTTAAGAGGGGGTTCACAGCCATTGTTATCAGAGAATGGATTTGGATTACAGGTGGGTGAAGGCACATTGGACTTAGCTCCGCTTTCTGGATTTCTGTTACAACAAGCTATTATTCATTTGCTTTTATATATTTAACAAGCATTTTCTGAGGCCCTGCCATATGCAAGACACTGTTTCAAGCACTCTGAGACACAGAGATGAGTGAACATGGCCTCCACCTTCCCTGAGGAACTCACCGTCAGTGGGGAGCGTAATTCATAGGCTCAAGAGAGGAGCTGGGCAGTGAGCCAAGAAGGGGGGAGAGCTGGGCAACTAGCAAATTCTTTAGTGTTTGTTATTTCTAAGTGATACCCTGTTTGTTCTCTAAAAGAAAGCAATTTAATATAAAATGTATTTAAGATAACACTGGTAAACATTATAACTCAAAGCCATGTTGAAGGAGGGGCTAACAACCTAAGCTAAAATGGTCCTGCTGGCTAAACAGCACTCAGCCTTGAGCATCATAGATGTCAAGGAAAAAGAAGGGCCTGGTGCAATGGCTTACATTTGTAATTCCAGCACTTCGGGAGGCTGAGGCAGAATTGCTTGAGCCCAGAAGTTCAAGACCAGCCTGGCAGCATAGCAAGGCCCTGAGACCCCCTCTCTACAAAAAATTTAAAAATTAGCCAGGCGTGGTTACACATGCCTGTAGTCCCAGTTACACAGAAGGCTGAGGCAGGAGGATCACTTGAACCCAAGAGGTCCAGGCTGGCAGTGAGCCATGGTTACACCACTGTACTGCAGCCTGGGCAACAGAGAAAGACCCTGTGTCAGAAAAAAAAAAAAAAAAAAGATTGGGAGAGGGGTATGAACAAAAAGAAACAGAAGAGAAGCACAGGATGGGCTTATGAATAGGTGTTCCAAAGTCACCTTTCTCAGCCCCCTGAGCTCATTGGTGCCTACCCTAGCTGCATCCCCTCCTTGCTCTCTGTCCCAGGCCAGAGATTGGACTCCTGGTCCTCCTGGTCCCTTATGAACAGAACCCTCCATCTGGGCAGAGGAAGTCCCCCTGTCCTGGCTGCTGGAAGTGCCAGGATGAGCAGCTATTGGGAGGTAAGGGATGGGTACACAGTGAGCCCCACCTCCAGCCCCCTGAAGCCCAGGGCACGTCCAGGACTACTGAACAATATAAAGGACCAGGTTTTGCCTCCAATCCATTCCTAATCAATAAAAATACAATAAAAATGAATCACTAGAAAACTAAAATTTTATAAATTTAACTAAGGGTATGGCCATATTGGTTGATGCTTGGATGTTTCAGCAATGTCAAATCTCTAAAACATTTTCTGGACTTCCTTTTAATTCCTGTATTTATCTCATGGCTGTCCAGAAACAAACATTTTATAGTGAGGCATGGCCACAGCCCATACTTTAAGTAGCACTGATCTGGACCAAAGGTGGGCAAACCAGTTAAACACCTCTTTTCCCAGGAAACTTACCAGCCAGCTGGACTGATCACTCTGGAAGATGAGGCCAACCACCCCCAGAAGCTATCCTGTCCAGAAAGGCTTAAATATCATCCTCCCTCACGGTCAGATCTCTGCTGGGGTAGTAAGGCACTAAAGCCCCACCCCACGTGCAAGATAATCAACAGTGGACTCAGCCATCCACCCTCCTGCTCCAATACTTTTCATATGTCACTTCACTTTATCCGCATAACAGCCCAGGGAGTTGGGCATGTGTTTCCCCCTCTAGACAGGTGGTAACCTGAGCTTCAGAAAGATAATAACTCAAGGCACACAGCCAGCGAGTGGCAAGCCTAATACTGGCCCCCAGGGCTCCTGAAACCAGGGCTTGTCTCCCGTGTTGCACGGTGATGCCTCTATGAGATGGCAGGGTTTCCATGGGAGTCAGCCCTGGTGGAGATCAAGCGGACCTTTGTGGCCCAGGGAATGCTAATTATACACTCCTAGGAGCCCCAATAGCTGGAGAGTTGGAATTGCTGCAGGAAGGAGTAGAACTTGGCAGTAAGGAAACCCCAGGAAATCCACCCTCCCCCAACACACACACAAAAAAACACAGCCCTACTTGAGAGCTGCAGACTACCCCTATCCTGCTTGGTCTAGGATGGAAATGTTCTTTTCCACAGGGACTGTGGGGCCCACCACCATGTTGTGAAGCCCCGTGGCGTTGCGCCCATGATAGAAACCAGGATTCCATGGGATGGAGGCAGAGCTGTGCTGCTTTGGCAAGAGACAGGCCACCATGGAAATGTGACAACCTGCTTAACCCTGTCTCTACCTGTGAACATCCCTCCAGGACCTCTCCACTTATCCATACCATGGTGAGCTCATGTGACAGCACAGGATGACAGAGGTGACACTGTTGATATTTAGAGAGAGCATTTCATCTCCAAGCAGCTGGGTGTGCCTCTCTGCACCTCTGAGTGAGGAATTACAAACTCAACCTTTATTCTATAAAGACAGCCATTCTCCTAGCCCCTGGAACATGCCTTTCTCTGACGATGGCTGTGGGTAGGAAGAGGCTGATGGTTCTGGGCCTGTCTGTGCATGAGCAGGTTTATGGGGATAAGGATAAAAGTGTGAGAATCCACATATGTGTTCATGGTCATGTGCCCCTGTGACCTTGCATGTGTTGTGGGCCCCTGTAACCACATTTCAGGGCTTGTCATCTTCCACTGCAACCCAGGGGCCCCAAGATCTAGCACTGCAGAGGCCCCACTGTGGAAGACAGTCAGGATGGAGCAGGACCGCCTGTCCCATGCTTCTTGCCCCAAGACTACTGCCTGGGAGACTCTGGGCTTTGCAGTTCTGGCCACATGCCTTGAGAAGGGACAGGAGTCTCTGCAGGGCAAAAGACGTTTTTCTGCCTCATGCCCCAGCCTGACTGTGAAGTAAGTAGGGGGAAGGCATGGAGCAAATTGGAGACTCTGATGGGGAATAGATATTACTTGCTTCAGGGACTCTCATCTCCCTTTCTGGGTGGGCTCAGAAAGCTGGGCACCTAGGGGCAGTCAAACCCACTTCCTTCTGGCATCTCTGAAAAGTACCCAAGATGTGAGAAACTAGGAGGGCCTGAGCATCTTCTGATGGGAGAAGGGGAAGGGGAGGGTCATTTCACAGGTCGCACCCCTTTTGGTGTGTCCATGACAACGGTAGAGGGATGCCTTCTATGACTATGGAAAGGAGCAGGAGCAAGGGTGGGGGATGAGGGAGATTCTGGGGAATCTGGACTAGAGTCAGTCTGGATATTTTAACAGGTGACTTTCAAGTGTCTACAGTATGTCAAGTGCAGAGTTGCCTCATTTCACCCTCACAGCAACTGTATGAGGCGAACACATTATCCCCATTGTACAGAAGAGAAACCTAGGCTCAGAGAGTTAAGCAGTGTGTCCAAGGCCACAGAGCTGAAGAGTTTGAGCCAAGAGTTGAACTCCCACATTCCAACTCTAAATGCTATCATTTTCCAACACACCACAGTCTCTTCTTCTTCGCCAGCCCCACCCTTTTAAGCACCTCTGGTGGCAGAGCCAACCCTTTCCCTGAGCGATTTGTTTTGGGAAGCAGGCGTGGCAGCCAGCATAACTCTCCCTAGCTCCTCTCCAGACTCCTTCCATGACAGCAGAGGTGGATCCCCTGTCGCCAGAGCAGGCCTTCCTGCCTCAAGCCTCATGTGGCAGTCAGGCACCTAGCTCCTGCCCCCCTACCTAGTTACACCCCTGCATTCTTCTCCCTCTGTCACCAGCTTCCTGGGGGCAAGGCTTGGTCGCAGGGGGTGAGGGACATTGAGTCGGAGGAGAGCTAGTGTGCCCTTCCTCACCTTTAGTGCCTCCTTCCATTTTAAAAGACATCAGAGTCCAACATGGCCCCATCCTTGGCTCAGAGAGGGGATCCTGTGGCAGAGGTTGCTTTTGGTTGTTGACAGAGCCAGGACATAATGAATAGCCCCGACTTTTGCCACGCTTTAAGGTTTTGTTTTTCTATGGTTTCTCTAATGTCAATCCAATATGGTCTTAACAACTGTCCCTTCAACACATTATCTTCATAAAATGTTTAAAAAAGTCACTTTGACACATTTGTGCCTGTCTTCTCTCTAAGTCCCTTAAAAGAATTAGGGAATAAAGGAATAACAAATATATTTCTTAAATAGCAAAGGAATAATAAAAATATAAACTCTCATGGACAAAGAGAAGGAAAAGAAAACCATTGCTCAGTAGAGCTGACAAAGGGTTCTACGAAGGGGACATGATGATCTCACCCCTAGGACCAAGTCTTGGGACTTGCATGTGTCTGGTAGAACTGAAGCCTGCATGAAAACAGGAGACTGGCTGGAAATGTGTACATAGAGGAGTTAGACCTCCTGGGTCCCCTCTCAGTCAGCACAGCCAGGCTGTCATGCCACCCCGCAAAGAAGAGGCTGGAGGCTTCCTCTCTTGAGGATCGCAGTAGACATTCCAATCGTGGGGATGCCAAATACAGTCACCCAACTGGCCGTGGCAAGTCACAGTCTTGTCAAGGCCTGCTGGTGGAAAGGAGACATGTCACCCTCCCTGGATTCATAACTGACTGTCCACCAGCAGAGGGGTGAGGTGAGCCAAGATGAGATTCTGGGCTGGACACTGACTACCCGGGCAGCTATACCCACATGTGACACAGGTTGTGAAGCAGGGAGATTCATGTGCTGCCTCTGCCACTTACCTGTTAGGAGTTAGAACACAAGATTTACCCTCTAAGGTCTTGGTTTCCCTGTGTTGTGGAGATTCACGTCTTCCAGGGCTGACGTGGACAATGGGAGAAGATGCTCCTCCTGCAGGCGTGTGCTTCTTTGCCTTGGGCCCTGTCTCCTGACTGACTGCTGTCATCATTGGACCTCCGGTTCCTACCATGTCATTGATAAAAGACGTTCTCTCTGGACTCACATATTTCCTCTACCCTCACCTCCCTACAATTCTGCTGGATGACAGCATGTGGACGTTGACCTGCCAGCACGCTAGCCCCGAAGTTTCTTGAGCGCGTTCCTTCCAGTGGCCTTCACCCCCACTCCACTTCCACCATTCACTCCCTTGTCCTTCTCTGGAAGGTCATCACTCATAACTGTTCCACTTCCAAAAAGACTATCTCAATATCCCACTCTTGCTCCACCAGCTCCTTGCTTTCCTGCAAGGTGGTTCAGCTTTTCTCACCACCATTATTCTTTCTTCTCTCCCCTCTGTAGTCCTCCCTGCTTGCTCTGAGAGCATCCATCCTGTCCTATCTTGACTTCTCTCCTGTATCCAGCTTATATTCCACAGTCCATCATTCAGTAACATTTTTTTTTTTTTGCCAAGACTATAAATTCCTTGGTCCCTCATACTTAATCACCACGTTTGACAAAACCTCAGCCCTGGATGAAGCCAGTCACACTTGTCTCCACATCTGTATCCAAGCAGCTGAGCACTTAGTGGTAGTAGAGGAAGTCGGAGAACAGGGCAGATTGGCTTCCTCTAAAGTCATGATCTCCAGTCATTATATATGCTCTTAATTCCTCCCAGAAACCCTCTTGGTTTCCCTTGTCATCTCCTTCCTGCTTTCTGTAATTATTTCAAACCTTCTCCATTTTTCTCATGCCTTCAAACTTCTTCTCATCTGCGGCTCGCAGCAAAGGTCTTTGTTTCCTGCTTGTCAGAAAATATAAGAGCCACTAGACAGGAAGTCCCTCAGCTTCTAATAGCAAGAACATAAATTACTGACACCTGCATACATCCTGACTTCCTCTTCCTGCTCCAGTGGAGGGGCTGCCTGCCCCCCAGCTTGTCCTACTCTTTGCACTCCTACCCTCTCGGGAATCTTACTGTATTGATTATCCTTTCCTCTTGACTGAGTCTTTTCTAAGCCTTTAAATATATGCAGCACCTCCCATTATTAAAAACGAAGAGAGAAAACAGAAGGAAAAGATGGAAAGAGGGAAGAGAAGGAAAGAAGGATGAAAGGAAAGAAGGAAGGAAGGAAGGGAGGGAGGGAGAGAGGGAGGGAGGAAGGAAGGAAGGAAGGAAGGAAGGAAGGAAGGAAGGAAGGAAGGAAGGGGGCAAAATAGAAGGAAAGGAGGAAGAGGAAGAAGAGGGAAAGAGAAAACCTCTCACCTGGTCCTCATTTCTCCCTAGTTATCTCCTTCTTTCCCCTCCTTTACAGCCCCAATTCTCAAAATACCTATCTTCATCTTCTGGCCCCCAGTGGCTCAATCCATCCCTGTCTGGATTCCCACCCCTCTGCTCCACCAAAATACCCCCTATCAACAGCACCAAGGGCTGCATGTCTATTTTTAGTTCATGTCTTACCTGACCTTGCAGCCACAGCCACCATTGCTCCTCACTCTCCTGTGGCTTCAGGGACACCTGCTGGTTTCCTCTGGCCACTCCCTTTTGAGCTCCTCCACAGAATTTTTCTCCACTCATAGCCTATTAAAGCTTGGAGTCCTGGACCTTCTTGTTCTATACTTTCTCCCTGGCTAATTTTATTCATACCTACAGTATTAATTATCAATTGCAAATAATGCATAAATCTGTCACCCAGATCCATATGTCCACCTACCATTTGACATCATCCCTGGAATATCTTATAAGAACTTTATGTTCCACAGGTTCTCAAACTCATGATCTCCTCAACCTCTCTTCCTTTTCTGGAACCTGTTTCTCTTCCACTGCACCCTATGCATCACTAGCCATCCAAAAACTTCCCTCTCCTTCACTCCCTATGTCCCATTCATCACCAAGTCCTGTGAATTTTATTTCCTATATTTCTCTCAATTCGATCTAATCTCCATCTCTAGCATAACTATTTACCACAGTCCAAGCTTCCATTTTAACTTTCAAGTTCAAATGCTGTGGCACCCCAACTAGTTTATGCTAGACTATTCTAGGCCTATTCGGATCCTTTTCTAGTCCATATTGCAGTCAGAGTTACCTTTGCAAAACACCTCTAATTACATCATCCCCTGTATAACCCATCAATAGCTTCCCACTGATTTTAGAGCAAACATAGAACTATTTAATATGAGGCTTAAGTGCCTCTATGGTTTAACACTCAAGTCAGCCATGTAGTGAGTTCTGGGTCACATGGCCTAAATTCACAGCCAGGCTCTACCACTATTGCCAGTGTGACACTGGTCAACTTATTTTCTGAATCTCCCCATATCTCAGTTTTCTTACCTGTAAAATGATAATATTGGTTGCTAATAATGGTATCTATGTCATAAGGTTGTGGCAATCCCATTACTGGGTATATACCCAAAAGAATATAAATCACTCTATTATAAAGATACATGCACACATATGTTCATTGCAGCACTATTCACAATAGCAAAGACATGGAATCAATCCAAACACCCATCAATGATAGACTGGTTAAAGAAAATGTGGTACATATATACTATGGAGTACTGAGCAGCCATAAAAAGGAATGAGAGCATGTCCTTTGCAGGGACATGGATGGAGCTGGAAGACATTATTCTCAGCAAACTAATGCAGGAACAGAAAACCAAACACGACATGTTGTCAGTTTTAAGTGGGAGCTGAACGATGAGAACATGTGAACATATGATGGGGAACATCCACACTGGGGCCTGTGAGGGGGTCATGGAGGCAGGGAGAACATCAAGAAGAATAGCTAATGGATGCTGGGCTTAATACCTAGATGATGGGTTGATCTGTGCAGCAAACCACCATGGCACACATTTACCTACGTAACAGCCCTGCACATCCTGCGCATGTACCCAGGAACTTAAAGTAAAAATTGATGAAAAAAATAAAGATAAATGTGTTAAGCAATTAGAGTGGTGCCTGCCACACAGCAAGCACTCAGTAGGCCTCAGCCCTCATCACCCCTGCCTCCCCAGCCTCATCTCTCCCCTCACATCCACTCATCAGTCTATTTTAGCTGGGTTGGCTCCCTCTTGGGCCCTCGTTCTCACCACACTCCCTCTCTCCACATGGCTTTTGCATGTGCCATTCCCTTTGGGCCTCTATTTCCTTCCCTGGAAGAAGGCACCATCCTGGAGGCACAGAACTCAGCACGCTAGAGTAATTGACCTGAAAGGCACCTTAGGAGCCACCTAGCCATCTCCTCATTATACAGATTGGGAAACTGAGGCCCAGAGTGGGGAAGGGACAGGTCCAGTGTCACACAGCAAGTTCACACTAGAGCCAGGACTAGAACTCAGGTCCCTGACATTGATCCCAGAACTCTTTGCGCTGCCCATCACAGCTCACTAGTTCACTCGCTTCATAAATATTAAGCCTCACTTTGTGCTGGACCACAGGCAGATGTACACATACAGAAATAACTCTGATTCAAGGACAGTTGAGGCCAGAGCTTTTGAAAAAGGGTTTATATCCGGGCTGTGGGAGCCCACCACAGAGAGCAGTCAATGCCAGGCTGACTCAGGCCTGCTCATGGGGGAGGTGGGAGGTAATGATATCAGAAGTGGGCCCTGAAGAAGGAGCAGGGTAAAGCTGGGAGAGGGCATCTCAGGCTTAACAAATATTACACATTCTGAGACTTATGGGATGGATGTGTGTTGGGGTAGCTTCCCTAGACTAGTTGGAAACCTGCGGGGAAAAGGGAAAGTGGCAGAGAGAAGAGATCCAAAGGGGAATTGGGGCCAAGCAAAAGGAGGAGCTGGAAGACCAGCTGCCCTGCCTCACTATTCTGCAGAAGCCTCCCCAACTCCCCAAGGGCTGCCTTTCCTCCCTCACTTACTAGGTCAAGTGAGGATGGACATAGCACCTTCTATCTCACTCCCAGCTCCCCTCTTTCAGAAAGTTACCAGGTGCCTCTTCCCCAGCCAGGCTGTGGTGGACTTTCCCATCAATAGCCACTGCTAACAGAAGCTTGGAGGGGGGCAGCATTGAGAGCCCTGGGTCTGACTCTGTCAGGAAACAAGCCTGGAGGGTTCACCCGTGCTCTGGATGTAATCAGGATGTAACGCGGGGGAAGCCAGTCAGGAGCAAAGCCAAGGTTAATACCAAGGATGGAGCTTCAAGGAGTTAGAAGGCAGGGTCCGGGCTGGGGGGCTGGAAACCTAGGTTCAGTGCCTTCCCAGCCCTCACTATCCCTAGGCAGTGCTGTTCCTCATGAGCCTCTGCCCCTGTGGCAGCCCACAGCCAGGCTAAGACAGGGCTGGGGACAGCATTCCTCTCCCACAGCCCTCCTTCCTCCCTGGTTCTGGTCTGAAAACCCAGTCACCCTTCACTCACCTAGCTAGGTACCAAGGGTAGGACTTATTACCGAGTGCCCTGCCATCTGCCCCAAGGTAGTAAATGAGGGCAGAGGAAAATTGCAACCTCCCCATGTTAAATGTGTAAAAGGAAAAAGACTCTGAGGCCACAAGGCTTGAGCGGATCACAGGGAGCAAGCACCAGACTGAGGGGAGGCATGGAGCAGTGGAGGAGGAGACTCCTTGCTGGGGACTCCTGCTGGAGCTCTGCGGCCCCTGCACCTTCAGTCCCAATGCAGACACTGGTGCCTTCAGACCAGCCAGAGATGGGGTGGCAGGGGTACAAGTGTTCCCACCTTCCTAACATCCCCAGTTTTTGGATATGTGATGTCATCCAATCCTCATGACCCAGACAAGGAGGATCCCATTCCAAAAGGTCAAGTGCCAAAGTCACACAGCAAATAGATCGGTGGCACATAGGTAGGCCTAATAGCTGTGTCTTTTGATTCCTGCCTGGAGGCCCTGCTAGGCACCCCTTGCTAGGCATTGTGGGAAACTCAGAGATGTTTGAGACATGCCCCTTGCCCTCAAGGAGTTTGCAGCTTAGCTAGTAAAAAGGGCACGCTTAAGATGGTAGCATCCACTCCTGCCTGTGAGAGCCTCCAGCCTGCCAGCCTGCCCTATGGATTTTGGGTTTGTCAACACCCACATGTCACAAGCCAATTTCTTGAAACAAAAAAAAAAAAAAGAGAGAAGAAAGAAAGAAAAGGAGGTGGGGCATGGGCACAGTTAGCTCTACCAGAGAAACAGCACAATACAGTGGTTAAAAGTAAGGCTTGTAGAGTTCAATGTTCTTGGTTTAAACGTCATTCCACTAGCAGAACTAATGAGGCCTGGAACCATGGGTAAGTTCCTTAACTGCTCAAGTCTCAGTTCATTCATTTCCAAAACAGGGATATTGGCAGCACCTGCTCCATGGGTTGCTTTGAAGATGTAATGAGATAATGTATGTAAAGCTCTTAGCGTGCTGCAGCGAACATTGTAAGAACTCTGCTGTCATTAGTACTAAGGGCAGATTATCATAAATGTTAAGATGTAAAAGGCAGCAAAAAGGCAAAAGAAAGGATTAAGGCAGCCTAAAGGGAGAAGAAAAATTATCCGTTCTGTGCCAAGTCCTATGGGAACAAGCAATTCATTAAGGCTGGAGGAAGGAAGGAGGCAGGGTTGGAAGAAGATCTCAGAGAGAAAGAGGATTTCAGTTTGGGGAGTGCAAATGGGATCAGAAGACCTGAAGGTAAGTAAGCGGGAAGGTTTTTTAGTAGTCATGGTTGCTAAGCCTGTAAAATGCTCCAGATTTCACGGGATCTTTTCTCATGTCTCATCTTCAATCACACTCCCAACAATCCAACATTCCCATTTTCCAATGAGGATATTGAGTCTCAGGGAAGTTGAGCGGCAAACCTTGGGTCATAAGTAAGAGTCTGAGCCTGAACACACACCTGACTTTTGTTTCCAAAGCCTCCTTTCCCTGCCCCAGGTCCCCAGGGAAAAATTGTTAGGCTGGGGGTAGGATGAGGGGGTGGGTGACCACAGGCCCAGGGCAGCCCCACCCACCTCCCTGTAAAGGTATAGGGAGGTGGAAAATGTCCTTCCTTGTTCTCTTCCAAAAGAAAAGATTCAGAAGAAAATTGGGCCAGGGGTGGAAGGGGAGTCAGGCTTTTGAAACACAGTTATAGAAATCTCTCAGCTGTTACGTGCAGAGCATCAGGCAGGGCGCTTCTTGAGATCTGCTTCCATGAACCCATTCTCAGGGTGCACTCATTGCCTTATGCACACTCAATTTACATTGACTGAGCAGTGGGCAGCTCATTTAATCTGCACAGAGACCCTCTGAGGTAGGTGCAAATATTAAGCCCATTTTCATAGAGGTGCTTAGAAGAGGCCCAGACAGGTTAAGTTGGTCAGAATCCCACAGGTAGTAAGAGGAGGTACCTGGATTCACATGTGCCCCCTTGCCCACTACTATGCCCTCCACACCATATGGCACCACCTCCACAAGCCTCAAGCTGTGCAGTGACAGCTGTGGGGCCCCAGGAAAAAACTGTGCAGGGGCAAAGGGAAAGGGGAGGCCAGTGTGGACGGGAATCCTGGAAGTAAGCTTCCTAGATGAGGTACACATGCAGGGCTTTGAAGGGTTAAAGACCTGGGAGGAAAACAGGAATTGGAGAAGGAAGTGATTTTCTGAAAGGGGAATTGGCAAAAGTAAAGTTTCTGGGCAAAAGGCTGTTTGGAGTGAATAGTGGGAAATGCATCATCTTTGGGGTAAAGCCTTCTCTGACCTTCCATCTCCCCATCCATAAGAGGAGAATAATGAAATTACCTGCGTCATGGGGAGGGTGAGAATCAAATAAGATCTTAATTGTGAAAATACTTTCTGTTTTTGTTTTTTTCTTCTGAGACAGGGCCTCGCTCTGGCACCCAGACTAGAGTGCAGTGGCACAATAATGGCTCACTACAGCCTTGATCTCCTGGGCTCAAGTGATCCTCCTGCCTCAGCCTCCCAAGAAGCTGGGACTATAAGCACATGCCACCTCGCCCAGCTAATTTTTTTATTTTTTGTAGAGATAGAGTCTCACTTTGTTGCCCAGGCTGGTCTAGAACTCCTGCCCTCAAGCAATCCTCCCACCTCAGACTCCCAAAATGCTGGGATTACAGGCATGAGCCACCACACTCGGCTGAAAATACTTTCTGAATATTAAACTGCTGTATAATTATGACAAGTCATTTTGATTATAACCTTATGCTGACAGGCATGAAAGTTGTGTTCATGTTGTGGGGCACAATGGTGGGACAGTAAATAGAATGTGCAGGGTATGAAAAAGAAAAAGTAGTGGAACTGAAGGACGACCTGCAGCCGAGAAGTAAGGGAAAGTCCACATAGGCATGGGGAAAGGCTACTTTGCAAAGCTAAGTTTGCCTGGGACCCTGGGGCCTCTTGGACAACAGCTGAGGGCATCTTCCTCCAGGCTTGTTTAAACAATCTTCATGTCGGTGAAGCCCAGGAGGTCTTTATGGAAATATGTCAGGCCCTTCATCAATTCTGAGCCACCTTCATTCCATTGAGCCTCATTTTCCACATCTATAAAATGGGGATAACTCAGCTAGTTTGCGGAGTTGCTGTGGGCAGTGCACAGGGGGTGTGCAGTGTTTGACATGCACCGAGAACAGCTCAGTATGCTGGGAGTTTCCTAGGTCTCTTTTTAAACTCTGCTTCCCAAAGGTGAGAGGATGGTATCTGGACAAAAAGCTGAGGAACTGGGACTGGGCCTAACCTCATCTTTCTTAAGGACAAGGTGCACAGGTGCTCTGGCTATGCCGACTTCTCCTTGCCCAATCCAGTTTAATCTGACCACCTTACCCTCTATCCCCTGGCTGAGTACCTGCCCCCAGGTGTCCCAGAGCCCCAGCAGGCTGTGGTGGGCTTCTGCTGCCACCTATAGGCCCCATGTGGCACTGCCTCCCCCTGTCCAGCATTGAGGCCGGCATTCCCAGCTTTCACCTCCTCAAAGGGGATGCCATTGCATGTTTCCTCATCTGTCTCCCTGCCTGCTAGAGTGCCTTAAAGGCAGTGATTATCTGCTTTACCTATATCTCCACTATCCGGCCCAGTGCAAGCGCAGAGTAGTTGTTCAACACGTGCAGAAGGAATGAATGAGAAAATGGCCTTGCAGTGATGGAGATCACAGAAAAAACAAGAGGAACTTAGTCGGGGGTTATTTAATGCCAGCACAGGTGACTCACGGAGGCTTGTAAATTTCCCTTCAGAGGCTTTAGGAAACAAAGTAATTCTTAAGTGCCTGGGTTAAGGTTAGGGCAGTTGTGCTAGAAGCAGGGGGTGATTCAGGGAAAGTACGGGTCTCTTCTATTTTTGTTTCACTTCCCTGGGCCAGGACCTCCCCCTAAAAAATGTCCACAGTCCAGGAAAGCCTGAAGGAGGGAGTCATAAATGTGGCCTGGCTCAGTGCCAAGTGGAGACAGTTCAATGAGGCTCTCCTGTGGCCCTTACCAACGACCCGGATGTGAGTGCCTGGCTCGGCCCCTCCTTCCTCCCTATCTCTTTTCTTTCTTGGACCCGAGGCTTTCTTTGCCTGCAAGGCCCACTCTTTCTCCATTGCCTTTAAAAAAAAACAGATTTAGGGGGTACAAGTGCAGTTTTGTTACATGGATATATTGTGTAGTTGCAAAGTATGGGCTTTTAGCTTAGCTGTCACCTGAATAAATGGTGTAGATTGTACCCATTAAGCAATTTCTCATCCCTCACCCACCTCCCACCCTTCTAAGTCTCCAGTGTTGACTACTGCATTTTCTACATCCAGGCATACAAATTATTCAGCTCCCACTTACAAGTGAGAACACGTGGTATTTGACTTTCTGTTTCTGAGTTGTTCCAAAAAAAAAAAAAATGGCTTCCAGTACCATCCATGTTGCTGCGAAAGACATGATTTCTTTCTTTTTATGGCTGAGTAGTATTCTACGGTGTACACACACACACACACACACACACACACATATATCATGTTTTCTTTATCCAGGCATTCATTGATGGACATTTAGGTTGCTTCCATATCTTTGCTATTGTGAATAGTGCTGCGATTTTTTTTATGTTCTCCACTGTCTTTGACTGAGGAGCTGAGAAGCATATGAACACCCTAGAAAATTCCCTTTATACAGCTGGAAAGCCTGAGACACATAAGGCAAGAAGGAGCTCAGAAACCAGAGTCAGGATCAGGTTTATAATCAGGCATCCAGGATCTGGCCCTCAAGCCCAAGTGTCACTGATGGATGGGGAGGGGAATGAGACCTCAGGCAGGGTTTTCTGTGACTGGCTGAGCACAGCTTGGCCTCTTACACACCAGAGGCTACTTAAGGGTCTGGACACCTTTCAGTTTCGTTTTCAATGTCTTTATTTTGCCCCCTTGTCTCACTGAGGCTCCCACTTTCTAGGAAGTCATAAGACAAGGCTAAGTCTCCACCCCAGTCCCTGCTGGAAAATGGAAACCCAGAGCACCTATATGATCTGCTGAATCCCACCCTGAGAGCCAAGGGTGAAACCAGGGGAGACCCAAAAGCCCAAGGCTTCTGCACTCCCTTGAGCAGCCCCCTTCCTTTTACCCCGACAAACCCAGTCCTATGGCAGGAGAGGCACTGGCATCTGCTATGGTCTGAATGTTAGTGTCCCCCAAAATTCACGTGTTGGGACCTAGTAAACAGTGTGATGGCATTACAAAGTAGGGCCTTCGGGAAATGATTAGGTCATGAGAGCCCCACCATCAAGAATGGGATTAGTGCCCTTTTAAAATAGGCTCAGGCAAGCTCCCTGGCCTCTTCAGTCATGTGGGGACACAGCAGCAAGATGCCATCTATGAAATAGAGCACCCTCACCAGATACTGACTCTACCAGCACCTTGATCTTGGACTTCCCAGGCTTCAGAACTATGAGCAGTACGTTTCTGTTGTTTACCCAGTCTAATGCATTTTGTTACAGCAGCCCAAACAGACTAAGACAGCACCCCACTCCAGACCTTCAAAGTTGCCTTTGCCATGGGTTCAGCCAACCTCTGGGTGCCCTCCACCCAGTGCAGCCCTTACACTGTTTGTGCTGAGCCACAGGACCTTTGGTGCCTCTTCCTAAGTCTCCTGCCCTGCCATGGTTGGGCAGTCCTGCCTCATGCCCAGCTAAATTCCTCCTGCTACCATTGCATCTGCTTCCTCCCTGCCTCTGCTCCCATTGGCCCTGAGAAGAGAGAGAAAGTTGTCTCCTAATTTCTAAATATGGTCACCAAAGTAAAAACTGTTCCAGGAGCCCCTGGTTCCACCCCGGAGGCCATATCTCAGTCTTTCTGAGATTGAGACAGGATTGAATTTTCAAACTCACCCCAAGCGGACACCTCCATTCCCATCCTTAGTCAACAATGTCTTGAGTGCTTAGTCTGTGTCCAGAATCCTCTTCCCATTCTGGTGGTAGCAATTATTTTAAGAGTATCATTTGAGACAAAATTGTCAGAGGTATAGTTACATAATAGGAGCTGAAAAACACAGTCTTTGATTGGTGAAATAATTTGTCCAAGTGCCTGACCCCAGGACCAACCTATCCTTATACCTAAGCTAAGTCTGCAACCATATTGGCCAGACCTACACACAGCCTGCCTCAGAGCCCCACTGCCAGGACCTCACTTGGATAGACCTGAGCCTATGCCTCTCTGCCAGAGACTCAGAATCACTAGGACTCCTTGGGATCCACCAGGTACATGGAGAATGGGACAGGATTCGCTATCCACTACAGTTCAGGGGAAAGTCAAACGCCTCCTGAGCCAGGACATGGTGACTGTGAGTGGGGCCACCCCAGGCCATCTGACGTCTGCTTTTCTTGTCCCAAGGCTCCCTTCCCTTTCAGGGCTCATGCCTGGGGGAAGGTGCCCTCTGGCCCACCCTAGAGCCTGGAACATTGAAGAACACCCAGCTCTGCTGGAGCTGCAAAGAAGCAGAGTCTGTGATGGAGCAAACAAGAGCTATTAGCTAAAAGCTGGGGGGCTGTAAAGGGGTTTGCCTCTCACTTGCATGTAGGGCAAGTGACATGGAGACCACCCCCTGTGAAGAGCAATAACTCATCTCACACAGAGATGGCCAACTTCATTCATTCATTCATTTCTTCATTTGTTTTCTTGTTCATTCATGGAGTCAATAAATATTGGGTGCTTATGTGCCAAGCATTGTGCTAGGCTCTTGGGGGTACAGCAATGAACGCAGTGAACAAGATAGAGCTGCTACCCTCATAGAATTACTCTCTAATAAGGAAGACATGAACCATTACGATGTGATAAGTGTTGCAGGCATACTGGGAGCACAGGGATTAAAACCGTAGATGCTTTCCAATTCTAGGCCGAGTTTGTGTGCTGGGTCGACTTGGGGGCACTGTTGTCAGCTTTTGAGAAGGTTTGTGATCTGCTCCAAGCTGCTGGGTTTAGAAAGATGGTATGAGCTGGAGACAAGGTACATAAGGGTAAGAAGGTGAGCCATAAGCCAGCAGCAGAGATGATAAAGACAGATAGGGTCAGAGTCCAGGGAAATCTCAGGTAAAATGGAGAGAAGTCTCTGGTTGGTGAGAGGAAGGGAGGCAGTGAGAAAAAGCCACTCTGCAGTCCGGTATGGTCTTGGGAAAAACCGTTTTAAAGGAGGGGGATGTGGGGTAAGGGCAGATGGCAAGCAGCTAAGAGGTAGATATTGGTGTCAGGAAGTAGAGGTTGCAAATGTAGGCTGCCCTGAGAAATTCAACAGGAAAGGGAATGTGGTGGGTAGGAGGTTGGGGGTGAGATCCAGAGAGAAGCAGGGTAAGGAAGGGTGAGGGTTTTTAAATGCTAGGAGATGCCTGAGTATGCTTATAGGTGGGGGAAGAAGCCAGTGGAAAAAGAAAGACTGAAAATCAGGAAAAAAGAGGAGATAATTAAGAGCAGAGGAGCCTGGAGGCTCTGGGAGGGATGCAGAGAAAACAAGTAGGAGGAAGGCAGGCTTCCTTGAGGAGGGGCTTACCTCTTTATCCCAAGGAAAAGGAAGGAATGTGAGATCCTGAGGTATGAAGAGGGAATGGGAGAAACTTGTGCTAACACATGCACTACGTAGACTTTGCGCACTTGCAATTATACTTGCACAAAATAACATGGGTCGCCTACACACACATGCACATATGTGTGCATGTATGCGTGCCTCCTATCACGAATGCTGGGAAATCACATCACACACACATGCACACCCTGGAAACCAGGCCTGAGGTAGCCCCTGAGCTATGGGAGGCATCTTGCTGTGTGGAGGGGAGGAAAGCCAGGGGAATCCGTTTCAGACCTGGCACCAGGAGCCCTGGCTCCAGGCTTTCACTTGCCCACACACAGCCCAGCTGACTTCAGGGAAACGACTTCACTTCTGGTGACTTTGTTGCCTGAAGGGTGAATGAGGGTGAATCATACCCACCTTGCCAAAAACAGGGCTACTGAGGCTCACCTGAAAGAAAAGCTTCCTTCCTGCTGTCTCTTCCTCTGCAGAAATTCCAAGTAAGGAGATGATCACCCAGGAGGCTCTAGACACTCCAATACTTCCTGACCACCTGACCCACAGCACCCACCCGAAGCTTATTGCAACAGGTCCAGGCTCTGCTGATGACAAAGTTCTCAGTCTCTTCTTCCTGCTATCTTCATGCCCCCACCCACTCCTCACTGAAAAACCTTCCCAGAGTCCCCTCCCAAGCACCTACTCAACCAGCAGCAACATAAACCCAGGTGGGGCCAGTTTGTGCCTTGTTTGCATTCCACCACTGTCCTTGTTTCTTTTCTGTGACCTCTCTGGGGATGCTTTGTTGGGTACACCTAGGCTATCCTGGAAAAATCTCTAGTCAGACTTGGCAAAGGCAAAGAAAGGTAGAGCACATGCTACTGACGGCTTCTGAGCCTTGCCCCCTGTCCCACCTTCCTCCAACCTCAGAGCCCTCTGCCCTGCCCCACACCCTTGCCCACGTTCCTTGGTTGTTTGGGTCACTGGCTCTCTGAGGTTGCAGGTCTTCAAGAGTTTCTGATCTTTCCTTTAGAAATTTCCACTTGCTGGGGGAGAGATTGGGCTGGGAGGCAGCAACCCTCAGTATTACCAAGGGAATGTCCACTACCCGAGCGTCAGCAAGACTGGCTCCTGGTAGACCACAGGGAGGGGCTTGGAATCCTCAACTCTCCCCACACTCCAAAATGCTGCTGTCACTGGGGTTGGGGTAGGTCAATATCCTGCCCTGTCCCCAAATGCAGCCACTTCTCAAGGCACAGCCAGTTTTTGCTCTGCCTTTTTTGTCCAGGGATGGGGAACATGGCGATATGAGGAATGGTGGGGCAGGGAACTAATGAGAGGCAGGAAAGTGTCACCAAGCCACATGCTGAGGGTGGGGGATGGCACCGTTTCTCCTCCTTACTCCTCTGCCAATGCATCCATGACAACCACTGGCATGACCTCCAACCCCTCAGACTCCCTCAGAAAACACCTGCAGGCTGCTTGTTCCCCATTGGCCTCTGTCTGCCTGTGCCCTTTCCCAGCATGTATGTGGGGTCTGTCCCCTTGGTCTGTGAGGAGGGCTGCACAACAGTGGTGGGAATGGCTTATCTTGTATCTTAGGTCCCTCTAGCTCCCCAAGGCTGCTCATGGAGAACTTGGTTACCAAGGAGCTTAGCACAGATGAAGTAAGATACCCACACTGAAGCTGAAGGCATGGCACTCAGACTAGCAGGGAGCCACCTGGTCCAGGCCACAGAATTGCCCTACATAGCATCAGGTCCCAAATGAGACCACTTCAGGTCCTTGCCTCCTTATCTCTCACACACTCTTCACAAGTGTGGCCTGGTCCCCGAGGGAGGTAGAGCACTGCGCCCAGCCCTGTTCAGGGGAGGCGCCAGACCACAAGCTCAGGTTCTGTGTCTGCCCAGAGGGCCTGCAGGCTCAACTGGGCTCCCTTGCCCACCTCCCCCAGTGTGTCATGGACTGGAAGCAGATGCCCACACTGCACAATGTCTCCCACCACCTCGAAGGCAGGGACTGCATGCTCACCAGTGCAGATGACGTACAACAGGCAAGGCTCAAGTGCGTGATGGGGAGGAAGGCTGGGCAGGGCCCTCTAAGAGGTGTGAGTCATTATGCACGGGTTACATGTCAAGCTAGTGGTTCTCAAACCTGGCTGCATATTAGAGTCACCTGGGGAGCTTTTAAAATTCCCAATACCTAGGCCTCATCCCATGCCTATTAAAGCAGAGCCTCTGGACATGGCAGCTGGGCATGAGTGTTCCGTACAATTCCCCAGGTGATTCCAATGTGCAGCCAGGCTTGCAAATCACTGTGCTTGTCCATTTACCTCCATTTTCTCATCACATGCTCCCAAGAATCCTTTACTAGGGTTTTTCTTATCCTCTTGTTATACTCACTGTGCTTAGAGAAGTCCAGTAACTTGTCTGAGATCAGAAGCTATGCTAGACTATAAGCTCTCGAAGGCAGTGCTGTTGCTGATGCATTGTTTGTCTGGTTCTAGCACAGATCCTGCACCCTAGAGGAGCACCGTTCAGGACAGGCTTTAGGGTTGAAGTGGCAGGATGTGACAGAGGCCCAGTGCAGATGGAGGAATCGACAATAGGAAGAGGGATGCTGCTGAAGATGGCTGCGGGGGTCAAGCAAGGTGAATGGGGAATGTTTATGTGCTGGGCAGTAGGCAAACCCTCCTGCTTCCTGCTAGGACCTACAGTGATGACAACATGTGTATACTGGCCCTCTATGGCCTGCATGTGCCATGGCCCACTGGAGCCCTCTAGGGCCTGAGTGCTGGTTTTGTCCACAAGTTCTGCATGGAACTTGGTTACTGTACAATCAACCTGGCTTTGCCTTGGCCTGCTGAGGCCCTCTGCTGCCGGCGCAGGCCCTGCCCTCAGTCCTAGCCAATAGCTAGGGGGCACTCTCTGGGAGACCCATTCTGCCTGTGCTTGTGCCCTCATGGGGACACTGGGCATGGAGCTCCACTGGACACTTGCCCTGTCCCCAACACCAGCTTTTCTCTGCATTGAGGACAAAGAATAAAGATGTTACATCCTGGGTTCCGTAGGATTTGAAACAGAGAAAGAGGCAGACATGTGCCCATATGACACGGACTGACAAACTCTCCACATTGACTCGTGTGCATTGGTTCCTGTGCACAGGGGATGGTGCCATCCGTCCACTGTCGGCAGGGATCAGGTGGAGTTGTTCACACAACCTCAGGTGGGAAATCTTCAGAGAGCCAGCCCCATCACCCCCCAGCCCCCTGAGCACCAAGGCTAGTGCTGTGAGTCAGAGAGATAAGCCCAGCTCACGGAAGTTAGCTCCATGCCCAGGCTCAGTGCTGCTGAGCTAGCCAACCCTGTCTCATGCAAAACTCCCTCCAGCCCTGTCTTACGCACTGCAGACTCCCCTGCCCCACACAGCCATTTTCACAGGCAGGTCGAGGCACCACCTCCAAAAAATGTAAAACACCAGACATCCAACAAACACTCCCACTTTTCACGTAGGGACAAAGGTCCAGAGACTGGATGGCATTTGCCCAAGATCACTTGGTGAAGTAGTGAAGAATCAAGACTAGAACCCAGCCTGTCCGAATCTGCTCCACAGAGCTCCACACACACACGTGTTCAGGCCATGTGCATGAGTGCACCTACATGCCCACTCTGCTGTCCTCTGCAGACTGAAGCCTCTTATCCCTCTCTGACCCCCAGGCTGTCTGCAGGGGATGTAGCTTGGGGAATGAGAGGGCAGCATCCACCCAAAGCCACTGAAACTGTCCTTCAAGGTAGCTGCTCACCTCTCGTTTGATTAAAAAGGATAAGACACTCAGGTGGGTTGAACCAGGCCAGGCAAAACTCATATTGCATACTATTGTGATAGAACACCCTTGAATAAAGTGTGTCTCAGCATTTTTAACGTGTCACAAATAATTATTTCTTTAACACCCACCCCCATCATCTACACAGTCCAATATGGTAGCCACTAGCCACATGTGACTATTTGCATATTTAAATTAATTAAATTTAAATAAAATGTCTCACAAGCCACATCCCAAGTGCTCAGTGGTCACATGTGGCTGGTGGCCACCGCATTGGAGTGAAGATACAGAGCATCATCACGGAAGTTCTGCTGGACAGAGCTGGATTCTGGACAGCAATAACGAAAGGACTCTTGAGTTTGAGTGGTTCCCAAATACACCAAAGGGATAACTTGGGGAAATAGAAAAGGGCGCCTTCTCTGAAGGTACTTTTCTGGTTGGGGCAGTGAGAGATCTGGCCTCTTAAGAAGGCTTCTCTCTAAGGAGGTGGTGACCAATGAGGTCCTTGAGGCAGACAAGAGAGTGGACAACTGAGGCTGGCTATGGCCGAGAGGGCTGACAGCCTACAGAGCCCTGCTTAGGAGGTGACAGAGTGATCAGAGAGTCCAGCTAGCAGAAGACATCCCCCTAAGTTGGCCTGGCCTCTCTTCATGTCTCCTCTCCCCACAGAAACTCTTCCTCAGGACACCTATTCCCCCAACCTCTAACACGCATGAGTGTGCGTAAAAACACACACCCCCCCGCCACCACCACCACCATCACCAGCTCATTCTACTTTTGGCCCTATAGTTATGCCAGGCCTTTATCTCTCCTCCACAAGGGCAAGCACAGGGGCTGCCCTACCTCCTTACCTCTAATGCCCAGCAAAGTGTGAGGCTCAGGGACACCTGCTTGCCTAGGACCTGCCCTCAATCAGGCTCTCAAGATGGGTTAGGGGAGGGGAGGCTTTAAGAATAATTTAGTGACTCAAACTCTGTCCTGCTCAAAATCCTGGCCTAAGGGGTGTTTAAATACTCCCATGCCCGGAAATATTCAGTGACCTGTCAGGCACAATACCCGCCACCCACCCACCTATGCACACGGGCACTCACACTTACACTCACACAGACACACACATCATCATCAAATGTCATCTCTCCATCAAGTGCGTGTGGGGGTGGGGGAGGAGTGCTGGTTAGGCTCCCTGCAGGGGGGGCCTTTGAGATGCAGCAGGACCCTCTCCTACAGAGCCTTTCCCAGGGGTCCGGGGACTGGAAGCAGGGAGCAGGAATACGCAGGAAGAGCCAGCAGCTGCCTGCGTCCCAGGCTGCCGGGACTGGGCGGGGGGAAAGGGGGGAAAGGGGGGTGAAAGGGGGGAAAAGGGTGGGAAAAGGGGAGGGCGGGGGGAGTGACCCAGCCTGGGTGGGAAGGGAGAAGCCACCTCCCTGCTCCAGGAGCGGCCTGGCAGGGACCCAGAAGGGTGCAGGTGCGGCGTCCCGGGTTTCCGCTCGCCGTCACTCTCTCCGGGCGCTCCAGGTAGTTGGCGGCAGTGGCAGCCCGCACTCCCAAGCGGCCTGTGTGCCAGGGGAGGGCTGGTAGGAGGCGTTCCCGCAGCTGCCATCCAGGCTTGGCAATCCATGGATCTGGATAACGTCACTCAGGAGCTGCAGCCACATTGGAAGCCGGAACAAATTCGTAGCAAGGTAGCAGAGCAGGCACCAGGACGGATGGAGCCCTTCAGGGCTGGAACCAGGACGCGGTGTACATCTGTTCATGCATTTTTCCAGTTGCGAGTCCCACAGGTGCGTGCGTGCCAGTGCCCCTCGCTGTGCAGAAGCCAGCCTTGAACCTTCAGGAGACAGGAACCTTTGAGGGACCTCCACATTCACATACACATCGCTGTCCCTTCTCCACCCATGGTGGGAGCAAAGCCTCCAGACTCAGAGCTGCCCCAGCCCGGCCCATGAGCCACCCTTTGGAATTCCCTGCGCTGGGTGGAAGCTCTCACCGTCACTGCAGACCCACACAGGGAGCCTTCCCCACCTCTAGCTGAGTGCATTCTCCTGGACACAGATGTGGGCAGAGCCTCTAGGCTGATTCCCCAGCTGAATGCTGTATTATAGTCCGTTTTCACACTTCTATAAAGAACTACCTCAAACTGGGTAATTTATAAAGAGAAAGGGTTTAATTGACTCACAGTTCTGTGTGGCTGGGGAGGCCTCAGGAAACTTACAATCATGGTGGAAGGCAAAAGAAAAACAAGCACCTTCTTTACAAGACGTGGGGCAAGGGAGGGAAGAACCGTCATATGCTTTTAAACCATGAAAGAACTCACTCATTATCACAAGAACAGCATGGGGGAAACAAACTGCCCCCATGATCCAATCATCTTCACTAGGCCCCTTCCTTTACACATAGGGATTACAATTCGAGATGAGATTTGGGTGGGGACACAGAGTCAAACCCTATCACCTGCCTTCTCTGAAAAGCAGCCTTCACTGCCCACCCACCCACCCCAATCCCTTCTGGAGGCTGCCTGTGAGGAAGGTGAGCAAGGGCAGGTGAAAATTCACTGGGGGCATGCAGCTTGTGCTGGACTCTAGTAGGGGCCCCATGCTGATGGGCCTTCTGGGTGGTAGAAGCCAAGTTCTCAGGAGATTCAGCACCAAGTGCTGGCTGACAGACCTATTCTTCCTTAGGGGACAGGGATAGGGTGAGAAAGGGAGGTCGCATTTACAAAATAAAAAGCTCACATCGTTAGTAAGACTGTCAAGGCTCCAAGTAGACCTAAGGTTAGGTCAGCACTGACCTAACATGCCATCTGCCAGTCCAGCCCCTCTGAGCCTCAGTTTCCCCACCTAGAATTGGTTCACATGCTCTAAGACCCCTTCAGCTCTGTCACACTGTGCCCCATAAATTCCATGGTTCCTTCTTCCTTGTCACCCTGCCGAGAGAACCACTCTCCCATTCCGGCACCTCGTGTCTCTTCTGGAGTGGAACTCAGAGCCCTGAAATATCTCTAACCACTAAAGCTCTGGGGTGGGTGCCAGCCTTGGTACCCTGCTTGTGCTGCTGATGCTGGACAAGCAGGGCAAGAGGTAGAGCAAAGAGCACTCTGCCTGGCAAGCAGAGAGGATGCTGGTTGGGATGCACTTGTCCTTGGCCACTCCTGTTCCTCTCTAGCCACTTTTTAATTCATGGGATTTTTTTCTTTCAGGGCAGGGTTGGGAAAGTGAGGAGCACATAGAGACTTCACTCCATCAAGTGGTACAGAAATTCCTTTACTGCCAAATCCTACCCACTATGGGCAGACCTAGAAGAAGTAAGTGTGCCTGGGCTAAGTGCCATTTTGTTTTTCTTGGACTCTCTAGTCTTCCCCAAGTGTTGGGGACAGGGTAGGGCATTAAGATCAGTGCTGAGATCTTTATTAAGTGGGATTCTGTGTGGTCATGCTTAACATTCAAATGAGCACCCTCTTTTGGGGCCAGGGAGCCATAGGCGAAAATCAGGGAGACCCTGTGCCACCCACACATGTTCTTCTCCATGCTAGTGCTTTACTGATGGATGCTGTCACCAACATGCCGGTGGCTTGCTATGTGTGTGACTATGTCCTGGCACATGGGGAGTGGACTGAGTTGCTGATGGACTGTGAGAATTAAGCCAGGAATTTCCAGCTGCTGCAAGCACATGGCTGTGCCTCCAAACTCTAGTGCACTTTCTAGAATGGGCTGGGCTGTGAGTACATCTAGGACATGGCGATGGGGCTTGAAGCACATCCATGGGCCCTGGCTCTTCAGGTGAGCAAGGTGCCCAGGGGACAATTCATCTCCATTATGCCTCAGGCCTTGGGCTTCAAAATCCTGGGCCAGCTTCCTTGGTATAGAGCAAGGTCCATGGATAAAGTCATGAAGTCTGTGAGTTCCTTGAAATTGCATGAAAAATGTGTTTATGTGCTTTGCTCTGCCGAGAGAGACTACAGCTTTCTATAAATTGTCAGTGGGGTCTGCTGGAAAAATGAGGTCTGGAGGAAGAAAGTGAGAATTTTGCTGAGCCTGGAACTAAAGGATCTTGCTCTCTAGGGATACACAGCAGGGATCTGCTTCCTGGCCCCAAGTCTCAACCCTCTGCCTACCCCACATGTGACCTGGAAACATCCTGGAGCCCTGAAAGTGAAATCTGAGCCAAATCCCTAGCAGACTCAGGGCCCTTGCCCCTCTTCTCCTTTTGATAAAAACTTACCTTTTCAGGGAAAATAGGCTCCATCTAGGGTGAACATGTTTCCACCAGAGAGATGCCATTCCTCTTCCCATTCTGAGCTCCTTCTGAGCTCCATGACAAGGTGAGAGCCTAGTTTTGGAAAGCTGCTGAGGCTTCCTTTCAAAGGCTCATAGGAACTTACAATGCCCAGGGAAATCTTTCTACTAAGTGCCTAGGTGTGTAGGTCCCAGGAACTGGACTTAGCCTTCGAGTCCTATGGATGCCTCCATGGAGTCCAGAAAGGGAGAACGAAAGAGCCTGTAATACAATCTTCCTCCTCTGACTGTACCAGGACAGGGATATCAGGCTGTATTCTTCTTCTCTTCAATGCCACACCTCATGTAGAGGGGACTCAGACTACAGTGAGGCCCAAGGCAGGTTGAGGTTTGCTCCTTACAGCAGGGACAGCAGCACAGGGTTCTTCCTAAAATTATTCAGATCTCTTGTCTGACCCAAGGGGAAGCACTCTGCATACTTAGGTATAGACCAAGAAGCTTCTTTGCTTTTGAGGATTCTGAACAGAGCATGAACTGAGAATTTCCTTGAATATCAATATGGCTTGTTATCTGGAATAGCAATGAAAGTAACCTCAGCACTCACCATTTTTATCCTGTAAAGCCTCAGCAGGTGGATGTTGGGGGTGGAGTGAAGAGGTATATGAGGAGGGTGGTTCTCAGAGGCCTTCTCCTCCCTGACTTGATCTCAGACATACACCTTCACCCCAGAAAGATAATTGTCTATCCTGATAAAATCATTAAGGAACCCCTGATTCCTTCACCTATCTCAGGTTTTGACTTTGTCCTAAATGCAAAGGACTTTGGAGAAAGTCCACAGGAAAACCTGAAAATAGAATGCTGGGACTTCTGGTTTCTAGTCCAGCATTTAAGGAGCTTGGAAGTTGTCACTTCGGTTTACACAAGAAAAAAGCTGAACAAACTAGAAACCAACAACTTTTTTTAGATCCACCAGAGAACTGGGGTCACAGAGTAAACACTGTAATTAACCAATTGCTGGAGTTTCAGTGTGGACAAATTTACAGTTAAAAACTCCAGGGAGCTGGGTGCAGTGGCTCATGCCTGTAATCCCAGCACTTTGGGAGGCCGAGGTGGGCGGATCACTTGAGGTCAGGAGTTCAAGACCAGCCCGGCCAACATGACGAAACCCCACCTCTACTAAAAGTACAAAATATTAGACAGGTGTGGTGGTGCACGCCTCTAATCCCAGCTACTCAGGAGGCTGAGGCAAGAGAATCACTTAAACCTGGGAGGCAGGGGTTGCAGTAAGTCAATATTACATCACTGCACTCTAGCCTGGGCGTAAGGGTGAGACTGTCTCAAAAAACGAAAACAAAAACAAAACTCCAGGGGTACCTAGTCATGATAGGGATGGGGCACACTTTTGTGAGTTTTATCTCCAGGAGCTCTACCATATTCTCACAGTGAAGATCAAAGAAGAAGAATCCCCTTGTACTTCTGTGAGATGGGGAGGAAGATAAGAAGAAGTAGCCATTTTGAAACACTCCCAGAGCACTCTGTCTTAGCAAGGTCTGCCCTCAAAACAAAAACAAAAAACAAAAACAAACTATTTCACCAGAGCCTAACTTACTGATGTTTTACCAGAGCCTAATGGACTTGGGGAAGGAAATTTTCCAATTCCAGCCCCATCTAGCCTTTCTGTCTCACCTAAAGAATGGGACTGGGTAGAAGGTAGGACTCAAAAACACTGTAAAGTTGATAGCCCAGGGGGACGGGCTCATTTAGAGACTGAGACTTAATCATATGACTATAAGATGCTTCCCTTCCACTCATACCCCACCACCATCTCCCTAAAGGCCTATTTACCTCAGTTCCTTTTCCCAGTACATCATGTCCAGCTTTCAACAGAAAAGTACAAGGCATACTAAAAGACATAGTTTGGAGAGATAGAGTGGGCATCAGATACCTAGACTCAGATATGACAAGGATGTTAGAATTATCAGACTACAAATTTTAAATAATGATGAGTAAATATGCAAAGGGCTGTAATGAAAAAAAGTAGACAGCATTCAAGAACAGATGGGTTATATAAGCAGGGATGGAAATTCTAAGAGACAATTAAAAAATGCTAGTTGAAAAACACTGTAACAGAAATTAAGAATGCCTCCCAGCACTTTGGGAGGCCAAGGTGGATGGATCACCTGAGGTTGGGAGTTTGAGACCAGCCTGACCAACATGGAGAAACCCTGTCTCTACTAAAAACACAAAATTAGCTGGAAGTGGTGGCACATGCCTGTAATCCCAGCTACTTGGGAGGCTGAGGCAGGACAATCGCTTGAACCTGGGAGGTGGAGGTTGTGGTGAACTGAGATCATGCCATCGTACTCCAACCTGGGCAACAAGAGTGAAACTCTGTCACAAAAAAAAAAAAAAAATGAAGAACTTTTTTGTTGGGCTCATTATAGACTAGACATGGCCAAGTAAAGAATCAATGAGCCTGAAGAAAAGTCAATAGAAATTTCCAACATGGAAATGCAAAAAGAAAAGTTAATAAAAAAGTATAATATTCAAGAAATATGGGGCAATTACAAAAGGTGCACATAATGGGAATGCAAGAAAGAGAAAAAAGAGAGAAAAGAACAGAGGAAATATTTAAAGCAATAATGACTGAGAATTTCTCAAGGTTAATGTCAGACACCAAATCACAGACACAGAAAGCTGAGAGAACACCTAAAAGTATAAATGCCCCAAAAAATCTACACCTAGGGATGTCATATTAAACAGAAGAAAAACCAAAGGCAAAGAAAAAGTTTTTAAAGAAGACAGAGGGAGAAAAAAATGCATTACCTATAGAGGAGCATGGATGAGAATTACACTGGACTTCTCCTCAGAAACTATGCAACAAGAAGAGAGTGGAGTGAAAAACTTTGTGTTGGAAAAAAACCCCTGCAAAACAAGAATTCTGTATCCAGATAAATTATCTCTCAAAAGTCAGGGAGAGGCCAGGCACAGTGGCTTATACTTGTAATCCCAGCACTTTGGGAGGCCAAGGTGGGCAGATCATTTGAGACCAGGAGTTCAAGATCAGCCTGGCCAACATGGCAAAACCCCATCTCTACTAAAAATACAAAAAATTAGCCAAATGTGGTGACACACACCTGTAATCCCACCTACTAGGGAGGCTGAGGCATGAGACACATCTGTAATCCCACCTACTAGGGAGGCTGAGGCATGAGAATTGCTTGAACCCAAGAGGCAGACGTTGCAGTGAGCTGAGGTCCTGCCACTGCACTCTGTCTCGAAAAAAGGAAAAAAAGAGGCAGGGAGAAATAAAGACTTTCTCAGACAAACAAAAATTGAGAAAATTTGTCACCATAGACCTGCCTTGCAAAAAATGCTAAACAAAGTTCTTCAGAGAGAAGGAAAATGATAAGTCATAAACTCAAATCTGTATTTAAAAAGGAAAAAGCATTAGAGAAGGAATAAAGTAGAATAAAAGCTTTCATTTTTTATTCTTAATTGATTTAACAGATAATCCTTTGTTCAACAGAACTATAGTAACAATGAATTCAGTGATTATAGCTTGTATGTAAGTGAAATAAATGACAGTAACGTTATATGAGGCTGGAAAGATACTCTACGATGTTAGGTTGGTGCAAAAGTGATTGCGGTTTTTGCCATTAAAAGTAATGCAACCAACCTAATACTTGCACTACCCATGAAGTGTTATACCCATGAAGTGTTATAGTGTTATTTGGACGTGGACTTGGATTATACTGTAAACTCTGGGGCAACCACTGAAAAATGCTTAAAAATATATATACTTGATATATACTAAGATAGGAGAAAATATGGAATCATATAAGGTCCTCAGTTAAAAAACAGAGAAGGCAGAAAAAGAGTGAGGAAAAAAATGAAATGAAGAACAAGAGCAATAATAGAAAACAGTAACAAATGTGGTAAATAGTAATCCAACCATATCCATAATCATTTTAAATATTAATGGTATAGATATACCAATTAAAAGACAGAGACTGTCAGAATAAACAAGAAAACAAGATACAGTAATATCTCTATAAGAAACCCATTTTGAATATAAAGACACAGATAAAATAAAAATAAAGGGATGGAGAATGGCATAACCGGCTAGCAATAATCAAAAAGAAAAATGGAATAGTTACGTTGATTTTACACACAACATACTTTAGAGCAAAGATAATTATCAAAAATAAAGAGAGGCATTATATGGGGATAAAGGGATATTAGTATGCTTGGGCTGCCACAACAATATAAGATAAACTGGGTGACTTAAATAACAGAAATTTGTTTTCTCACAGTTCTCATTCCTGGAACATCCAAGATTATGTTTCTAGGTAATTTGGTTCTGGTGAAGACTCTTCCTGGCTTGTAGACAGCCACCTTCTTGCTGTGCTCACACATGGACTTTTTCTACGTGCTTATGTGGGGTTGTTGGGGGAAGAGGAGGGGGGAGGAGAGATCAATCCCTAGTGTCTCTTCTTCTAAGGATACTAATCCTACCGAATCAGGGACCCTACTCTTATGACCTCATTTAACCCTAATTACCTCTAAAGATTATTTCCACGTATAGTCACATTAGGTGTTAGGGCTTCAACATATTAATTAGGAGGGGGCAGGTAGCGGGGGTCAGTTCTCCAAGAAGACATAACAGTACTTAATATGTAAGCAAGCAATTAACAAAAAGCACCAAAATATGTGTGGCAAAAATTGATAGAACTGCAAGGAGAAATAAATGAATCTGTTATTATAGTTGGAGACTTCCAACCCTCCTCTATCAGTAATTGACAGAACCAGCAGGCAGAAAATCAATAAGAACATAGTTGAACTAAACAACACCATCAACCAACTGGGTCTAATCAACTCTTATAGATTACTTTATCCCACAACACTAAAATACACATTCTTCTCGAGGTCACATGGAACATTCACAAGGAAGATCAAATTATGTGCCATAAAATGCACCATAACAAGTTTAGAAGACTAGAAATCATTTAGCAGATTCTCTCAGATTACAATGGGATTAAACTAGAAATAAACAAGAGAAAGATAGCTAGAACATCCCCTCAAAATTTTGAAGATTAAATAACACAAATCTAAATAACATATGGGTCAAATAATAAGTCTCAAGAGAAATTTTGAAAATATTTTGAACTAAATGAAAATAAAAATTCAATTTATTAAAATTTGTAGCATACTCAAGTGAAAACAGTGCTTAGAGGGAAACTTATAGCATTGAATGAATGTATTAGAAAAGAAGAAAGACCTAAAATCAATAGTCTAAGCTAAGCATTCACCTTAGGAAACCAGAAAAAGAAGAGCAAATTAAATCTAAAGTAAGCAGAATTAAAAAACAGTAAAAATTAGAGCAGAAAATAATTAAATTACGACAGGAAATTAATAGAAATGATCAAAAAAACCAACAGCTGTTCTTTGAAAAGATAAGTAAAACTGATAAACTAATACTGGAAATGAAAGAGAGGCCATCACTATGGAGCCCATGGACATTTTAAGGATAATAAAGAAATAATATGAACACCTTTATGCCCACAGATTTGACAACCTAGATGAAATGGATCAATTCCTTGAAAGACAAAATCTATCAAAACTCACACAAGAAGAAACAGATTATCCAAACAGGTCTATATTTATTTTAAAAATTAAAACAAGTCTACACTTATTTTAAAAATTGAATGGATAACTGATAAGAGTAACTGATAATGTTTCAAAACAGAAAGCCCCAGGTCCAGATGGATTCATTGGTGAATGCTACCACAATCATTCAAGGAAAAAATATATACTAATTCTCTATAATTTCTTCTGGAAAATAGAAGTGGAGGGAATACTTTCTAACTAATTGTATGAGGCCAACATTACCCTAATACCAAAATCAAACAAAGATATTACAAGAAAGAAAAAACTACGGACCAATATCTCTCATGAACACACAGATGCAAAAATCAACAAAATATTAGGAAGTTGAATCCAACGATGCATTAAAAAATTATACACCATAACCAAGTGAGATTTAGCCCAAGTATGCAAGGCTAGTTCACAATTCAAAAGCCCATATAATGATGGATTAATGTAATCTATCACATCAAAAAGGTAAAGAAGAAAAATTGCATGATCATATCATGATTATATCAATAGCACATGACAAAATCCAACACTCATTCTAATAAAAATTCTCAGCAAACTAGGAATAGAGGAAAACTTCCTCAACTAGATCGAGAATATCTATAGAAATCCTACAGCTAACATCATATTTAATGATAAGAAACTATATGCCTGAGTGAGACTCAGTCTCAAAAAACAAACAAACAAAAAATATATGCTTTCCTGCTAAGATCAGGAACAAGGCAAGGATATCCTCTATCACCACTCCTATTTGACATTGTATTGAAATTATGGCGAATGTAATAAGACAAAAAAGGAAATAAATGGCGTCAGATAATAATAAGGAGAAAGAAGAAATGAAACTGTCTTTAGTTGCAGATGACAAATTTTAAAAACCTGTGGAACTAATAAGTGGTTGTAGCAAGGTTGCAGGATACAAGATTAATGTTCAAAAGTTCACTGCTTTCTTATACACCAATAATGAACGATCACAATTTGAAATTAAAAACATAATACCGTTGATATTAACACCAAAAAAGAGAAATATTTAGGTGCAAATCTAACAAATTTGGCTAGATCTATATGAGGAAAACCACAAAAGTCTGATGAAATAAGCTGAAGATCTAAGTAAATGCAGAGACATTACAGTTTCATGAATAGAAAGACTCAATATTAGGCCAGGCGCAGTGGCTCATGCCTGTAATCCCAGCACTTTGGGAGGCTGAGGCGGGCGGATCATGAGGTCAGGAGATCCAGACCATCCTGGCTAACACGGTGAAACCTGTCTCTACTAAAAATACAAAAAATTAGCTGGGCATGGTGGCAGGCGTCTGTAGTCCCAGCTACTGGGGAGGCTAAGGCAGGAGAATGGCATGAACCCAGGAGGCGGGGCTTGCAGTGAGCCAAGATTGTGCCACTGCACTCCAGCCTGGGTGACAGAGCAAAACTCCATCTCAAAAAAAAAAAAAAAAAAGAAAGAAAGACTCAATATTGTTAAGATGTCAGTTCTTCCCAGCTCGAGCTATAGATTCAACACAATCCAAATAAAAATCCCAATATGTTATTTATGGATATTAACAAACATTTGAAAGTTTGTCTGAGAGGCAAAAGACCCAGAATAGTCAGCACAATATTGAAGGAGAAGAATGAAGTCAGAGGATGACCCTACCCAACTTCAAGACTTCCTATAAAGCTACAGTAATTGAGTATGGTAATGGTGAAATAGTAGACAAATAGGTCAACAGAACAGAATAGGGCACCCAGAAGCAGACCCATACAATATAGTCAACTGATCTTTGACAAAGGAGGAAAGGCAATTAAATGGAGAAAATCAACAAATAATACTGGAACAACTGGGCATCCACATGCCAAAAACAAAAGAATCTAGACATAGACTCTATGTTTTTCACAAAAAGCATCTCAAAATGGACTATAGACCTACATGTAAAATGTAAAACTATAAACCTCCCAGAAATGAACATAGAAGGAAGTTTTAGGTGACCTTGGGCTTGGCATCACAAAAAGCACTATCCATGAAGGAAAAAGTTGATAAATTAGACTTTATTAGCATTTCTCTGTGAAAGACATTGTTAAGATAATAAAAAGACGAGCCACAGACTGGGAGAAAATCTTTGCAAAACACGTATCTGATAAAGCACTGTTGTCCAAAATATACAAAGAACTCCTAAAACAACTACGATGTCCTTCAGTAGGCAAATGGATAAGCAAACTGTGGTCTATCCATACAATGGAATATTATTCAGCACTAAAAAGGAATGAGCTATTGAGCTATCAAGCCATGAAATGGAGGAACCCTAAGTGTGTATTGCTAAGTGAAAGAAGCCAGTCTGGAAAGGTCACATATGCTTCCGATTATATGACATTTTGGAAAAGGCAAAACTATGGAGAAAGTAAAAAGAACCATGGTTGCTACGTGTTTAGGATGGAGCACAGGAAATTTTTAGGGCCATGAAACTATTCTATATTAAACTGTAAAGGTGTATATATGTCATTACACATTTGCCAAAACTCATAGAATGTACAACACAAAGAACTAACCCTAATGCAAACTATGGGCTTTGGGGTAATAATTATGTCAGTATAGGGCCATCAATTGTAACAAATGTACCACTCTGATGTGGGATGTAGTTAATGGTTGCGGGGAGGCTGTGTGTGAGGGAGGATGAAGGGATATGTGGGAACTCTGTACTTTCCCCTCAATTTTGTTATGAACCTATAACTATTTTAAAGGTCTATCTTTTTAAAAAATTAGAAAAGCTTATTCTGTTTTTTATTTTTAATAGAAAAGTCGGCTGGGCATGGTGCCTCGAGCCTGTAATCCCAGCACTTTGGGAGGCCGAGGTGGGCGGATCACAAGGTCAGGAGATCGAGACCATCCTGGCTAATCCGGTGAAACTTCGTCTCTACTAAAAATACAAAAAAATTAGTCAGGCGTGGTGGCGGGCGCCTGTAGTCCCAGCTACTCGGGAGGCTGAGGCAGGAGAATGGCGTGAACCTGGGAGGCAGAGCTTGCGGTGAGCCGAGATCGCGCCACTGCACTCCAGCCTGGGCAACAGAGCAAGACTCCGTCTCAAAAAAAAAAAATAAAATTGAAAAGTCTAGAGAAGCCTGGGCTCAACATCTGGCATTCCCAGACTGTGGCAGTTTTGTGACTATTGAGCTGATGGGTCCATCTAAGGAGACCAGATGTTGTTAGTTGGCTGTTTCTGAGCCCAATAGAGCCAAAGATTATATATAGTCAATTCTCATTATTTGCCGTAGTTTTGTTCTATATATAGCTGCAGTGAACACTGAATTAGTGAATATTGACCCAGTGTTCCTAGGGGAAATATGTGTGTGTGTGTACCTATATGTCACATAGATTATAGTCTTAAATCCTAAAACAGTGCACTCTGGTAGGTTCCATTTTCTTTATTTTGCATTCCCTAATACTCTCTCAAAAGGAGAATGAGTATTGACTGCCCTATACAATATGCTTTTATGTTTTTTTTTTAACAGTAGAGTTAAAAGCAAAATATTTTATATATTCACATATCTGCCAAAAAATGAAAAACAAATAATGGGCTGAAAGGATGAGTGATTTTAAGGGGAAGATTTCCTCATACTAGCTAGAACCTCTCGTCACGTCTGGCCCCTGTGAGCCTCTGAATGTGTGCTCCCTGGCTGAGCAGCTGATACACCCAGCTGACTCTGCCTGGGCTGCTCCCCATGACTGCCTCCTGTCCCGCCATTGCACTGGCTGGGACATGTAGAGAAGTTGAGCCAGAACAGGATCCTGGGGAACAGTTTCCTATGGTCACGCCAGGCTCAGAGCTGGAGCAGCAGATGCTCATAGCTCACCTGTCTGCCTGGGCAAGCATGCAAAAATGTGATCCAGGGAGGCCTGGATTCCAATGGGGACACATAGCAACTTACGGGTACACATGAGTCCTGGCTCTGCTAATCAACCAGCTGAGTGGCCTTGGACAAGTTACTTAGTCTCTCTGCCCCCTCAATTTCCTCATCTATAAAACGGATGATATGAATCCTTACCTCATGGAACTCCCATAAGGATTGGAAGTTGTTATTCTCACGGCATTTAGAACAGACCATGGTGCTTGTAAGGGCAGTGGTGTTTGTTGAAGTGCTGCTGTTTGCTGTGTGATGAAAGGACCTGCAGCCTTGGCATGGCCCAGGGCATTAGAGAGCCAAAGTCATGGGTCCCACCCACAAATCAGAATCTCTGAGGTAGGCCCAACAACCTGTTTTAGCAAGGCCTCCAGGTGCTTCTGATACACGTTCGCTTCAGAAGCTCTGTTAAGACATTCTTACATGGGAAATACTTGTTTGGAAGAGATGTAAGGCAAAAATCAGGTGTAGTTACAGTGCCATATATAAGAGCACAGAATTTGTAAGTAAATAACTGAAGATAATCATAGTTTAGTGAAGTGTGTGTGTGTGATTTGATTCCACCCTACAGGTCAGGCCAGACTAGACTCTCCAGCCCACCACTTTCAAAGGGCAGGGTGCCCTGGGGGCTGGCATGGAACCCAGAACAGGGTATTGCAGAACAAGGAGCCAGGCACACACATGCCCCTAAGAACGTCAGTACCTTCCCACCTAGATAAGGAGAAAAGAAGGGACTCCAGCCCAGCTGGCCCTGGGGCTTTGCAGTCTAACTCCCAGGTCTTCTCTCCACTGCCCAGGAGCCTGGAGAGCTTTGGAAAAAGCAGGAGGCTCAGCCCATTCATTCCTGGACAGGGACAGGGAGGAGCACACCAGGGCTCCCAAAGGTAGGGGTCAGGGAGAGGTGCGGAGAAGGTATTACCCCGATGTTAGGCCAGCAGTTTCATAACAAACAAACTCGGGGCTCAAGCTGTGAGTTAATCAAAACTTTGAAAAGAAAACCTTCCCTTCAGGAGCTTCAGACACAAGGAATGAAAACAACCAGGCTGGCTGTAAAATGAAAGCAGCACCGAAATGGGGATGAAAGGAAGCCAGACACTCGGGGGTTGGACAAAAGCAATAAGGCCAAAGGAATTGTGCTGAGGGGCAGTACAGGCCTGTGGGCCTCTGATCCCATGTGTCTTGACCTCTTCCACCCTACACCCCTGTCCCACACCCACTCTCCCACTGCTGTGGGCATGATCACATCACCAGTGGCCTCCTTGCTCCAGACTTGGGACTCAATCTGGCTTCTCTTCCATTCTATCCCTACTTTGTGACCTTCCAGCTCCCACCTCAACCTCCTTTTTCCCCATGCAGTCCAGAGACCCCTGCAGCAGCCACAGGAGCACGGGCAGATCAGCAGGGACTGGGCTGCTACCCTCCCAGGCCACAACAGCAAATGTCCACCTGGGAGCTGAGAGTGGAGGCAGGGGAGGTGATTATCTGTTCTGACTCACTCTGGGCCTGCCCTGCCCAGCACTGTAGCCACTGCCACATGTGGCTACTGAGCACTTGAAACACAGTCAGTCTAAGCAGAAATGTGCTGCAAGTCTAATATGAACCAGACTTGGAAGACTTAATATGAAAAGCAAAGTGTAAAATATCTCATTAATAATTGTTATTTATGATATTTTGTAGTTATAATATTTTGGGTACATTGGTTTAAATAAAATACATTATTAAAATTAATCTTGGCCTGGCATGGTGGCTCACGCCTGTAATCCCAACACTTTGGGAGGCTGAGGGTGGGTGGATCAGTTGAGACCAGGAGTTCGAGACCAGCCTGACCAATAGGGTGAAACCCCGTCTCTACCAAAAAAATACAAAAATTAGCTGGATGTGGTGGTGCTTGCACCTGTAGTCTCAGCTACTCGGGAGGCTGAGACAGGAGAATTGCTTGAACCCTGGAGATGGAGTTTGCAGTGAGTTGAGATCATGCCACTGCACTCCAGCTTGGGTGACAGAGTGAGACCCTGTCTCTAAATAAATAAATAAATAAATAAATTTGTTTAAAAAATAGAATTAATCTTACTGGTTTCTTTTTTTACTTTTTAATGTGACTACTGAAAGATTTAAAACCACACATGTGGTTTGCATTATATGTCTGTGGGACGATGTGGCACTGGAACATCTCCCTTTGAGCTTTGCTGGACATTTCTACCCACACTCATCCCCTAGCAGTACCTCCTGCTGGGCACTGGGGCTTAACTATCTTGGGGAGCATGTCTCCTGAGGCCCCCAAAGGCTCATGCTAGTCTCCAGCTCAGTGCCAAGTAACAAAGAAAATGGCTCCTGGCGACCAGCCAAGCTGGCTGGGAGGTGTCAGTTGGTTCGCCAGGGCCTGATACCCACCAAATAACCCTGCTAGGGCCTACTGACCAGACAGGGCCCTTCCTGTCTCGCAGGCGTTTGACTCAACTACAGGCATCTTCTCTAGGCCTACTTGTTGCTGGAGAGGCAACAGTCCAGGTATGATGGGTCCCTTCCAGAGCAGGGGCAAGAGTCCTGGGGCACCTCTTTGCCTCCCTCTTCCCTTCCCTAAGCATAGGCCTGTTTGAGAGAGCAGCTCCTGCCCCTGCCCTTCACAGCCTTGAGGGAGCCAAGGTCCCAGCTTGCCATGGCTCACTTGGATGGGGTTCTCTCTGCCAGGCATGTCAACAGCAGGCTTAGAACCCTGGCATCCCAGCTCTCCATCCCAGAGCAGGAAGCAGAAGCCACATGTGATGAACTAAATAGAAGGAAAAAGGGAAGTAGGTGGAGGGTAGGGGGGCTGTTTTGCAGCCCCTGCTGTGTCACTGGGCAGTCGGGTGCCCCTGCACAGGTTCCTTCACCTCTGCAGCTTTGGCTGTAAAATGAGGGGTATTGGAGTGTCAACGGAGCAGAATTTGGAAAATTCACAGGCTTTTAGGGCTAACAAATTTAGGTTCAAATTCCTGCCTTGTCATTGACTGATGTGTGTGACCTTGGGCAAGTTAACTAACCTCTCTGAGCCTCTGTCTCCTCATCTATATAACTGGCACAATAACCTATAACTCACAGGTGTCCCTAGGATTAAATAAAAAAGGGTGAGCATCCAATATGTTGTTGCCCTATGAATCCTGGGAACTAATGAACAGCAGATCAGGGCTGGCTGTCTGGGCAGCCAGATGCCCCAGGAGCCTATGTCCTGGGCTCTAACTTGGCCTGGGAAGGGCACCCCCCAGGGCTCTCCAGCATCACAATGATGATGGCTCACACTCCCAGGGTGGCTCTCCATTTCATAGCCACCCCACCCAGCACACCCCAAAGCACAACCTGAGGCCCCACCTAAGAGAGATAGGGTCTTCTCTCCCCTCAGGATCCATTTGCCCTCTTCGTGTTGCTTTCCACGGGCTCCCAAGTCTCCTGCCTGTACCCCCTCATCACAGGCCCACAGACTGAGGGCTCAGTCTCCTGCCCACAAACACAGGCTCATGCCGCAAATGTGGATGACCACAAAATGCTTGAACATATGTGCACCTTTACATGTATGCACATCAGCATTCACATGTTTTCTCATGACAGATCTCAGTAAGCACTCTAGGTGGGCTATACACACATGTGTGCAAACGCTTACACACAAAGCCATGCCATGCCCTTAGCAGACCTGGCACCGGCAAGGTTGAAGGCTACACTGGGCCCTTGGAGAGCTGCCCAGGTATGCTGCTCCCAGCTTTATCTGAAGAGCTGCCCCCAGGTGTGCTGGTCCTGGCAGGGCCTGGGGAAGGGGCTGTGTGCTCCTGGCAGGGTCACGTAGGTATAGAAGGGACAGGCTGGGAGAGAGCTGATGGTCTGAGGAAACACAGAGAGGGGGATTACAGGTCTTTGCTCCAAGACAGGGCAGCAAAAGTAGTGTCAAGACTGGAAGTCTTGCAAATCACACCAAGATAAAACAGACCATCTTATTCTTTGTGTAGCCTCTGAACCGGGTCTCTAGAGTCAGGTGGTTGGCAGAAAAGTCTCTGGGATCAGATAGATCTTTGAGTGCTCCCTCTGCCCATTAACGCAATCTTGGGCAAATGACTTAACCTCTCTGAGCCCCAATTTCCTCCTCAGTGAAACAGGAATAAGAAAACCAAATATATAGCAAATGAGTATTCCTAACATCCCAAAGCCTATCAGATGCGCCTGTTTCACATTCTCATGGCGTTTGTACATTCTCGCACACATTTACATGCATAATTTATTTCTGACTCACCCATTAGGCTGAGCTCCTACCCCACCCCACCCAGGGCACTGTGGAAATAGATCTGTTTTGCTCATCATTATAGCCCCAGCGTCTAGCACAGTTCCTGGAGCTTAGTAGGTGCTCATGGACCAAGAGAGTAGCATATAATTCAGCAGCATAGCACAAGACAGACCTGGATGCAGTCGGTGATGGCTGCTATTATTGTCATTATTAGAGAGGTGCTGCTCTCTGAGAATTATTTCCACACCCTCACCTCCCACAATCAGTTCTCCTCGACTGCCTCTTCCTTGCATCTAAGCTCTTCCTATGGGTGACCCAAATGCCCCCAGTAGCAAAGCTAGCCCACTTCCTTTCATTTTTGCCCTGGGACAGATGAGGAGCAGTTTCTACACTTTCAGGGCTTAAAGACCCCATTGAGGTCCTCCCTAAGTCTCTTTCTTTCCAGAGATTAAAAACTTCTCAAATTCTTTTATTCCTTCCTTACAAAACATGTCCCATGCTTCTTCAATTACCCTGTGGTTTCTCTGGAGGTTTTAAGATCAGTAGCCATAAGCTCCCCTCTCCCCAGGTGCCCAGAAACCAAAGGGCCTTCAGCCCACAGGAGATGTGTTATTGGGTTCCCCTAGTTCCCAGCCCAGTCTGATGCTCCTGGCTCTGTCCAGAGGCCACAAGCCCACAGGACACCCCAGCCCGCCTCCAGCTTATTGGAAGTTCTCCTGTGCCCCAACCTGCTCAGTCTGGTCCCCACTTTTAAGGCAGAGTGTCTAGAGTTGTATGAGATCAAATCGGACAATCTTAGAGCCAAAACAGACCAACCTTGCTCCTTGTATAAACTCAGAAACTGAGACCCACAGATGTCAAGTTCATGGGACTAGTTTTGGCAGTGCTGCTTCAGGACTGGAGAGATGGCCTCAACCAGCTGGGACACAGAACAGCCTGGAGGCCCTGCCGCCAGTTCTGCCCTCCCTTCTTGCTTGAACCCATCTCACAGACCCTCTGCCTTTCTGCTTTCTTCTTGGCCTTAACTCACCTGGGCCTCAGTAAGAGGTGAAGACCCCTAAGAGGAAGGGCTCTGACCATCTTCAACCTTGATTTGATGTCTGGTTATGTCCATAGGGCCCTGAGTCTTTGGGGCCCTGGTATGCCCTAAATCCAGTGCCTAGAACAATGTAGAGAGAAGCCTGCCCTCCATAGAGGGCCAGTGATGCTGGCTCTTACATGACAAAGACTGTGGTGCTGGCCCTCTCCCTTTCCCCCTCCCCCAGCCAACCCTCTCCCAGGCCCTCTGACCCCATGCACCCACCCACCCACAGGAGCACATCCACTGTGCCTGTTTCTACCCAAAACAAATCATCAACTCCTTCCTCTCCTAATCAGTCAATAGGCCTGTTGGTTTGAAATAAAAAGAGTTTCACCTTCAGCACTGCCCCCACTCAAAAAAACGTCTAGATCCAGATAAAGATAAATTCCAGTCACTGAAGCATAACAAGTGACTCAGACTCAAGGGGATGGGCAGACACTCCAATCACCCAGGAAATTCCGAGGGTTTAGTTACCTCCCAGGAACTGGACAGAGGCTGGTAAAGTTAATTCTGCTCTATACAGGGCACTCCTAGCCTTTGGACATGGTTCTTATATATGCCTAAGATTTGCAGGAGCCAGTGTGGTGGAGGGATAGGATACCTAACTCGATTTCCCAATACGTTTGACCATTAATATCAGCCAACAGAATCTTCATAACAATGCCGGTGTTCTACCATATTGCAGTATGGTAGGTGTCACCTGAAAAATAAGAGTCTAGATATGAGCACATTACTAGAGTTTCATTCAGTCATTAATAATTAGTCCAGTCTATCATCATATCATATGACCCAAATGTCTCCCAGAACAAGGCCACTCAGGTTTGCAGGCTTCCATTCAGCCTCATCAGGCTCCAAAAAAAAGGAGTGGTCTCCACAGTACATGGCTTCACCCTTTCAGGCACCTGGAATAACTAACCTGAGACAGTACCACCTTTTGCTCCAGTCTTCTCAATATATTAATGTAATATTAGATTTCCCTCATTATATAACCTGTTTATTTATTTCTTTACCCCCATCTACTCCTTCTCTCCACTTACAGCCAAACATTTCCACCTTGGTGAGGGACATTAGGTTAGGCCACTGTGCTGGTCTAGATTGCTGGCAGCAATACTGGTCTAGGAAGTGGTCTTCCTCAGTCCACCAGTCACAGGCTCTGGGGTCCCCAGACCACCCTCTCTTCTGACCAGCTGGTTTCAAATTAAGGGGTTCCCACTACACTCTCAGGTCTGATAATTTGCTAGAACAACTCACTGAACTCAGGAGTTCTACTTACAGTTACACTTTTATTGTAGGAAAAGAATACAAATCAGAGCCGGCCAAAGGGAGAGACATATAGGGCAAGCTCTGTAAGGGTCCTAAACGCAAAGCAGCTGTGTCCCTGGTGGGGAAAATGTACCACTTTCAACCCAGGTTTTCATAGGCAGTGATGTCCACTGCCCCTTCTGGACCAGTGTGTCAGCACCTGGGGCACCGCAGGCCTCTGTACTGCTTAGCTTGACCATCCTTGGTCTCCCGTGTCATTGCTGGCATGTCTCTGACCACCACTGCTGGGCTATACTTGTGAACAGACCCCTGCCCAACCTGGTTACCCTCCATTACTAGGCCATAAAGCACGACCTCCTCATGGTCACTCCTCCAGGCTCTGGTAAATTCCCTGGGGGAGTGGGCAGAGACAGGAGTGGGTGGCCAGCTGGAGGTCGGTGTGAGAGCACACAGCCTTGCTGTTCTCAGGAGCAGCCTCACTCTGCTGAAGCCTCCTTGTCCTTGGGCTCCAGGACCTCAGCATCTTCTTTCCATGTGTTCCATCCTCTAAGATTCTGCCTCAGCCCCTCAAAAGCAGAGATCCCTTTTTCCTCCCTCACCCCTCAGTGCTCACTCTCTGAACATGCCTGGACAGTCTGAACCCCAAGACTGTACAGTATGGCCTTTCCTTCCTCTGGGTCACTCAGCCAGGACTGTGTGCTGGGGACTTAGCCTTGCACATGCACAGATTCCTCATATGTTGGCTCACAATTTGCTGAGATGCCTGATGAATGCTCTCTTAACCCTTGAAGTTATATTTTCCATAAGATGCCCCAAAATATCCTTGCTCAATACAAATGGAAAAATGTGAAGCCAACATCATATTATTCTTGGTTATTTTCAGTTGTGCTTTGATGGAAAAATAAGTTATTTCTTACATTAGGCCTTAACCTACAGCTATTCTGATTACATTTCTGAGAAATGGAGTTTTTAGGGACTCATCTCATGTTTCCTTTTCTTTATCCTTGGGTTAATATAATTACTATATACATTTTATGCTTGCAAGCTATTTATAAGAACTGAAACTTTCTCTAGGAAAAAAACACAAAGGTCTTTATGATTTGGCCCCTGCATACTCTTACAGCCCCATCTTCATTCACACCCCCACCTATCCATCCCTCTACTTTCCCCAAGTTCTTTAATGGGCAGCCTCAGTAGTGCTTCAGAACACAGCGCAGGATAGGATGGGCTCTGGTTTAAATCCTGATTCTGCCTTTAATTGGCCATAGAACATTTGGCAAGTTTCCAAACTTTTGTTTCCTCATCTGAAAAAGTGCAGATAACAGTACCTATCTCACCACAATGAGATACCTCTTCACACACATTAGGATGGCTATTATTTAAAAAAAAAGAAAGAAAAGAAAATAACAAATGTTTGCGAGGATGTGGAGAAATGGAAACTTTTGTGTGTTGCTGGTATGAATGTACACTGCAAGCTACTGTAAAAAACAATATGATGGTTCCTCAAAGAATTAAAAAGCTGTGCTCAGATTTTCCTAAGTAATCTCAGAATTATTATATGATCCAATAATTTCACTTCTGGATATAAACCAAAAAAGAACTGAAAGTAGAGACTTGAAAGGGTATTTGTACATTCATGTTTAGAGAAGCATTATTCATGATAGCCAAAAGGTAGAAGCAACCAAATGATCATCAATGGATGGATTAGTGCAGTGGTCCCCAACCTTTTAGGCACCAGGGACAGGTCTCATGGAAGACAATTTTTTCATGGGCCAGGGGCAGGTGGGGGTGGGTGGTTTCAGAATGATTCCAGCACATTACGTTTATTGCACACTTTATTTCTATTATTATTACATTGTAATATATATTGAAATAATTATACAACTCACCATGATCTAGAATCAGTGGGAGTTCTGAGCTTTTCTTGCCACTAGATGGTCCCATCTGGGAGTGATGGGAGACAGTGACAGATCAGCAGGCATTAGATTCTCATAAGGAGCATGCAACCTAGATCCCTCGCATGTGCAGTTCACAATAACGTTCGCACTTCTATGAGAATCTAATACCACTGCTGATCTGATAGTAGGAGGAGCTCAGGCAGTAATGTGAGCAATGGGAAGTGGCTATAAATACACATGAAGCTTCACCACTCACACCCTGCTGTGCAGCCTGGTTCCTAACAGGCCATGGACTAGTACTGGTCTGTGGCCCAGGAAGTTGGGGACCCCTGGATTAGTGGATAAATGAAATGTGGGACATACATGCAATGGAATACTATTTGCCTTAAAAAAAGAAAAAAAATTATAACATATGCTAGAACATAGATGAACCTTGAAGATATTATGCAAAGTTAATAAGCCAGTCACAAAAGGGCAACTATTACATGATTCCAGGTAAATAAGGCACCTAGAGTAGTAAAATTCGTAAATACCAAAAGTAGAAAAGTTGTTGTCAGGGCTGGGGGAAGGGACGAATGTAGAGTTATTGTTTAATGGGAACATTGTTTCAGTTGGGGAGATGAAAAAGTTCTGGAGGTAGATGGTAGAACTATTTGTACAGCAGTGGCAATGCACTTAATGTCACTGAACCATACACTTAAAAGTGATTAAAATTGTAAATGTTATGCTATGCATATTTTAGCACAATAAAAAATTGTAAATAACTTGTCTCAGAATGTAAAGTACCTGTCTTAGAAGGTCACAGTGAAGGCATAAATGTATATTTGGCATGATTCCGGAATATAGCAGGTGTTCACAAAATATGAACTCTTCTTTCTGGAAAGCCCTTGTTCTACTATCAGACTAGCTCTCATTCACAACTCAAACACACACGACTCTAAGAGCTTGTTCCAACTCTTTGTATTCACATCACCATTTTGTGCTGAGCATCCACCTCTGTTCTCCCACCCACATGCTTCTACTATGGTCCTGGCTTCTCTGTAGTTCATCCTTGCTTTTCTTCTCTGCCTTTCCCACTAGGCTGAGAGCTACTGAGAACACAGTGTGTGTCTGTTCCTTTCTTGTCCTAGGACCCAGTAGAGTAACCCTATACATGTTTAGAATATTCATCACACAAATATGGGAGGATCAATAATTTTAAAGGGGAAAATTTATTTAAAACACAGGCTTCACTTACATATAAGGACCTCCTTTTTAAATGTCAAACAACTTCATAAACCAATATGTAAACTATTACTTGAATTTTTAATATTTGAGGATAAAAATGTTGTCATGATCTGATGGTAGTAGAAATACAGCACTTTTTTAAAACGCACTAAGCCAAACGAAGTTTGATGCACAAATAGTTTTGTAAGTCAGTGGCTATAATTCCTGGCCCACTGGGGACCCAGGACCCTCATGTTGGCAACCATGCCTCTATACAATAGGGCATTTGCAGAGTAGGCTGATAACTAAAGATTAGTTTGTAGAAAGATGATAAAGCATTTGTGGTTTGTTTGTTCTGCATGATGGCATAGAAAAGGAAGCTTGTGACTGTTCTGGGGTTTGGTGGAAGGAAGAACTGTTGGAAACAGGCAATCCTAGAGCTGAAGGCCAGTCACTAGAAGGCTCACCAGTCAAGTTGAGGTTTTCTGAGAGGAAGAAGGCAAAGCTGTGTAGACTTCTGTGAGCTCATGATGTCTGGGCTGAAGAACACGTCAAGGATGTTAGTGTCCACATGGGAAAGAAGGTGGTCCATTGGGAGATGGTCAGTGCCAGCAAAGAAAGTCTACCTGGGACTGTGAGTCTGTGTTTGTTAGTTTCCTGGGGCTGCTGTAACAAAGTATCAGAAACTGAGTGGCTTAAACAAAAGATGTATTGCCTCCAAGTCTGAAGACCAGAAGTATGAGACCAAGGTGGTGTTAGGGTTGGTTCCTTCTGAGGGCTCTGAGGGAAAGAACCTGTTCCATGCCTTTCCCCTAGCTTTTGGTGGTTTGCTGTTAACCTTCAGTAATCCTTGCCTTCTACAAGCATCGCCAGTCTCCACAAGGCATTCTCCCTCTGCATGTGCAACTCCTGTTATTTATGGCTGATACGGTTTTACCATGTCCTCACCCAAATCTCATCTTGAATTGTAGTTCCCATAATCCCCATGTGTCGTAGGAAGGATCAGCTGAAGATAATTGAATCATGGGGGCAGTTTCCCCCACGCTGTTTTTATGATAGTCAGTTAGTTCTCACAAGATCTGATGGTTTTATAAGGGGCTTCCCCCTTCACCAGACACTCATTCTCTCCCCTGCTACCCTGTGAAGAGGTGCCTTCTACTGTGATTGTAAGTTTCCTGAGGCCTCCTCAGCCATGCAGAACTGTAAGCCAATTAAACCTCCTTCCTTTATAAATTACCCAGTCTCAGGTATTTCTTCATAGCAGCGTGAGAACAGACTAATACAGTAAATTGCTACTGGGTAGTGGGGTACTGCTGCAAAGATACCTGAAAATATGGAAGCAACTTTAGAACTGGGTAACAGGCAGAAGATGGAACAGTTTGGAGGGCTCAGAAGAAGACAGAAAGATGTGGGAAAGTTTGGAACTTCCTAGAGACTTGTTGAATACCTTTGACCAAAATGTTGATAGTGATATGGACAATGAAGTCCAGGCTGAGGCGGTCTCAGATGGAGATGAGGAACTTGTTGGGAACTGGAGTAAAGGTCACTCTTGCTATGCAAAGAGACTGGTGGCATTTTGCCCCTTCCCCATAGATCTGCGGGACATTGAACTTGAGATAGATGATTTAGGGCATCTGGTGAAAGAAATTTCTAAGCAGAAACGCATTCGAGAGGAAGCAAAGCATAAAAATTTGGAAAATTTGCAGCCTGACAATGTGGCAGAAGAGAAAAACCCATTTACTGGGGGGAATACAAGCTGGCTGCAGAAATTTGCATAAGTGATGAGGAACCAGATGTTAATCACTAAGATAATGGGGAAAACATCTCCAGGGCATTTCAGAGACTTTCATGACAGCTTCCCCTATTACAGGCCCCAAGGCCTAGGAAGGAAAAATGGTTTCCTGGGCCGAGTCCAGGACCCTCTGCTGCGTGCAGCATTGGGACTTGGTGCCTTGCATCCTAGCCACTCTAGCCATGGCTAAAAGGGGCCAATGTACAGCTGAAGCCATTGCTTCAGAGGGTGCAAGCCCCAAGCCTTGGCAACTTCCATGTGGTGTTGGGCCTGCAGGTGCACAGAAATCAAGAATTGAGGTTTGGGAACCTCTGCCTAGATTTCAGAGGATGTATGGAGAGGCCTAGATGTCCACACAGAAGTTTGCTGCATGGGTGGAGCCCTCATGGAGAACCTCTGCTAGGACAGTGTGGAAGGGAAACGTGGGGTTGGAGCCCCCACACAAAGTCTCCACTGGGGCACTGCCTAGTGGAGCTGTGAGAAGAGGGCCACCATCCTCCAGACCCCAGAATGGTAGATCCACTGACAGCTTGCATCATGTGCCTAGAAAAGCTGCAGACATTCAATGCCAGCCTGTGAAAGCAGCCAGGCAGGGGACTGTACCCTGAAAAGCCACAGTGGCACAGCTGCCTAAGGTTGTGGGAGCCCATATCTTGCAACAGTGTGCCCTGGATGTGAGACATGGAATCAGAAGAGATCCTTTTGGAACTTTAAGGTTTAATGACTGCACTATTGGATTTCAGACTTGCATGGGGCCTGTAGCCCCTTTGTTTTGGCCAATTTCTCTTTGGAATGGATGTATTTACCAAATGCCTGTACCCCATTGTATCTAGGAAGTAACTAGCTTGCTTTTGATTTTACAGCCTCATAGGTTGAAGGGACTTGCCTTGTCTCAGATGAGACTTTGAACTTGGACTTTTCAGTTAATGCTGGAATGAGTTAAGACTTTGGGGGACTGTTAGAAGGGCATGATTATGTTTTGAGCTGTGAGGACATGAGATTTAGGAGGGGCCAAAGGCAGAATGATATGGTTTGGATGTGTCCCCACCCAAATCATCTTGTAGTTTCCATAATCACCACGTGTTGTGGGAGGCATCAGGTGGAGATAATTGAATCATGGGGGCAGTTTCCCTCATCCCATTCTTGTGGTAGTGAGTTAGTTCTTATGAGATCTGATGGTTTTATAAGGGCTTCCCCCTTCGCTGGATACACATTCTCTCCCCTGCCACCCTGTGGAGAAGTGCCTTCCACCACGATTGTAAGTTTTCTGAGGCCTCCTCAGCCATATGGAATTGTGAGTCAATTAAACCTCTTTCCTTTATAAGTTACCCAGTCTCAGGTATTTCTTCATAGCAGCATGAGAATGAACTAAAACAATGGCATACCTTATAACTTCATTTTCCCAAGAGTAACCTAGGGTGAAGCTTTAAAGCCTATACAAAATAAATACAAATAGATGTCATGTAGAGTAGAATCAGGCTTTGCCATTAATACAAATAAACTTTGGCAGAGAGCAGTAACATTTGAGTGGCAGAGAGGAGTGTACATCCCATAATCAAGGCCAGGGCTCAGCAAAGTTTTCTCATAAAGGGCCAGATAGTAAATATTTTAGGCTTTGGGAGATATGGTCTCTGTTATAATTAGCACAACTCTGCCACTGCATCATGAAAACAACCACAAACAATTACTAAACAAATAAGCATCACTGTTGCAATAAAACTTTATTAGCAAAATCAGGCTGTGGTCCAGGTTTGGCCCATTTACCTTACTGGCGAAGAGTATTCTTCACTCTACTAAATCCTTTCCCTTTTTTCTTGCTCTTCTTCTTTCCTTGGTGTCATTCCTCACATCAATTATATCTCCTCTTGCAACTTTACCTCTAACCTAACCCTTGTGGCTTTTCTTACCCTTCATGCAACTTACCATGAAGGATCTTCTGCCCCCACAGCAACCTCTCCTCATTGCAGTCTTCCACTTTTTTCCATTCCTCCCCAACTATGCAGCTTCTTCTTCAAAGCATCCTTTCTTCTCCATTCCAATTCTAACTCTGACATTGATTCAATCTCCCCACCCCATCCCATATCCACAAAGAAGACAGCATCAGCATTTGTGTGAGGCAATTCAATCCTGAGCTTGAGCCACACAGTGTATATATAACCATATGTAGGCAATGGAAAATACTTGCAGATCATTCATCTCAATTTATGAACCTCTTTGGCAGCCTTTGTTCTACTCTCACATGTGGCTCTGCCAAGTTTATAAATACTTCCTCTGGATGACAATAAATTTGGTCTCCCCTAATCATTCACTCCACAGATAAAATCTCATTGAGGTTGCAATAGCACTGACACTTAAAGTTAAGTGTTTTCTTGCTTGGTCTTAGCACTCTAGCCAAATGGATTTTGAGGGCCTCCTATTCATGGGTCACAGCTGCTTGACTCAAGGATTTTTGCCTATGCATGCCCTGACAGTCAGATACTAACTCACTTGGATGCCTGCCTCTCACACTGCTCTACTTTATGAAGTCAAGACCATTAATAAAATCCAGTTTACAGAAAGGCCTAGAGAAGGTTATTTCTCTGAACACTTCGCTGTACCTACTTCCATAACAGATGAACTTACCAGATGTAACAGAAGCGGTTCTTCTGTTCTCGTGGAAGATGAAGTTGTCCTTTGTTTTGATGAGTCCTGAAGGACTTAAAGGTAAGAAAACATATTCATAATATATTATCCTTTTCTGCTTTTTCCCTTAATTCTTGCCAGTTGCTAAACGCAGTGCCAGGTATATTAAGACTTTTTTTAAAAGGCATCTTCTTGTTATCACTACTATCAGCATCACAACACTCTTTCCTCTTTTCTGTATCTACTCAGCTACACAAAGCTCACTTGACAGCTTTGTAATTTTTTTTAAAAGTGGTTAATCCAGACTACAATTATCTCAATTTTAGTTTGTTGCCTGAATTGATAATTGATGGATCAATCCTTTTTTTTTCAGTGCAATGAAAATTACTATGTCATTAAAATAATGGAAATATGCTGTGGCAGGGGAAGGGAATCACCTTTGAATTCTATTTTATTTCCCTATTTATTTTTAAATATATGTGTAGAGAGAAGAGTCAGGGAGGCACAAAGGAAAATAAGCAAGAATAAAGGCCACAGGGTCATGAGGAAAGACACAGGTGCCCAGGTGGTGCAGGGAACCTGTTTTTGTCCCTTTTTGTTTTCCTTCTCCTCTGTCATTCCTCTGCTTCTGTGTCCTCCTTATCTCTCCCTCTTTTCTTTTCAGTTTCTCTCAATTTAAAATAAATTAGAACGTAGAATCAAAACGTCATGTTTTATTTTTCAAAGATTATTATTACCAGCTAAATAACATTGGTAATTTTTATTTTGAGTTTCGTACAAATTAGTTATTGATTACTAATTATTTGAGAACAGGATTTTTGTTTGGATTCTTAGCCTGTTGCTTCCACATGCTCTGAGAGGTGTAAATTTACATGGAAAATAAAATATCTTCCTGGTCAGAACAGAAGTCATTCATGATGATTTAGCTTATTTCGGTTCTTCCTTTTTTTCCCTTCTCCCCTCCCTCTCTGTCTCTCGTTACTCACACCCAGCTATGTCACTGCGATGACCAGTGAGCCAAACACTCACCTTGGGTTCCTCCTGGGGGAAGTAATAACTCACAGCAACCTATCTCCCTCCGGGGAAGCCACCTGTGACTTTCACTGACACAGGGCTCAGGCAAGTCTCTGTACACAACGTGGTCTTCACACAATGAATCAAGACTGTTGATTGACTGAGGGGTCAGAGGGCCGACAGGCTGGTCGTTGGCTAGAGCACGGTAAAGATGATGGCAACCAGGCTCAGAGACACACAGGGATGGCCACGGAGAGTTAGGCACCAGATTTCCCACTCTCAGGCTCATGGACTTTGCAAGTCCCACTTATCCAGATTCAAACCTGGGCTCCAGCTGTTGAATTTAAGATTCAGAGAGCTTGAGCTTCTCACGGTACATATCTGAGTCTCATTATTTTCATCTTTGAAGCAGATAAGGCTGCCTATCTCACAGGCTTCTTGTGAGCATGCAGGAGGTAAGATACAAGGAGCACCTAGCACAGCACGCAGCAGATGAAAAAGAGCACGGAGAATGGAGGGGAAGAAAAGGACACAGGATAGCCGCCAGGAGCACGCACAAGTTAATTTGGGGCTGTGTGGGAAACTGATGCAAACAAGCCCCCATACATAAACGCACCACAGGGAAAGCTGGGATTCTGTGCTGAGTGAGGTTATTTCCTGAACTTGCTAATTACACAGCACCATCTAGGGGCAGAGCATGCTTCGAACAAATGGTGGTCTTGGCAAGGTCCTCTGACCCTGCGGAATTCCCAGTCCCTTTTTCCCCTTTCCCCTCAGCCCTCTTCTTCCCTCTGCTCCCTTCTCTTCCATGGCATGCCCTTTCTCACCCCACACTTATTCCCTTTTCTTCCTCTATCTACTCTTCCTGGCGCAGTATTTTTTTGCAATGGAGTCCTTAGGGTTTTGGACAAAATAATCTGTGGGAAGTCAAACAATTACTATCCTCAAACAAGCCTTCCTCCTGTGCTCTATGTCACTGATGTCCTTTGGATGGCACCAGAAACTTGGCTTGCTGAGGCTGTGCTGTCTCTGGTCTCGGATGAGGGCCATCATGGTGCCATGGATGCAGGACTGGGTGTTACCACTGCAGGTGGTGAGAAGATGGCAGTGAAGGAGGACACTCTGGTTTCAACTCACATCCTGGGGGGCCACCTTCTCTGATGTGAATTCCACTGTGAATCTTTTATTGTTCTCCAACCAGTGTAAGGACTCTACCCAAAGAACTCACAAGCTAAAGCCAGCAGCAGAGTTTTCACTTAAAATGTTTCTTTAAAAAAAACCAAACCCTCAAAGAGGGAAAGACGATTTTGGCCAAGTCTGCATCTTATGAGACTGAGACTTGCCAATTTTTATTCCCCATTTTAGAAACTGTGATTTTAAAACAATGCTGAATTATTTCTTTCAAAATACATTTACAAAGAGATTTTGGATTCCGTTCAACATTCTTTCCACACCTCCTTAAATCTCTCTCATTCTTCTCAAGAACGAAGATTTGCTTTCAAATCCCAACAAGTTGTGCTTGAAATAGCATCAAGTCTGTTCGCTATAAAGTGTTTTTGAAAATTCGGTAGGAACATTGTAATACGGTAATGAATTTCCTGAAACATTATTAGAATGCATCACTTCCATACACTTTGCATGTTCCCTGCAAATTACTGAATGCCAATTTAAGTGCCACTTTATTGTGTTTCTGTTTGTCTTTTCCTCAACTGAATGTTATTAAGTACATACTTTTGCTCTGAAGGTGGCCATTAGTAAACTAAAATTTGTTTGGATTTTACAAATTGTCTAGTTTACATCAGGGGTAAGACTTAGCAAATATTTTAAAACTTCAACAATTCTGATCAAGGCAGAAATGTATGTGGAAATAATTACCTGTGTCAACTGAAAACTAAATAGAAACACAATGTATACATTTTCTTATTTTTCCCTTACAAATGATCATCTGTTTTATGTATAATGAAACTACTCACCCAGGCAATTTCTCTGTCTAGAGCACCCTGTCTCTCCAATGTCTGCCTGGAAAAGTCCTCATCATTCTTTACATTTCAGCCAAATGCCATCTACTCAATAAAGCTAACTCCCTAGAGCACTTAGGCGCTGCTTCTCAGTGTGTCCAGAGAGCTTCGTATATGCCTTGATTAAAACAATGACTTTACTATATCATAATTTTTGGTACTAATGCTAATCTCATTTCCATTTTAAATTCCTTTGTTCCTAGTATAGTAATAGCTACCACTCTGCACAAAATACTTTTTTTTTTTTTGAGACAGAAACTTGCTCTGTCACCCAAGCTGGAGTGCAGTAGCATGATCATAGCTCACTGCAACCTCAACTCCTGGGTTGAAGTGATCTTCCCACCTCAGCCTCCCAAGTAGTTGGGATTATGAGTGCGTGCCATCACCACACCTAGGTAATTTTTTTTTGTAAAGATGGGTTCTTGCTATTGTCACGCACGTCCATGTGAAGAGACCACCAAACAGGCTTTGTGTGAGCAATAAAGCTTTTTAATCACCTGTGTGAAGGTGGACTGAGTCTGAAAAAAGAGTCAGCAAGGGAGATAGGATGGGGCAATTTTATAGGATTTGGTTGGGTAGTGGAAAATTACAGTCAAAGGGGGTTTTTCTCTTGCAGGCAGGGGCAGGGGTCACAAGGTACTGAGTGGGGGAGCTCCTGAGACTTATTGTACAGGAGAAGGAATTTCACAAAGTTAATCAATCAGTTAAAGTGGGGCAGGAACGAATCACAATGGAAGAATGTCAGCAGTTAAGGCAGGACCCAGCCATTTTCACTTCTTCTGTTGCTTCACGGCATCTGGATGTATATGTGCAGGCTTGGGCTCAGAGGCCTGACATTCGTGTCTTTTTTTATTAATAAGAAAGAACAAGATAGTGGTGAAGTGTTGGGGTGGCAAAAATTTTTGGGGGTGTTATGGAGAGATAATGAGTGATGTTTCTCAGGGCTGCTTTGAGCGGGATTAGGGGTGGCGTGGGAACCAAGAGTGGAAGAGATTAAACTGAAGGAAGATTTTGTGGTAAGGGGTGATATTATGGGGTTCTAGAAGGAGCATTTGTCATATAGAATGATTGATGATGGCCTGGATGCAGTTTTGTATGAATTGAGAAACTAAACGGAAGACACAAGGTCCAAATAAGAGAAGGAGAAAAACAGGTATTGAAGGACTAAGAATTGGGAGGACCGAGGACATCTAATTAGTGAGTGCCCAAGCGGGTTCAGTGTGATTATTTGCTTGGTGGGTGAGTTTTTGGGCTCTATCCTTGAGTTTTTTTTGTGTTGTCATATACCAGGCCAGATTGATTTAGGTAAAAACAACACTCTTAATTTAAAAATATACAAGGTCCCCTTTTTTTAGCAGTGAGTAAGTCAAGGCCTTGGCGATTTTGGAGGAAAGAGAAATGCAAAACCAGCAATTGTTTGTTAAAGAAGGATTAGAAATGGCTAGGACAGAGTGAGAGAGATTGATAGTGTGGTGGAGATAGCTGGGGAGAGGTAGAGGGTGGCAAAAGAATGGGAACGAGAACAAGAGTGAGTATAAAAGTAAAAAATAGGACTTTATCAGGGTAAAAGTATTGGAGTGTACCTTGCCACTGAAGATCTTCTATCCACTTTAAGAGAGACTTAAGGGTGGTGGTTTGAGGTAAAACCAGGAGATACCCGTTATGATGATTCAGAGGAAAAGTGTAAACCAGCAGTGTAAACAAGGGCAGGGCATTTATGAGTAGTTGAGAACGGTGAATAGGAGTATGACTAGACAGAAGATAGTAGGGATGACAAGTTTTTGGGGAACAGTCCAAGTAGTAGGGGTGACTGTGTAAAGTCCTGTTGCAAAAAGTAGGGTAAGGACGAATAGACCTAATAGAATGAAGGGATGTATTAGGCTCATAAGGGTTATTACTGCTCTTCAAAAATGCAAGTGAGTTTAAGAGAAGTAGGGGAGAGTACTTGCAAATTCCAGGAGGAAGAGGAGAGATCAGGCTGCCTGTCTGATGGACACAGATTTATTCTGGAATGGTGAACCCAGTGGGGAGGGTCCTGTGGGTGGACAGCAGTTGGGGTACTATAAATGACTAACTAGGGTCCGGTCCATCAAGGTTGTAGAGTTTGAGGGGTCAGGTTCTTAATAAGAATTGATTGACCGGCTAGGGTGTCTTTATATGGCTGGGAATCTGGAGTAGGCAAGAGAAGATTAGCAGCCTGGCAAATTTCCTGTCTAGCCTGCTGGAGGACTAGAAGATAGTTGCCTAGAGGACTGGTGTCTGGAACGAGGTTGGGGCTGAGGAAGAAAGTGAATTATGTCTGACAGAAGGGAAGAAATGATTGTGGTGGCCTTCTCAGACCCTGTGGGAAAGGCCTCTACCCATCCAGTGAAAGTGTCTTCCCAGACCAAGAGGTATTTTAGTTTCCTGACTCAGGGCATGTGAGTAAAGTCAATTTGCCAGTCCTGGGCAGAGGCAAATCCCCGAGCTTGATGTGTAGGGAAGGGAGGGGGCCTGAACAACCCCTGAGGAGTAGTAGAATAGCAGATGGAACACTGAGAAGTTCTTTCCTTGAGGATAGATTTCCATGATGGAAAGGAAATGAGAGGTGGGCTAGCAGCTTATAACCTACTTCGAAGAGGTTATCAAATGACAACAGAATGGAATGGGCCTGTGAGGCTGGAAGGAGATATTTTCCTTGGTCCAAGAACCATTTGCCTTGTGTGGGAAGAGATTGATAGGTGGAAGTTTCAGTGGGAGAGTAGGAGGGAGTGACCCATGTGAAGGAGAAAAACTGGCCATGAGGGGCAGAAGTTGGAACGCTAGCTGCTTCTTTAGCTACCTTATCAGCATAAGCATTGCCCTGAGCAATGGGATCTGATGCCTTTTGATGGCCCTTGCAGTGAATGACTTCAGCTTCATTTGGAAGTAAAGCAGCCTTGAGAAGAGTTTTTATTAAAGAGGCATTAATGGTGGAGGACACTTGCGTAGTGAGGAAACCTCTTTCAGCCCATATAACAGCATGGTGGTGCAGGATATGGAAGGCATATTTAGAGTCAGTATAAATATTGATGCATAGTCCTTTTGCAAGAGTGAGGGCCTGAGTTAAGGCAATGAGTTTGGTTTGCTGAGAGGTACTGGAGGAGGGCAGAGCGGTAGCCTCAATGATAGATGTGGAAGATGCTATAGCATAGCCTGCCTTTGCTGGTGAGTGGCAATTAGGCCTGGTGGAACTGCCATCAATAAACCAAGTGTGATCAGGGTGAGGAACAGAAAAGAAAGAAATATGGGTAAATCAGTTGGATCAGAGAGATACAGTCATGGGGGTCAGGTGTGGTATCAGGAATAATGTGGGAGGTCTGATTGAAGTCCAGGCCAGGAACAGTGATAATAGTGGGAGACTCAACAAAGAGTGATTATAGCTGAAGGAGCCAGGGAGCAGAAAGTATATGTGTCAGGTGTGAGAAAGAAAATAGATTTTGGAAGTTATGAGAACTGTAGAGAGTGAGTTGAGCATAGTTTGTGATTTCGAGGGCCTCTAAAAGTATTAGGGTGGTGGCAGCTGCTGAACGGAGGCATGATGGCCAGCCTAAAACAGTAAGGTCAAGTTGTTTGGACAAAAAGGCTATAAGGCACAGTCCCAGTCCTTGTGTAAGAATTCTGACTGCACAGCCCTGCACTTCAGCTGTATGTAATGAAAAGGGTTGGGATGAGTCAGGGAGAGCTAGTGTGGGAGCAGTCTCTAGAGCTATCTTCAAGGAATGGAAAGAGGAGTGGGGAAAGGATTTAGGATCTATGGGGTCAGCTAGGTTTCCTTTGTGAGTTTATATAATAGTTATTTAGGATGGCAAAACCAGGTATCCAAAGGCGGAAGTATCCAACCATGCCCAGGAAGGAAAGGAGTTGTTGTTTTGTAGAAGGTGTTGGGGTTTGGGAGATTAGCCAGACACAATCAGTAGGGAGAGCACATGTGTTTTTATGAAGAATTATGTTGAGATAGGTAACAGATGAGGAAGAAATTTGGGCTTTGGAGGGGATGCACAATGTCCTTTTGAGAATAGATGTTGGAGGAGCAGGAGCGTGTCCTATTGGGAAGATTTGTAGGAGGGGCTATAAACTAGAAGATTATCAAAATATTGAATAAGGTGAGAAGCAGATGGACAGAAAAAAAGTAAATCATAAGAAAGGGCTTGACTGAAGTAATGGGGGGTGTCCCTGAAGACTTGTGGCAGTACAGCCCAGGTAAGTTGCTGAGGCTGATGGGTGTCAGGGTCAGTCCAAGTGAAAGTGAAGAGAGGCTGGGATGAAGGGTGCAAAGGAATAGTAAAGAATGCATGTTTGAGATCCAGAACAGAATAATGGGTTGTGGAGGGGTTGTGGAGGGAGGTATTGAGGATAGGAGAGTATATGAGTTTGGCACCACGGGGTGGATAGGCAAGACAATTTGGTTGATAGGGTGCAGATCTTGAACTAACCTGTAAGACTTGTCCAGTTTTTGGACAGGTAAAATGGGGGAATTGTAAGGTAAAAAAAGGGGGAATTTAAATAGGCTTTAAAAGACCATGCTGTAACTGGCGAGTGATAACAGGCTTTAATCCTTTTAAAGCATGCTGTGGGATGGGATATTGGGGTTGAGTGGAGTAAGGGTGATTAGGTTTTAATGGGATAGTAAGAGGTGCATGATTGGACACCAAGAAGTAGAGGTGTCCCATACTCATGGATTAAGGTGGGGAGATACAAGGGGAAGATGCGAAGGAGGCTTTAAACTGGGGAAAAGGGTGGCAATGAGATGTGGCTGTAGTCCAGGAACAGTCAGGGAAGCAGATAATTTGGTTAAAATGTCTCAGCCTAATAAGGGAGCTGAGAAGGTGGGGATAACTAAAAAAGAGTGCATTAAAGAATGTTGTCCAAGTTGGCACCAGAGTTGGGGAGTTTTAAGAGGTTTAGAAGCGTGCTGTCAATACCCACAACAGTTACGGAGGCAAGGGAAACAGGCCCTTGAAAAGAAGGTAATGTGGAGTGGGTAGCCTCCGTATCGATTAAGAAGGGGACGGACTTACCCTCCACTGTAAGAGTAACCTGAAGCTAGGTGTCCATGGTCATCCAGGGGGCTTCCAAGGCGATCATGCAGCATCAGTCTTCAGCTGCTAAGCCAAGGAGATCTTGGAAGGAGTCAGCCAAGGTACAATTGGGTTTGGGGTTCAGGAGCTTTAGGAGCAGCGGCAATGTGAGTCAAACAGTCCGACCTCCAGTGGGGGCCCACACAGACAGGGCACGGCCTAGGAGGAATCCCAGGCTGCGGGCATTCCGAGGCCCAGTGGCCAGGCTTTGGCATTTGAAGGAAGATCCATGAGGAGGTTTTGAAGGAGCCCCTGGGAGCTGTGGCTTGGATGTTCTGAAGTGTTTGTATGCTGGAGACGTGGTTGTGGGTTGTCTTACAGTGGAGGCAAGTAGCTGTAACTCAGAGATGCATTGTTGTTTGGCTGCCTCCTCTCTTATTATTGTAAACCTTGAAGACGAGGTTGATTAATTCCTGTTGTGGGGTTTGAGGGCCAGATTCCAATTTTTGAAGCTGTTTTCTAATGTCAGGAGCTGGCTGGGTGATAAAATGCATATTTAGAATGAGACGGCCTTCTGACCCTTCAGGGTCTAGGGCTGTAAAGCATCTCAGGGTTGCTGCCAAACGAGCCATGAACTGGGCTGGGTTTTCATCTTTACTTTGGGTAGTTTCTTTAGGTTTGTCATATTAACAGCTTTGTAAGCTGCCTGTTTAAGCCCTTCAACTAGGCAGGAAATCATGTAATCTCGCCTAGCTATACCTGGGGAAACTGCCTGATAGTTCCATTGGGGATCCTCTTGGGGAACTGCTCTAATGCCTTCCTGGAGGTCTGGCTCATGAAGCCAGCAGTTGTCAGAGTGAGATTGGGCTAGAGAAAAAACTCTTTCCCGTTCATCTGGGGAGATGGTAGAAGTTAGGATGGCATTTAAGTCACTCCAGTTTAAATTGTAGGACAGAGTTAGATATTGGAATTTCTGTATATATTTAGTGGGGTCTGTTGAGAAAGATCCTAAACACTGACTGATCTGGGAGAGGTCCGATAGAGAAAAAGGCACATGCACCCTGACTACGTCTTCAGCTCCAGCCACATCTCTAAGAGGAAATTTTTGGGCAGGTGAAGAAAGTGAAAAGACCGCTTACCCAATTCGAAATTGGTGAGATGTTCCTTGGGCTGGTCTGAGGAGCCGAGGTCGTAGGTGGATCTCCTCACAGAGTGATGGCAAGGACAGGGGACCGGTCTCCTGAAGGAGTCCCCCTGTCCTGGGTCTTCGGCACCAAATGTCACATGTGTCCAAGTGAAGAGACCACCAAACAGGCTTTGTGTGAGCAATAAACCTTTTTAATCACCTGGGTGCAGGTGGGCTGAGTCCAAAAAGAGAGTCAGCAAGGGAGATAGGGGTGGGGCAGTTTTATAGGATTTGGGTGGGTAGTGGAAAATTACAGTCAAAGGGGGTTTTTCTCTTGCAGGCAGGGGCAGGGGTCACAAGGTACTGGGTGGGGGAGTTTCTGAGACTTATTGTCCAGGAAAAGGAATTTCACAAAGTTAATCGATCAGTTAAAGTGGGGCAGGAATGAATCACAATGGAGGAATGTCATCGGTTAACGCAGAAACCAGCCATTTTCACTTCTTTTGTGATTCTTCAGTGGCTTCACACCATCTGGATGTATACGTGCAGACTTGGGCTCAGAGGCCTGACAGCTATGTTGCCCAGGCTGATCTCAATCTCCTGGCCTCAAGCTATCCTTCTGCCTTAGCCTCCTAAAGTGCTGGAATTACAGGCATGAGCTGCTAGACCCAGCCCAAATAATCTTCTGAGAGCTTTGAGTATATCATTAACTCATTTAACCCTCATAGTAACTCTTAGAACAGAGTTTCTCAAGTGGAGTTCCATGGAATCCTAGTGCTGTTGTTGCAGGTTTTATATCTTGATTAAACAAAAATAAGCATCACTTTTAAAATCTGATCATGTAAGCCAATGCTAGCACTCACAGTGATGGATTGTGACAGAGCAGCCCAGTTTGCAGTTTCATTAGAGGTCTTTCAGCCCTATGTGGTAGTGTGCAGTAGGATCAAGTCCATTTGAGTGAATCCATTCTCAGGGTTTGGCACTGTTGATAATTGCTGAGTGCTGTATTGCACTGATAAAATGAGAGTCTGCTGGCCTCAGCCTCTCTCTCCTGAATGACCTTCTGCAGACTTACCCTTCCCCTCACCGCTGTACCTGAGCAAATGAGCCCTCCTGGGGTGAAAGCAAATCCCTGGGAAATTTTCATTTTAAGAAGGAATTTTTATGTGCTCATTTACCTCCCTGTTGTTATACTATTGTTGTAAGCATTATAAACCCATGAATTTTGTAGGACCCAAGTGAATTGTATTGTGATGTTTTTCTACTCTTTGTATTTTTCTAATTTTAAGTATTTCTTCTTGGTGTTTTACACATGTCTGACCATCCAATATGACCATATTTGAAGATGAGTCATAAGATGAGAGAGGAAAATACTAAGCCTAGAATGCAACATATGTGTATAAGAATCTTGTAAGTATTGGGCCTATTTTGAGCCTGATCATGTCCCAGTAAGAAAATATTTTTTCAAAATCTCAAATAAAATTATATTTTGGGCTATGCTTTTATTAATGTGGCTTTGGCTTATGATTTGGGTAGCTTTACTATTCAATATAGTCAATGATATTTCACCATGCCAACATGAGGATTAAGCCTAATATGCAATATTTAATTAAATTAAATCTACATAGTTTATTGTTTTTTCAAATTATACCAAGCCAGTTATTTAAAGGAAATTTATTTGGGTTTCCATATGAGGTTTTTTTTTTTTAATTTATAAAAGGGAAATAGTAGTTTCACAAAAGGTAAGTTGATCTTAAATACCTTTTTTAAAAAAAGAAAAGTTGTCCCCAAAGTTATTTTATGGCCAGGCATGGTGGCTCATGCCTGTGATCCCAATACTTTGGGAGACAGAAGCAGGAGGATCGCATGAGCCCAGGAGTTTGAGACTAGCCTGGGTGAAGAATGGCAAGACCTTGTCTCTACAAAAAATAAAAATAAAATTAAATTAAAATTAAAAAAATTAAATATTTAAGGCTATTTTTAGATTTAGATAGGGAGAAAAGAGTACTCTTGCACATTCTTTATACCATACCTCATTAGCATATTATATTGTAGACATTTATGATAAGGTTTCTAAAGCCTATTTAAATAAGATTTTGCTTTTAAGTAGAAAATTTTTAAGTAGGCAAAACTGATATTTTCTCTAGCTACACTACTGACCTACAGAGTTAATATCCTTTGTGGGGAGGCAGAAATCACACAGAAAAAGTAAACTCATATGTCATGCAAAATAAACAGAGCCACAGAAAAAATATATTCTCTACTCAAAAGAAAAACCATTAATCATCATTGGATTGTTTTATCTACAACTCATTGATTATGGTATTACACTGTTAGGTGCAGATAAAGTATGATTTTTCACTGCCTCAACCTCATAGAGGGAGAAAGGACAAGGATAGCTGGCTGGCTGGATGGATGGATGTACGGACGGTAGAGATGAGGCAAATCTAACATTTCTCTAGCATAATTTTATATAGGTAGTGATGGTCCATAATTTTAACCCTTTTGTTTCTGAATTAATGTGTTAATTAATGGTATAATCCCTGAAAGCATCTATGCTTGTAAAATATCATTGGATAATTAGTCAGAAATTTTGCATCTCCCACACTTTCCCATATCTTTCCCCCCCCAATCTATGCTCTTTTGAATTTTTTTAATTTTTAAATTCTGTGTGTACACAGTAGGCATATATATTTATGAAGCATATGGGATATTTTGATACAGGCATACAATGTGTAACAATTACATCAGGGTAAATGGGGTATCCATCACCTCAAGCATTTATCCTTTGTGTTGCAAGCAACCCAGTTACACACTTTTTGTTATTTTAAAATGTACAATTAAATTATCAATTATAGTCATCCTGTGGTGCTTTTGAATACTAGATCTAATTCATTCTTTCTAATTATTTTTTGTACCCATTAACCATCTCCACTTCCATCCCTATGCTTCTTTACACCTCCACCCACCACTACCCTTCCTAGACTTTGGTAACCATTGTTCTACACTCGATCTCCAAGAACTCAATTGCTTTAATTTTTGGCTGCAATAAGTAAGTGAGAACATGTGAAGTTTGTCTTTCTGTGTCTGGATTATTTCACTTAATATAATGACCTCTAGGTCCATCCATGTTGCTGCAAATCACAGGATCTCATTCTTTTTTGTGGCTAAATAGTACTCCATTGTGTATAGGTACCACATTTTCTTTATCCATTCATCTGTTGATGGACACTTACGTTGCTTCCAAATCTCAGCTATTGTGAATACTACTACAATAAACGTGAGAGTGCAGTTATCTCTTCAATATACTGATTTCCTTTCTTTTGGGTATATACCCAGCAGTGGGATTGCTGGGTCATCTGGTATCTCTATTTTTTGTTTTTTGAGGAACATCTAAGCTGTTCTCCATAGTGACTGTACTAATTTAGAGTCCCACAAACAATGTACAAGAGTTCACTTTTCTCCATATCCTCAGCAGCATTTGTTATTGCCTGTCTTTTGGATAAAAGCCATTTTAAATGGGGTGAGAGGGTATGTCATAGTAGTTATGATTTGCATTTCTCTGATGATCAATTATGTTGAGTACTTTTTCATATACCTGTTTACCATTTGTATGTCTTCTTTTGAGAAGTCTATTCAGATATTTTGCCCATTTTTAATTGGAATATTAGATTTTTTCCTACAGAGTTGTTTGAGCTCCTTATATATTCTGGTTATTAAGACTTTGTCAGATGAGTAGTTTGCAAACATTTCCTCCCATTCTGTGGGTGGTCTCTTCACTTTGTTAATTGTTTTTAAAAGCTTTTTTTAAAAAAAGCTTTTTAACTTGATGTGATCCCATTTATTCATTTTTGCTTTGGTTGCCTGTGCTTGTGGGGTATTACTCAAGAAATCATTACCCAGTTTAATGTCCTGTAGAGTTTCCCCAATATTTTCTTTTAGTAATTTCATAGTTTGAGGTCTTATATTCAAATTTATAATCTATTTTGTTTTGACTTTGTACCTGGCGTGAGATAGGGGTCTAGTTTCATTCTTCTACATATGGATATCCAGTTTTCCCAGCACTATTTATTGAAGAGACTGTCCTTTCCCCAATGTGTGTTTTTGGCACCTTTGTCAAAAATGAGTTCATTGTAGATGTATGGGTTTATTTCTGGGTTCTCTGTTCTGTTCCATTGGTCTATGTTTCTGTTTTTATGCCAGTATCATGCTGTTTTGGTTACTATAGCTCTGTAGTCAAATTTGAAGTTAGGTAATGTGATTCCTCCGGTTTTGTTCTTTTTATCCAGAATAGTTTTGGCTATTTGAGGTCTTCTGCGGTTTCATATAAATTTGGGGATTTTTTTTAATTTCTGTGAAGATTGTCCTTCGTATTTTGATAGGGATTGCCTTGAGTAGTATGGACATTTTAACAATATTGATTATTGAATCTGTAGACTGCTTTGGGTAATATGGACATTTTAACAATATTGAATCTTCACATCTATAAACATGGAATATCTTCATTTTTTGTGTCATCTTCAATTTCTTGTATCAATATTTCGTAGTTTTCATAGTGCAGATTTTACACATCTTTGGTTAATTTCTAGGTATTTAATTTCATTTGTAGCTGTTGTTAATGTGATTACTTTCATGATTTTTTTTTCTGTTTGTTTGCTGTTGGCACATAGAAATGCTACTGATTTTTGTATGTTGATTTTGTAACCACAATTTTACTGAATGTATAAGTTCTAATAGTTTTTTAGTGGAGTCTTTGGTTTTTTCACTGTAAGATCACAGTGTCTACAAATAAAGATAATTTTACTTCTTCCTTTCCAATTTGGACGCCTTTATTTTTTCTTTTGCCTGATTGCTCTAAGTAGGACTTCTAGTACTATGTTGAATAACAGTGGTGAAAGTGTGCATCCTTGTCATATTCCAGGTCTTAGAGGAAAGGCTTTCTGTTTTCTCTCATTGAGTATGAAACTAGCTGTGGGTCTGTTGTATATGGCTTTTATCACGTTAAGATTCAATGTTCCTTCTATACTCAGTTTTTTGAGGGTTTTTATCATAAATGGATGTTGAATTTTATCAAATGCTTTTTCAGCATCAATTGAAATGATCATATGGTTTTTATCCTTCATTCTATCGATACGATGTATCACATTGATCGATTTTTGTATTTTGAAACATCCTTGCATCTGTGGGATAAGTCACACTTGGTCATGATGAATGACCTTTTTAATGTGCTGTTGAATTCAGTTTACTAGTATTTTGTTGAGGATTTTCATATCAATGTTCATCAATGATACTGGCCTGCAGTGTTCTTTTTTTGATGTGTCTTTGTCTGGTTTTGGTATCACGGTAATACTGGCCTTGGAGAATGAGTTTGGAAGTATTCCCTCATCCTTTATTTTCTGGAATAGTTTGAGTAGGACTGGTATTAGTTTGGTATTAGTTCTTCTTTAAATGTTTGATAGAAGTCAGCAGTGAAGACATCAGGTCCCAGGCTTTTCTTTGCTGGGAGACTTTTTTTTATTGTGGCTTCTATCTCATCATTAGTTATTGGTCTGTTCAGGTTTTGAATTTCTTCATGATTCAATCTTAGTAGTTCGTGTGTGTCTAGGAATTTATCCATTTCTTTGAAGTTTTGCAATTGACTGGCATATAGTTGCCCATAGTAGCCTCTAGTGATCTTTTGAGTTTCTGTGGTATTGGTTGTAATGTCTCTTTTTTCATCTCTGATTTTATTTATGTCTTCTCTCTTTTTTTCTTAGTCTAGGTAAAGGTTTGTCAAACTTTTTAAATCTTTTCAGAAAACCAACTTTTCATTTTGTTAATCTTTTGTATGGTTTTTCTTTGTTTCAATTTCATTTATTTCTGCTCCAATCTTTATTATTTATTTTTTCTACTAACTTTGAATTTGGTTTGCTCTTGCTTTTCTAGTTCTGATAACAATGCATTATTAGGTTGTTTATTTGAAGTTTTTTTTTAAGTATGTACTTACAGCTATAAAATTCCTTCTGAGTACTGCTTTCACTATATTCCATAGCTTTTGGTATGTTGTGTTTCTATTCTCGTTTGTTTCAATAAATCTTCTGTATTCTTGATTCCTCTGCTCTTTCATACCCTGGGCACTGTTCCCACCCAGAGACCTTGATGACTGACACACATGCTCTGTGGGCTGCTCTCTCAACAACTTGAACTCATGGTTCTGGTTCTTCTGTCCTTACTCATTTTCCTTATTCTACTTTTTGTTGCTCTAAATTCTTTCAACTCTTTATTTATCCTCTAAGACCCTGATTTCTTTGTTATCCTACCTCTGCTGCCCTGCTCTTTGCTCCTGGTTGCTTATTGTCTGGGTTGTCTATCTTCACCATTTCTCAGACCAGGGCCACCCCCCAAACCCAGTAGCACATGCTCTGCTACCAAGTTCCCAGACATGGCTGTTGGTCAGCATCGTGGAATCTGAAGTTTGGAACAGACCAGAAAAGTCAGCTGGTCTATGTAATGCTAGTCTCTGGCACAACATCCATGCTATGAATAATTTCTCATCAAGTATAGAATTTAAGAGAATCAAGGGTATGGTAGTAATACTTTGGGTTTATAAACTTGTGTATATTTGGTTTAGGTGTTTTAGGAGACTTGGCCTTTAAAAGTTAAGAGGTCAGTCTGTGATTCCAAACTGAAATGTATAACTAATTGATTTAGACTTGTAATTTTGGGTTGAAATTTTATTGTTTATATAGTTTTCCAATATTTGAGAGACACTAAGAAGCCATCTTTATTGTTTTAGTTTATTAGATTTATGAAAAGATTTTTCACACAATTACTCTATTTGAAAAGAAACCCAGAAACCCAATATATTAAATTCATAACTGCAGTTTAAAATATTTGAAGTGGGGTCTCCCTGCCACCCTATTTTAGAACATATCCCATTCCACCTTCCCTATTTTAATTGACTTTATAGAAATTACCACCTTCTAGGCCAGGCGCAGTGGCTCACGCCTGTAATCCCAGCACTTTGGGAGGCCGAGGTGGGCGGATTACCTGAGGTCAGGAGTTCGAGACCAGCCTGACCAACATGGAGAAACCCTGTCTCTACTAAAAATACAAAAAAATTAGCTGGGCATGGTGGCGCATGCCTGTAACCCCAGCTACTTGGGAGACTGAGGCAGGAGAATCGCTTGAACCTGGGAGGCAGAGGTTGCAGTGAGCTGAGATTGCACCATTGCACTCCAGCCTGGCCAACAAGAACGAAACTCTGTCTCAAAAAAAAAAAAAAAAGAAAGAAAGAAAAGAAAAGAAATTACCACCTTCTAACATAGCATATAATTTGATAATTTGTTTGTTTACTTTGCTTATTTTCTGTCTTCTGTCCATTAGTATGTAAGCTTCATACTATGAGTATGTGTATGGGTCAACTGCAGATATTTTGTCTGTTTTGTTCCTGATATTCCCAGTGCCTAGACCAAAGACTGTCAACTGATATTTTTCAATGCATAAATAAATGAATAAGGTTTATAAGTTGAACCTAAACCATAAGCAGGAGAAGGGATTTTTAAATGTGTCATTTTAATAAAGTATTATTTGTTAAAAATAATAAATTTCTGGGAACTCTTTTTAGACTGCAGAAATAACCCTCAAGTATATTTCAAAGTTTACATTTGAAATTTTGCAATTTCTCTCAGTTTCCTGGGCCAACAGGCCAGCTCTAATGTAGAACACATGATTGCTCACTAACAATTTTGTCATTCCTCAAAGACTCCCATTATCCTTTCTTTATAGTTAATTTTCAGCATGAATGTCATTCTCTTGGACAAGAAAAGCAGGAACAAAGCAAGATCCAAGGAGCTCCACTGTTTATTACTCAGTGTTGCACTGTCAGGCCCAAATGGGGGACATATTAGCTTCTTCTTTTCTTGCTTTAATAAGAACTTGTATTTCAAAGACTTTTTTTGTTACAGTTTTTCTTTACAATTCAGTACATTGGCTGGGTGCAGTGGCTCACGCCTGTAATCCCAGCACTTTGGGAGGCCGAGGCGGGTGGATCACGAGGTCAGGAGATTGAGACCATCCTGGCTAACATGGTGAAACCCTGTCTCTACTAAAAATACAAAAAATTAGCCGGGCGTGGTGGTGGGCGCCTGTAGTCCCAGCTACTCGGAAGGCTGAGGCAGGAGAATGGCGTGAACCCGGTAGGCGGAGCTTGCAGTGAGCCGAGATGGCGCCACTGCACTCCAGCCTGGGCGACAGAGTGAGACTCTGTCTCAAAAAACAAAACAAAACAAAAAACAATTCAGTACATTTGAGGTTTTAACTTTCCTGACACAGGTTCATGTCAACATGTCCTATTTAGCTCAGTTGCACATTGTACTATTCTTTTGAAGTCTAAACTCAAAGAGAGGTACTTGATACAGCTACACTGGCTTCTACAGATCCTCCCTCTCTTTTTCCACATCTGATTCAGTTCAGTTGCAGTCACAGCATAGACATCAGAAAAGCACCAACAGCTGCAAGACCATTAACACTGTAGCAGTCTTGACGGACATTGGTAGCACATATTATTATCAATTGCCACAATAACATTACCTAACAAATAACCCTAAAACTCAGTGGCTTAAAACAATAACCAATTATTACTATTTATACATTTATAAATTGACTGGACAGTTCCAGTCTTGACTGAGTTCAGCAGGGCTCAGGTCTGTGTTCAGGTATGGGTCAATTGTAGCTTTCTTGATTTTAGCTATGCTCTCTCACATGTCTGCAGCTCAGCTGGGCCAACTAGACTGACTCAGCTCTGCTCCACATGGTCTCTCATCCTCTAGCAGCTCAGTACTGGCTTGTTCTCATGATGGAAGCAGGGATCTGAAGGAGAGAGAGAGGTATGTGACACCTCCTAAGGCTTAGCCTCAGACCTAACTTCTATGGCATTCTGTTGGCCAGGGAAGGCCACAAAGCCAGCCCAGATTCAAAGGGTGGGGAAGTAGATTTCTACAACTGCAAAGGGACCATTTCTAAAATAAATCTGCAAATAGCATAATTGCTTATTTGAATGTTGACAGCCACAGAAGACACCACCAAAGTCATCCAGAGAAGTAGAAGAGGCTCTAAGATGATTCCACAGTGTACACAAAAGGATTAATCTCCTGAGCATGTGCAGGCAACACTTGAGGAAGTCAGAACTGCTTGAAAGGATTTTGAAGAGAGTTCATTTTCCTGAAAAGCAAGAGGCAACAGAGCCTGGTTGTCAATGCTATTTGTTCACCCTAGCTGGTGAACTTAAAAATATGGGTGATATGGGAAGGTTTGTAGCACTCATAAAATCTAGGGCTCGGGTGTTGCACCAAAGTTGTGGAACATGCATAGCTCATTTTGTTCACATTACTGAATATTAGACCACATCCTGGGATATGATACGTAAGTGCTATGTAAGTGTGGGTTGCTTTTATGCAGCTTCTATGTGATGTGTATCAACATGTTTCACCAAATTAAGTCTATTGTGTCTGTAGTACCACATGGGATGATTTGAAGCAAACTATGCAGGCTGCTCTTGTCTGAGGAGCTTCCTGGTCACCATATTTCTAGTGCAAACTTCCTTCCTTGAGCCTTGAACTTTGTCAGTCCTTAGCCCTGAACCTGTCTGTCCACTCCTGTTCTGATTCATTTTCATCCCCTTGCCTCTGCTCTTTTGTTTGAGGAAGGAAATAAACCCAGGAAGCAATGCTTAAGAGGCAAAATTCTAAAAACAATCAAACAAACAAAATTCCAGCTGCTACAGTTTAAAGCTCATTAATCCTTGAGGAGAGTGTAAATCACATATCAGTAACATTTTTAGAGGGGGATTTGGCAATATCTATCAGCATTTAAAATGTGTACACCCTTTGTGTAGCAATTCCACTTTGGGGAATTTATAAATAAACTTGCACAAATGTGCAAGTGTGTGAGTGTGTGTGTGTGTCCATAGACATATCATCATACCAACTTATAAAGTGTGTTGATAGCAACATTGTAAGAGCAGGAAGCTAGAAATACATAAATGCCTATCAATAGGGCCTGCTTAAATACATGAAGACACATTCATACACTAAATTACCACACAGCCATTAAAAAGAGTGAGATAGATCTATGTGTCCTGATTCAGAAAGATGTCTAAGACATTGTTAAATTTTAAAAATCAAATTACAGAAGAGTGTAGTATGTTCCTTTTGTGTTTTAAAAAAATTAGGGGTATGTATGTACATATACACTATAATTTTTTCTTTTTTTAACTTCCACTGTAAGTTCAGGGGTACATATGTAGCTTCATTACATAGGTCAACTTGTGTCATGGGGGTGAGCTATTAAGAGTTATGACCTCTGGGGAAGGAGACTGGAAAGTTGTTGGGGGAGGCATTTTTTACTTATTACTCATTTACACTCACGGAAAATTTTTACCAACTTGCATAATTTACACTTACAATTTTAAAATACATTTAAATATAAAACATATAATTAATCCAACAGAGTTATGTAAAGCATCTCCTATGTCCCAAGTCATTTGTATCAGTCTAGGTGCTTAGTTACTGCTGGTAGAAACCACTTTGTCAGTTTGAACATCAAGGGATTTGCTGTAAGATACTGGATAACTCACAGAACTGTTGGGAGAACTGGAGTGTTGAGTTCTAGATCAGACTTCCAGCAACATCTCTTAGAGCCACAGAATTGTGATGAGGAAGTTATCGCCACCACCATCCCAAACCCCCACACTTCCTCTGCCTCTACCCAGGCCCAGCCTTTTAGCACTCATTGTAAACCAAGCCATGCTCAGGTAAATCTGACCTGCAGGACCTAAGTCACACGTCTGTCCTCTATCAGCAAAGGAGGCTAAGAAATATAAGGATTTTTAAAAAAAAATTCTTACTTGAGAAAGTAAAACTCACAATGTGGAAAATACCAAAGTGTGGGGTGTGTTGTTTAAAGATGGGGACAGTTGTAAATGACAGCTATCTACTACACAGTGCTGTAGGTTCTCCCACTGGGATCCTACTCAATTAAGCATATTTTGTCAAGGAAAAAACGTATTCTAAAGTTGAGCTTGTGTCAGACTGAAGATGATTGCTAGCAGTGATCTGAATTATCCCTTAGTTAATCATTCTCTAATTAAGTGTGGGCAGCTTATCTGGCATAGATAATTAGAATTTTAAAGACCACTAAAATATAAGTAAATTCTGTTTTAGATGGTTTTCTCTCTGAGTACTAGAATAGTAATTACAGCTACCATTTATATTACGCTCATTATGTTATTAGGCACCATGCCAAGATCTTTAAACATAAAAAAGTGTGATGGTTAATTTTATGTGTCAACTTGACTGGGCTAGGAAGTGCCAAGATAGCTGGTAAAACATTATTTCTGAAAGTGTCTATGAGGGCATTTCCAGAAGAGATTAACATTTGAATCAGTAGACTGAGTCAAGGAGATTTCCTTCACCAATGTGGGAAGGTATCATCCAATCCGATGATGGCAAAAGTAGAACAAAAAGGCAGAGGAAGAGTGAACTCTCTCTTTCTTCTTTAACCAGGACATCTATCTCCTGCCCTCAGATGTCAGAGCTCTTAGTTCTCCAGCTGAGACTTACAGCTCCCCTAGTTCTCAGGCCTTTGCATTCAAACTGAATTACACTACCAGCTTTTCTTATTCACCAGCTTGCAGACAGCATATTCTCATCTCTCTCTCTCTCTCTCTCTCTCTCTCTCTCTCTCTATCTATCTATCATCTATCTATCTATCTATCTATCTATCTATCTATCTATCTATCATCTATCTATCTATCTATTATCTAGATATCCTGTTGGTTCTGTTTCTCTGGAGAATGCTGATTCACACAAAAGGAAAAAGAATCATTTAAAAAAATATTACAGCAGCCACCAACCCAACACTTACTATATCAATCAGGGCTCAATAAAAGAAACAGGATAAGCAGAAGGTATGTAGTAACAGACTTATGGCAAGGAATTGGCTTATGCAATTGTGGGGTTGGCTAGACAAATCTGAAATCCACAGGGCAGGCTATCAGGAGAGCACCCTGGAACTCTTGGGCATGGGCTGAAGGGGCCATTCCACACATGGAATTTCTTATTTAGGGAAGCTTCAGCTCTGCTCTTTCAGCCTTTAAAGTACTTTAGTCAGGCCCACCCAAATTATCTATAGGATAATCTCTCTTACAAAGTCAACTGATTATGGACTTTAGTCACATCTATGAAATATATTCACAGCAATACCTGTCTTAGTGTTTGCATAACTGGGGATTGTAGCCAAGCTAAATTGACACATAAAACTGACCATTACACCTACTACTACCAGCCATCCAGAAAAAGGTAGGGGACATTTTATTTTAAACAGACTGTTAATAGACTTCTTCAGTTATGTAAATAGGCCATTTGGCACTAAACTAGAATGAGAGTCATTGAGAGAAGAAAGCTTTCCATTCATTCAATTCATTCAACAAGTACAGTAGTTTTTTCCTATAGGAGGAGATATGTTCCAAGAACCCCAGTGAGTGCCCGAAACCACAGGTAGTACCAAACCTGACTGTCATCAGCTGAAACACATTTCTGTTCATGTCTTGCACTCACAAATGTAATGCCTTTTCCATCTTAACTAAGCACTTGTCACACACTGTGGCTGTAATTTTTGCAGTTTGAAGTGCAACAACAAAACTAGTACAAATTTCTTTTTTCTTCTTCACAATTTCACAGACAGAAGATTGATTCTTACCATAGATCTTGGCAACCTCAGTATAGGATTTTCTTTTTTTTTTTCCTTATTAAGCAAAGAACTGTCTCCTTTTTACTTAAAGGAAACACTTTGTGGCTTCTCTTTGGCATATCCAAATTGTTACCATCATTATTCTTGTATTTTGGTGCCATTACTAAGTAAAATAAGAGTTAATTGAACACAACCACTGTGCTACTACAACAAGCCATCTGATAATGAAGCCAGCTACTAAGTAACTAATGGACAGGCAGCATAGGCAGTGTGGAGAAGCTGGACAAAGGGAAGACTCACATCCAGGGCAGGACGGGACAAGATGGTGCAAGGACAGAGCAGGATGGTGCAAGATTTTGTAACACCTAAGGTTCTTGCCTAGCCACGCCAAAAAATTGGTGTGGCGGCTGACTGTGGCAAGTGATAGAGACACGGATGGAGAGAGAGAAAAAGCTGTAGGCTTTATTGAGCAGAGTGAAAGTACAAAGTTTCCACAGCATGGAAGGGGTCCCAAACAGGTAGCCAGAGTTAGATTATACGATTGCCTTTTAAACTCTTTAAGGTGGGAAATACGTGCAGCGGGAAGATGTTACCAGAGCAAGAAACAAAGGCAGTAAATTATTTTGTGACATGTCCTAGATTTTGAGGAAAACCGGAATTGCAATTTAGGTTTTATCTACTTTATGACCTTGCAGTGGCATGGCAAAGGAGACAGGATCTTACAGGACTTTACAAAGTATGTTTACAAGGAATTGGAATTGGAAGTATAGACAAGGTCCGCTGGTCACAGAAAAACGGGCAGTTAACATTCCTTTTACTTTAGTTTCGGGGGAGAGGGAAGGGAGAGAGGGAGAGAGGACACAGGGAAATTTACAGCAAAATTTTTGCTGTTTACAGCTTTCTTGGGGAAGAAAACACATGCACAAATCCCTTTGTTAGGAATATTTTAAGCATATATCTTCAGTATTATTCATCCAGGACTGAACTAAGTCCTGAGGCAGGAAATGAGTGAGTTTCACAGCTTTCTGAGCCCCTACTTGACCCAGGAAGCCCAGCTGGCCCCTCCTCTCAATTTGATCACACTACTAACAATAGTGTGCAACTTAAAACTTATAAATTGTTTATTTCTGGAATTTTTTATTTAATATTTTCAGACCTCAGCTCACCATGGGTAACTGCAACTGTGGAATGCAGTGCCTTACTGTGTGCCATTGTTCTTGGTGTTTGGGATACATCAGGAAATAAAATAGACAAAGATTCCTGCCTCCATGAAATTTATATTCTTTGTATAATAAACTGGTGGCAATTTTGAGGTTTTTTTAATTTTAATTATTTTTCTTTTGAGACAGGGTTTCACTCTGATTTGCTGAGGCTGGAGTGCAGTGGCCCAAACTCAGCTCACTGCAGCCTTCACCTCCCTGGCTCAAATGATCTTCCCACCTTAGCCTCCTGAGTAGCTGGGATTACAGGCACACTCCAACACACCCAGCTAATTTTTTGTATTTTTTTTATAGAGATGGGGTTTTGCCATGTGGCCCAGGATGGTCTTGAACTCCTGAGCTGAAGTGGTCCACCCGACTTGGCTTCCCAAAGTGCTGGGATTACAGACATAAGCCACCATAACCCCCCAGGGGCAATTTTGAGTTTTCCATTGGCAGTTGGAGGAGATTGAAGTTTAGAGGCCCAGGATCCAAGAAAAAAGCTAAGAAAGACAGATATGGGGGAAAGATGGATTCCAACATAGTGACAATTTGGGATTAAGAAAATGATGACCAGTGAGAAATCCCTTTGTGTTACTCACAGATGGCTATTAAGAATAATGAAACCCAGTAGTCCAATTTCCTGCTCTATTGTATTATCCTCTGTTATCCTCAAAGCATCTGCTGAAGTGAGTGACACACCCAGCTTTGAGTTAATAAAGTGTGGTAGTGCCTATGAATGCAGCAAACTGGTGCAGACAAGGACAGCAGTCACAGGAGGTAAGGGGTTTGCAGGTGGTGAAGGAAGGGGATGGGAAGGGGGTGTCAGGTATTCAGCAAGAGTATTGTATGAGTCAGGATTCTCCAGAGACAGAACCAGTAGGAGAGGAGATATGTTACACACACACACAAACACACACACACACACGAAGTCATGTATTGCTTAACAATAAGGATACATTATGAGAAATGCATCATTAGGCAATTTCGTTATTGTGTGAACATCACAGAATATACTTACACAACCCTAGATGGAATTGCCTTCTATACATCTAGGCCATATGATTTAGCCTACTGTTCCTAACTTATAAACCTGTACAGCATGTTATTATACTGACTACTCTAGGCAATTGTAACACAATGGTAACTATTTGTGTATCTAAACATAGAAAAGGTACAGTGAAAATATGATGGTATTGTAATCTTAGAGGACACCATCATATATACAGTCTGTCACTGAATGAAGCATCATTATGGGTGCATGACTGTGTGTGTATATGTATATACACATATCTATATACATACACATCTATGAGTTAGGAGATTTATTTCAAGGAATTGGCTTACATAATTGTGGAGGCTGGTAAGTCCAAAATCTATAGGGCAGGTCAGCAGATCAGAAACCCTCCATCAGGAGCTGATGCTACAGTCTTAGGCAGATTTACTTCTCCCTACAGGAAACCTGTTTTGTTCTTAAGGCCTTAATGCCTTCCGAGTGGTTGGATCAGGCCTACCCACATTATCTAGGCAATTGCCTTTATTCAGATTCAATGGATTGTAGATGTGAACCACATCCACAAAATGCCTTCATAGCAACACTTAGATTTATGTTTAATAGACTAACTGGTTACTATAATCTGGCCAGGCTGACACATAAACCTAAACATCACAGGCAGGAAATTCAGAGTGATGCCCAGAAGAATCTAAGCCCCACAGGAGTCCTCTGAATATTGAGAACAGAACCAGATGTTTGTAAGATAGAACTTGAGACCATTTGTCTGTTAGTGTGTTAAAAAAAAAAAAAAAAGATCAACACTTGGAAACAGGCAGCAGGATGACCGCATTTCCTGTGAGTACCCTTCTGGAGCACCATCTAGTAGGTCCACCCAAGGATTAGCTCATTCTCTGGAGGCATGCACACTTGTTTCACACACTGTTTACTATTGATTAAGAGATTCTACAACCCTGTCAGGGGGAAGGTAATATGTTGAAAATGATTCTTATCTGTCTGCAATGCAAATATTTTCTGTCTCATAATAATGAAAACAATTTCCACCCATAGGAAATATAATTCCCAAAAGTTACAGTCTTATTGACCTGTGGATTATTAGCCAGTGTTGTTACTTAATTTAGCAATGTTATTCTAGTATTATTTCTTTCTGACAATAAATATTTCTCTCTCTACCAGGCTCCTTTGTACCAGTTTTACAATTCTGATGCTTCCATCATTAATGAGTTTAAAAGGTCTCTGACACATGTACATTCTATGTATGAGAGGTCTGTTTTTAGCTTTTGAAAATTGTGCTTTGACAAAAGGAAAGGGTAAAGGACCCCAGAAGGCTGAATAACTTTGGAGTATTTGGATGGTACTTACCTTATCCTGATTTTCATAAAACACAGCAGCTTAATATGATTATTACTATTTTAATAAGTAAAGAAATAGAGACTCTCTAAAGTTAAAAATTTGCCCAGAACTATATAAATAATATGTGGTGGAGCTAGGAGCTGCTGGGGCTCAGAACACACATCAAAATATGACTATAAGAGATCAGAGTATACCACCTCAAAAAATATTTCTTTTGTATATTTTGAGCAGGTTATTTTGAGAAACTGCAGACACAGTGGTAGCTCTGAAAAGCTGCCCTTTTGTAAATGTCAGAGGCGTTTGAACCAGAGCAACTCCATCTTGACTAGTTGCTAGGTAAAATGAGGCTGAGACCTGCTGGGCTGCATTCCCAGGAGGCGAAGCATTGTAAGTTATAGGATGATAGGAGGTCAGCACCAGATACAAGTCACAAAGACCTTGCTGATAAAATAGGTTGTGGTAAAGAAGACAGCCAAAACCCACCAAATCAAGAGGACAAGGAAAGTGACCTCTGGTCGTCCTCCCTGCTCATTATATGTTAACTGTAATGCATTAGCATGTTAAAAAACACTTCCACAGTGCTGCGATGGCAATGTCAGGAAGTTAACCTATATGGTCTAAGAAGGGGAGGAACTCTCAGTTCTGGGAATTGCTCAGCTTTTTCCCAGAAAACTCATAAATAATCCTCCCCTTGTTTAGTATATAATCAAGAAATAACTATAAGTATTATCAGCCAAGAAGCCCAAGCTGCTGTTCTGCCTATGGAGTAGCCATTCTTTTATTCCTTTACATTCTTAGTAAAGTTGCTTTCACTTTACTCTGTGGACTTGCCTCGAATTCTTTCTTGAGCAAAGTCCAAGAATCCTCTCTTGGGGGTCCAGATTGGGAAACCTTTGTTGTAACATTATAGCAGAAACATGAATCGAAGACGTTCTAGAAGTCTAAATCTTTATGCTATGCATGAATCTCTTCTATAAGACTCTTAATAGTAGTTACTCTCTTCAGTCTGACAGGACCTTCTTAATCATGTTGTCAGGGCCAAACAAAAACTTCCACTTCACCCTCTGAAGGTCTGCCAAAAAATCAACCGAAATAAGGCAGATTAATTGGAGAAAAGACATACAAATTTATTAATGTGCACGCAGGGGAGAGTCACAGAATAATTGCCCAATATCCCAGTGAGGCTCAAATACTTATTTAGCCTTATTTCAGAGTAAAGGGGGAAGATGGGGAATAAAGATAATTCTGTTTAAAGGCAATAAATGATTACTAGGGAGAATGAATGGGTCTAGCAACAGAGATTAACTTGTAAATGTTTCTCTTTGGAAATTGAGCCTGAGAGAGGGACATTATCTTGTGAATGCACCTGTTCAGGCGTGATTACCTTCTTGGTCTTCTTTTCTGTGACAGATAATGAGAAAACCTGAAGAGGAAGGAAAAACAGTGTTCTCTTTGGTGGGTCCCTTCAGTTTTTATGTAGATAGGGGAAAAATCTCCTCCAGAATCTGTTGATTTCTAAAGGTCTTTCATTTAAAACACTCATTACACCAGGGGGTCATATTTTAGAATGAAGTTTTCTGTGCTCCTTCAATGTTCTCACAGTTTATTTTCTTTTCTGGCTCAGCCTTAGTATTCTCACCATTCTTGAAAATGTCACACACTTCAGATCGTCAGCCTCCTAGACACTAGACCTTGATCATTTTGTGAATATCACTCTTCAGGTATGACATCCTGAATTGCATATGATAACAATCTAGATTGGGCTGATAAATGAAATCTAGAGAACTATCAATCACCTTTCTTATTACAGAAAATGTTTCTTTATTTGGCCTATGATTGAATTAACTTTCTTGATAGTTTTGATAATTGATGGTAAATACTACTTTTGCATGCAAACAAAAAAAATCATGTTCTTTACATAGATATTATTTGTTTCACTACTTCTGGTTTTCTCCAGTCTTTTTGGCAGAAATGAAACAGAAATATGTGGCACAGATTTAAGAAATTCATGAAAGGAGGGCAGCAGCTCAGTGCAGTCTCTGTATTTATTTGGTTTACAGAAAAGGAAAGATATCCTTTGTAAAGTAGTTAAGCTAAGGCAGCCAGCTGTAAAGGGTCCTAGAGGACAAAAGATACGTAAAAAACAGAGACCACAATTTGATTAACATAGCCTAGGAAATATATTAATGCAGATAGTCATTTGAAAGTTTCAAACTGAATTCCTGAACTGTCAAAATAAAATATTGCAATGACAAAAAATAAAACTGTATTTTTCAAAACAAACCTGAATTTTGAAAATAAGCCATTTGTGTTTGGTTCCAAAAGAAGTTTAATTACAGGGGGAGCTACTTGTTTTAACAGCTGGATGCTAATGAATGCATGAGGACAATGATAATACATGTAAATGCAATAAAGTCATCCTTCATAGCAAGAATAGAACTAACCTCACCTGAAATTGGGGCATCTAGCTGAGTATATCAGGATTCTTCTGGTTGCAGAACCTATTCAAACTTGTTCGTCAGACAGAGGTTTCATCTGCCTGCAGGAAGTGTTCCTGGACGTAACCAAGGGTCAGGCTGCTTATTCTCATGGCCCAATAATGAGATGCAGATGAACTGGGAAAGAAGAGAGTTTATTTCTGCAACCAGCTTCAGGGAGAAGGCCAGGAAAATATTGCCAGACCAGCTCAAAATTACAAAGTTTTCCAAAGCTCATGTACCTTCTAAGTCTACGTGTAAGTGTGCATTCATCTAAAGACATAAGTGAGTAACTTTTTCTAATCTATAACTAAGGTCTGAGTCCTGAAGATCCTCTTCCAGAGCCTCAGTAAATTTAATCTAGATGGGTCCAGGTGCCGGGAGTGATTACCCTTATCTTGTCTCCTGCTAAATCATGGAGGTTTGGGGAGTTCTTAATAAAATTTGTTTGTGGAGGTCTGGGGAGTTTCTTCAGACCCCCAGTAAAATTTGTTTAATCCTAAACAGGTCCTGGTAAGAATTCCTTTCTTATCTTGTCATGCTTCAAGGCCCATGTCAGCCTGAGCGAGACTCTTGGTGGGCCTTTATTACTCATTCCAGCCTCTATGTAAAGACTCTGGCTCTCTCAGCCTTTAATATTTAACCTAACCATTCAGTCAGTGCTGAAACAGTTGTTAAGGAGTCCTGCCTGTTCAGCCTTTTTGAGACCTGGTCTGCCACAGAAGGGCCCCAGGGTTGCCCATCAAGCTCCTTTGCAAGTTGGCATCCATTTATTTTGCACTGTGATACAGTCATCCTATAGGCTGACATCTCTACACCCAGAGATCTGAGGCTCACAAAGTAATTTCTGGAAGATGCTCCCATTGGTCCATCTTAGTGATGAGAACAGGAGACAGAAAAATTCTAGGCAGAAAAGGGCAGGGTCCCTGGCCAGGACCCCACCCACAGGCCTGGAACCGCAGACCAAAGTGAGAACTTTACATCCATTTTCCTGCTTGAATGTTGCCTTTTCCAAAACCACCCCACCCCTAATCCTGTACCCATAAAAACCCCAGGCTCCACTGGCAGACAGCAGAGAAGGGGAGAAGAGGAGAAGCAGCTGGACATTGAAGACTCTGGTTTGACATAAGAGAGAAGCAGCTTCACTTCAGAGGGACAACTTGACATTGGGACATCAGGGGAAGAATGCCTTCTTCCTACTCCATCCCCTTTCCAGCTCCCCCTCTCACTGAGAGCCACTTCCATCAGCAATAAAATCCCCCACATTTACTATCCTTGAATTTGTGCAACCTGGTTTTTCCTGGACACCAGACAAGAGCTTGGGATACAGAAAACTGTCACACTAACCATCTGCCCTCATGAAAAGGCAGAGGGTCCACTGAGCTATTAAACACTGAAGCTGTCTGCAGACAGCAAAGCTAAAAGAGCACTGTAACACACTCCCTCTGGTGCTTCAGGGGTAACAGGTAGTCCCGTAGACACCGCCATCAGGCTACACGGAGTTTTGCTCCTTCCAGTACCCAAAAGCACTCACTCCAGCTTCTGCACCTGCTCACCTGCATGCTCCCCCTCCCACGAGGGGTTGAAAGCTGCGGGCTGAGTAAGTGAGGCACCCCTGTCACAAGGCTTGAGAAGGGATCAAGGAAAATTTCCTGTTTCATTATGCTTTGTTCATGCCTATCTCTGGACAAGCAACTATGGCCAGGGAAAAGGGGTTGTACAATATGTTCAGGAGAAGAGAAGAAGCTACTCTTTTGGCCATTTTGAACAATAGCCAATTCACCACACAGCATAATTAATGGTTTAGAATTTTTTCTTCTTTTATTTTTTTCTTTCTGTAGAGACAGTATCTCATTGTGTTGCCCAAGCTGGTCTCGAACTCTTGGACTCAAGCAATCATCCTGCCTCAGCCTCCCAAAGTGCTGGGGTTATAGGCATGAGCCAACACGCCCTGCCTAGAATTTCATTTCTATTCATTAAAAATACATCAAATGGTTTTTATATTACAGTAAAATCACTATTTCAAATGATTATTCCATATATTTTATGTGCAAAATTAAGAGCTGCCATATTGTCTTTAAAGGCCTGCAGGTATAGAAAGGACTCACTGCTTTTTATGAACACATCTCTCCTATTCACACCTCCAAGAGTTATTGCTTCTTGGTAACCCTCCATTAAGCGTTTGATTAAGTTCAAGGTGATTAGATTATTAACACTTTAGTCATGGTCTGGTTGGCTTATCCCCCTACCCCTCTCCATTCTTTTAATCACTGCTCTATTCATCCACTCAACAAATATTTAATGAGTGCCTATTATATGCCAATTCTATAGATACTAAACATAAATAGAGATAAATAAAGCATGATCTCTGCATTTAAGGGCTATACCAAAGATGGGACATCAGACAAATAAACAGATTATTATAATACTGTGTAAGGGCCAAGTCCCCTTCATCCTCTGAAAGTTCACTGAAAATCAACTGACAAAAAGTAGACTAATACAAGAAAAAGCACACATTCTATTAACATGCTATAGGCGTCTTACAAAATAAGATCTCTTAAAAAGGCAAATGATTGACCCACTTATGCCATGTCGAGGTTACAGAACTAATAGGTGTCTGGATCATGGCAAAACTAATTACAGGAGGGGGAGAAGAGGAGGCCTGGCTAGCAAAGGTGATCTTGTTCTGTGGATGAAACCTCACAGGCCTCAGCCCTCAGAAAGAATAGATGGTAAATGTTTATTTTAGGCTTTTAAAGGTGTCAGACTCTTGGCCAATCTTTCCTAGATCTGACAAAGCCTGGCTGCATCAATGTAGATTCTCTACAGATGCAAATCACCGCCTCAACACACAGTTTTACAGAGCTGCTTCTGTTTGCAGACCCTCTGAATGTTACAGGTAGTTAGACAGGCATGAGCTGGGCAGGAGAGGGCTCTCCTCAACCCACCAGGAATGTCAGGTGATGATTCAACGATTAGCACATTGCTTCTCTACAGATGATAATTTGGCAGCAGGCACCAGGGAGAAGCAAAAATAACTTCCAATAAAATCTCAGGTATTGGGTGAATGAGTCTAGACACGTAGATTAGGAGACAAAATGGCAGAGCATGACCTTCCGGGGGCAGTCCACCAGAAAAGAGAAGAAGACCTGAGATGTGCCTGTGTACAACCTCCTGAATACACTGCGTGTGCTCACTTCCCAAGCATAAGGAGGGCACTCCACATGCAGGCAGCCCACCCTAAGGGAAGAATCATGGGAAAGGGGGACGTGAGAAGCAGGAGGTCGGCCAGCCTATAAAGTCCTGGGATCAAGGTTAAACACCACTCTTGACCTCGATGCCTCGTTGGGTCTCTTCCAAGTGTATTTTTCTTTCTTTCCTGTTCTAAGGTCTTTTTAAATAAACTTCCACTCCTCCTCTGAAACTTGCCTTTGTCTCTTTTTCTGGCTATTCCCCTCAGTCGAATTCTCTCTTCTGAGGAGGCAAGAGTTGAGGTTGCTGCAGACCCATATGGATTCGCCACCGGTAAGTCAGATACCTGCCATGAGACTCAGATATTTGCCACCAGTAACATGAACGGACATTTCAAAATATGTCAAAGAAGTGTATCTTGAGGGGAAGTAGAATATTCTCCTTCAACTGTACTGTATGATAAGTGCTGTGATAGGTCTTTTCTATTTTTCACTAGTCTCTGGGCCACAAGGAACAATCTGTCCCTTTGCATCTCAAAATGCTTGCTCATCCTACTCAGTTAGAAATTAAATAATTCAAACTTAAAATAATTCAAATATAAAGCTGTTAGAACTTTTCATTATTCTGAGCCTTGGGAGGAATGTGGCTATGCAGCCTGAATCATGTACTCAGTAGCTACAATTTCTGCCTTTCATATCTGTAAATAATTAGGAAGAACAAGTGGCACCAGAGATAAGACCCCTTCATATCACTGCCCCTCCTCATGGAGTAATAAGGTAATCTTCCTTGGAATGTAGCAATCTGCAACCAATCAAATTGCTGTGGTGTATGCACTGGTCTTATATGGAAAATGCAATCTTGCTGGAACTTCTCTGTCTGCCTACATAAGTGAAACCTTAACTTCTCCACTTCTGTACTCCAAATGACTGCTGACCCCATTCATTTGGAGTTGGTGTTTCCAAGTGACCATCCTAAAGCTTTGCACTAGAAAAAACTCCATTCTGAATCATATATTTTTTTCCAAATGGGATCTCACTCTGTTGCCCAGGCTGGAGTGCAGTGGTATAATCACAGCTCACTTCAGCCTTGACTTCTCAAGCTCAAGTAATCCTCCCACCTCAGCCTCTTGAGTAGCTGGGACTACAGGTGCCTGCCACCACACTCAGCTAATTTTTAAATTTTTCTGTAGAGAGGGGGTCTCACTATGTTGCCCAGGTTTGTTTTGAACTCTTGGATTTGATCAGTCCTCTTACCTCAGCCTCTCAAAGTGCTGGTATTAGAGGTATGAGCCACCACACCTGGCCCCAATCATATTCTTTGAATCTCATTATTTAAGGTTAACACCAGTGATGTCTACATCTTTTCAAGCAGGGACTAACTTCTATTCACAATTATAGATAAGGATTAAGGTGAAAACACCCTTGAGGACTAAGCGTTTTAAATTCACACTGAGGTAAAATGAGTGATTTTATATCCTTTCTTGTAAGCAAGTTCCCCCACCCCTGCTCTCTGCCTGCTGTCTAGAAGAAGTAAAACCAGGAGTCCTCTGTGAAATTACCACTAACCAGGCACCATCTTAACGTGTTGTTAAACATCATCTGTTTTCCTCTGGGTACTAGCAGTCACTGAGTTCTCTCTTACTGAAAAAGCGAAGTTGCGTATTTCATTCACTTGCTTTTATGAGTCCTTTGGCTCTTCTAGGCTTTCTTTTTTTGATTTAACCAGCCCACAAACTAAAGTGAGTATCTATTAATATTTCCCCAGACCACTATTCAAGGAAATGAACCACTTGACATTAATCATGATGGCAGAACTCCTTGACTGACAGTCTTTTCTCAGAATTCATGAGGCTACAGTGCCTGTGGGTCACTGCTGTGCAAACTTTGCTAACCAAGACATTCCCTGAGGAGTTTGTGAGCAGTTTGTTAGCAAGTCATGTCCCTCAAGGGCTCTAATTGAGTGGGTCTGGGGAAGGACCCAGAAATCTGTAGTGTTACCAAACCTACCGGCTGATTCTGGAGCTGGTGTTCCAAGGAACAAATTTCAAAAAACCTTGCAATATAGGGTTTTTTTTTTTCTTATTAATGGGGTAAATTTAAGTATTTAATTAATGGGGTAAATTCATCCATTCATTCAAGTACTTATCAAGCACTTTCTATGTGCCTCCTAACTTGATTTTTTATTGCTAATTATTTTTAATTTAAACTCCATTGTCAAGTTTCACTTTTCTTAGGAGAGTTGCCAAGGGTGAGGCTTATAAGAGACAAAGTGGAATTGGCTGCGAGAGTGGTCACTTCAGCTGCAGGCGAGGAGGTGGGAGGGATGACATCCAGGCGGTTGGAAACCATCTGGTAGGAAGCAAACCCAATGATGACCCTCACCTAAGGAACTTGGCTATTTGTGTAAGCGTCCAGAGGGAGTGATCCCTGGCCCCATAACGTGCTGAGGCAATTTCAAGAGTTACGAGAGGATGAAGATTTCAACATGTGTGATCAGAAAGTTGAATGAGATCTTTGTCTGGGCAGCTAGCAGGCCTTCTTCTGTTTTCTTTACTATTATACTGTGACTAACGATTGGGTGTTTGGTTTTGGTTATAACTTGAAAATTGTTGTGATCCATGTGAAGTAATGTCTTGTGAATATTCCACATGGATGCAGCCCCTACATCGTCAGATCTCTCCAGGTATTTCGGAAAGATTTTAATCCCTCAGCTTAAACACAAGTTCCGTTTTAGGGCCAATCCCCAGATGGAGGAGTTAGATGTACATTCCTTCAAAGAGGCCCCAGCCAGCCACCCCAAGGTTTGGAGCCCGTGAGTGAGAAAGTCTGGAACTTTTGGCTGCTTGGTTTCATTTTTTTAGTTTTCTTTTTGGGAGTGGTGGTAGAATTTTACAAAGACTTGGTGGGGGAAGACGGGAAGAGAGCTGTCCCAGAAAGGAAGATTTTATACTCCATACCATCTTCTGACTTTCCCTTTTTAAATGGTCTTGTGATTTGTCTCCAGAGAAGAGTTGGGTAAGTCAAAACCATGAGAGAGAGAGAGTGAGAGAGTGTGTGTGTGTGTGTGTGTGTGTGTGTGATCTCTGTGTTTGTGAGGGGAGGGAGCATATGAGTGAGTGGGAGGTAGCATTCCTAAATCTGCTGTATTAGTCAGTTTCCATGCTGCTGATAAAGGGATACCTGAGACTGGGAAGAAAAAGAGGTTTAATTGGACTTACAGTTCCACATGGTTGGGGAGGCCTCAGAATCATGGCGGGAGGTTAAAGGCACTTCTTACATGGCGGCAGCAAGAGAAAATGAGGAAGAAGCAAAAGTGGAAACCCCTGTTAAACCCATCAGACCTCCTGAGACTTATTCACTATAGGAGAATAGCATGGGAAAGACCAGCTCCCATGATTCAATTACCTCCCCACGGGTCTCTCCCACAATACGTGGTAATTCTGGGAGATACAATTCAAGCTGAGATTTGGGTGTGGACACAGCCAAACCATATCACCTACCATCAGGTGCCCCATCCTCTGTCTGCAGTACAGAATGTGCCTTGTGTTTGGCTTGCCCTCTGTAACTGTGGAATGTTCAGAGTCCTCCTTCTTGAAGTAGATGGAGAAAAAAGATTTCAGCTGGGATAAAGGAAAATAACAGACTACAAAAAACCAGCCAGGAAAGGGAATCCCCATGGGCGATGTAGTCTCACCTAGCTGCTAAGCAGCAGAGCCTGTGTTCTTCCCACCCCACCATAATAAATGGGGATGCCCATGAGGACATGCCACCCACACGGGAAGGTGGCACACATGAGGGCTCAGTCCTGGGCCCTTCAGGCAAATGGGCATGCAGACACGTAGGCTTTGCCTTCCAAGGAGTTTTGCCCATGAGTACCCTCCACCTTCACTCCTTCCACTGCCATTCCAATCATTAGCACAGCTCAGGGGATGTTCCCGCTCCCAGGGAAGCTCTCTGGCAGCCTCACTTGACAGCTGCACTAATATAGATTTGCAGGGCAAGACCAGCTTCCTTGGCATGACCTGCAAGCTGCCACGGGGTCTTATGCTTAGAAGGGCCCTGCGTTTGGTTCAATGCTCTGCTATCACCATCTCGAAATTCTTAATAATTTTTTAACATGCAAATCGCATCAGCAGGGCTGCTTGCCAGGTCAGGAGGATGCTTCAGGCTCTGTGAAAATCTTCAGTGGAGGGAGCGAGGGGGTCTTCCTGTCTTGTCCCCACTAACAGAATAGGTCTGTGAATCTCTATTAGATTTGTTCCTCATCATCTGTCTTCTCCCTCCTTCCTACAGGAACAGGACCTAGAAAGAAGAGGGGCAGCTTTGTTGGAATTTATTGCTGGTTCTGGTAAGATCAGGAAGCGGGAGTGGGGGGATGGAGGAAAATAATGAGTGTTGGGACTGAATGAAACTTAATTAGGGGAGGTGACAAGAAATGGCCCTGTGAACAGGCCTCAAACACAGGGATGAGTACTGCTCAGCGAGGCAGAGGCCAGCCACCTGTGGGATGAGCACCTGCATGGCCACCTTTACCAACAGACTCTCCTTCTCCTTCTCAGCACAGGCCCTGGCCCGGGTCCCAGGGACATCAGGGCCCAGAGACCTCACGTGGCTTGTCCTCACCTGGCTTGCCTAGGTTTGAGGTGTTGCTCAAGACAGAGCCTTTGCTGCTGCCCCTGAACACTGCCTGCCAGCACCCCAGCCCACCACCCTGACCTCATCACCCCGGAAAGGAGCAAGCTCATCAAATAGGACAGTGCTTGGGGTCTTCGCCAGTAGCTAGCACTGGCTGCTGTTTATGAGCATCTGTTATACACAAGGCAGTGGAGCATTCTCACATTTAATCCTCAACACAGTGCTATCAGGTAAGTTATATTATCCTCCTCATTTCACACATGAGAAAGCTGATGTTCAGGGGGATATATATGACTTTCTAGGGTTGACAGAGCTTATGTCTGAATTCAGGTTTTTCTGACAACAGAAAACAGTTACACTCAGCTGAACTTAATCCTGAATGAACTTAATTGACTTTTCCCCGTTAGATTTTATTGTCTCTCTAATATCTACCCTTCTTATGGGGCCTTTATGGCTGATAAGAATCTCATATCAGTTACAGGTACATAAACATGTGTGTCAGTCACGTGCCTCCTCTGCCTCCCTGTGGCATGTGCAGGGGGCCATGGTTTTATCCCCTGTAACCCTGAGAGATCAGGAGAAGAAAGTCTCCTTGTCTTTTCAAATGGTGCTCTTACTCTCTGTTCAACCATCTTGCTCACACCTGGTTAGTGAGAACCCTTAGTGATGGTGACAGTGATGATGATGGCTAACATTTATTAAGCACACTTCACCAGCATCTTCTCACTTAATATTCACAAGAACCCTGGGAGGTAGACACTGTCATCGCATCCATTTTCAGATGATGAAACTGAGGAACGGAGACATTAAGTGCCAAGTTCATACAACTAGACATGGCGGGTGTCATATATTGATTTATTTAACAAACATTCTTTGAGCACCTGCTGTATGCCAGACCAGTGCTGGATACAATAGTGAGCAGAATTCTGCACAGACCTGTGCAGGGAGGAGACAGACACAAACCAGGATGCTCAAGGAAGGCTTCTCTTAGGAGGTCTATAGTGTGGCCAGGAGTTAACTAGATCAGGAGGGTACAGAATATGCAAGAGAATCTCAGCCAAGGGGCTAGTCTGTGCGAAGCGTGTGGTAGGACACAGCACAACCTATTAAAGGAGCTGAAGGAAGGCCAGTGAGGCTGGAATGGACAGAAGGGTAGGGGCCTAAAGCCAGACAAGCCCAAAGAGAAAACGGGCAGCCTTGCGAGGCCTTTGAGAACTTTGGTCTTTATCCTTAGATCAATGGAAAGCCACTGGTGAGTTCTAAGCGAAGTGATAGGAACCAGATCATAGTTTAAGAAGATCACACTGAGTGCTGTGTGGAGAACACATTGAAGAGAGGCAAGATTGGAGATGAGTGACCACACAGCCAGCTATTTTAAAAGCCCAGAAGAACATAGTAGTGGTTTGGGGGTAGTGGTGAAAATGGAAAAAATGAAAAACTTGAGAGGGAGTAAGAAGATGAAACCATAGGACTGTGATTGAATGGGAGTAGAAGGAAAGGGAAGGCTTTCAAGGACTTGTTTTTATTTTTATTTTTTAGAGATGGGGGTCTTGTTATGTCACCCAGGCTGGCCTTGAACGCTTGGTCTCAAGAGATCCTCCTGCCTCAGCCTCCTGCGTAACTGGGACTACAGGAACATACCACCATACCCAGTTACTTTCAAGGATCTGAATTCAGGTCTGTTAGTCTCCAAATAACTGTACTTTTAACCACTACTCCTTAAGAATTTGGTCATTCAGGATTAAGTTTAGCTGTATAACCAGAAACTCCAAATAATAAAAGTTTAAATTAGATACAAATTTATTTTCCACTCACATGAAGAAGTCCAGAGGTAGTCAAGTTGTGGCTAGTGAATTCTATTAGGGGTTCAGGCATCTGCAGTGTTCTTGCTTTGTCCTCCTTAGCACAATGTTTCCACCACTGGGTCCAGAGTGGCAGCCTGAGCTCAGCAATTCCATCTGCATTCCAGCCAGCAGGAGTAAGGATGAGGAGAAAGGGCATGTTTCCTTCCTTTGGGGGCGTTTTTTAGACGATACATACCAAACTTCTACTTGCATGTCATTTGCCATAACTTAGTCAATGGCCATACTAGCTGCATGGGAAGCTAAAAAATGTTACCTTTGTTTTGGGCAGTGAAGTGACCAGCTTAAAATTAAGAAATTGATTACTAAAAAGGGAAAAATGGTTATCAGGATACAACTAGTAAGCTCAACTACAACTGTTAGACCTAAGTCTGCAATGCTAAGCCACATAGTAAATGATGAAAAGTCAAAAGTAGAGACTTGAATATATGATGTAAATTTTTCTAGGTCGCAATTTTATGCATGGTTTAATGTTTCATTTTTGTCCAGTTGTTAAACTGTTTGCTAGATTAACAATATTCATCTTGAATGTAAAATGTTATAGCCACTATGGAAGACAGTTTGGTGGTTCCTCAAAAAGTTAAATCTAGAATTACCCTATGACCCAGCAATTTCACTCCTAGATATATACCCAAGACAGCTGAAAATATATGTTCACACAAAAATGTGTACACAAATATTCATAGCAGCATTATTCAAAATAGACAAAAATGTAAACAGCCCAAATGTCCAGTAATGATGCATGGATAAACAAAATGTGGTCGGTCCATACAATGAAATATTCAGCAATAAAAAGGAATGAAGTACTGATACATGCTAAGACACAAATGGACCTTGAAAGCATTATGCTAAGTGAAAGAGGCCAGACATAATGGCCACATATTGTATGATTCCATTTACATGAAATGTCTAGAATAGGGAAATCCACAGAGACAGAAAGTAGAGTAGCGATTGCCAGGGAATGGTGGGAAGGAGGCACAAGGGTGAGGTTTCTGTTTGGAATGATAAAAACGTTGTAGAAGTAGATAGTAGTGTTGGTTGCACAACATAATGAGGACACTAGAAATCACTGAAGTGGATACTTTAAAATGGTGATTTTCAGCCAGGCATGGTGGCTTACGCCTGGAATCCCAACACTTTGGGAGGGTGAGGTGGGCGGATCACTTGAGGTCAGGAGTTTGAAACCAGCCTGGCCAACATGGTGAAACCCTGTCTCTACTAAAAATATATATATTAAAAAATTAGCCAGGCATGGTGGCGGGTGCCTGTAATCCCAGCTACTTGGGAGGCTGAGGCAGGAGAATTGCTTGAACACAGGAGGCAGAGGTTGCAGTGAGCCAAGATCGTGCCATTGCACTCCAGCCTGGGCAACAAGGGCAAAACTCTGTCTCAAAAATAAATTAATTAAAATAAAATAAAATGGTGATTTTCTGATATATGAATTGTATCTCAATTTTAACAAATTATCTTTGGTTCCATATGCAGCTCTTTAAAAAGGAAAAAAAAAAAAAAACCCCTGATAAACGTTATGTGTATGTGTGGTGGGAGGCAGGTATTTTATACACACAATGGTTTGGTTAATTCTGATGTTTGTAAACAACACAGATTAATTCCAACTTTCCCTTAATGTCCTCAGAATCATATTTTAGCTGTAGGAAGACAAACATTTAAATTTTTGCTTGTATTTCGAATTTTTCCTAAGGATGCCTGTTATGGTCTGAATGCTTGTGTCCCCCCAAATTCACATTTTGAAACCCTGCCCCTTAATGTGACGATAGCAGGAGGCAGGGTCTCTGGGAGGTGATTAGGATAAGATGAAGTCATGAGGGCACAGCCCGCTTGAGTGGAAGTAATATCTCCCCAAGAGAGCTTGTTTCCTCTCTCTGCCGTGTGAGGACACAGACCAACCCTGGGACAGTGTTGGAGGGGAATGCAAAGGCGGCAGGATCCCCGGGAGCCATTGAGGAGGCTGCTTGCCCCGTGGAGACAGCAGAAAGCAGGCTTGACAGACCCAGAAACCAGAAATTCAGAGTGATGGTTGCCAAAGTGCTGTCACTCAGCCAAACAGGGACCTGGCTCAAATGTTGCAAAGTGAAGCCTGTATCTGCTCCACAGGAGCCACAGGCCAGAGGTCCGGCTGTTGGTGCTACTCTGGGACTATCACTCAGGACAGCAGGCACAGGCGAAAGGCGTCAGACCTGGAATGAGACCGCTCTGAGTGCCCCGTGCCCCTCACTCCCTCCGTGAGCCTGGAGAAGTCTCGTTCCCTCTTCAGGCCCCCTTTTGTAAAAGAGACGAGGCAACTGTTTTTCCATCTGGGCTCTCTGGGCTCTCTGGGCCTCCTGGGATCCGAGGATATAGGACCAAGGTAAGCTCTAGTTTCATCAGGTCTCTTTGGAGTTCATTTAAGAAAAAAATAAATAAAAGTGTACTACTGATCATTGATAACAAAAAGACAGGGCAAGCTTGAAGGCCACAGCACTACGGGAGGGTGATGCACCCTCTGTCTTCGCTTTGAATGCTCTGATCTCAGAATCAGTAAAGCCGTGGCTGTGGGATCACTCTCAGTCATGGTGAAGGTATGCGAAGAATCTGCAGTTATGTTCCATCATGTGGTTTGCTAACCAGAGGGAAATTACCCCTGTATCAGATGCCACAATAATTGTCATTCAATCATTTTCTTGTTGCCCAGAAGGGGAGTAATCATAAAGGAAGGGTGGTGTCAGCGGTGTTGACATGGGGCCAACATATCTGGATGGAAAGTGAAATCTCAGTCAGTCATCCAGGCTCAAAGCCCAAGCAGAGAGGCCCCCGGGAAGGAGCACAGGGCTGGGAGTGAGTGTGGGGCTGAGAAAGGGCTGTGCCAGGAGGCCTCCCTGCTCCACATTCCTCACCTGCGATCCCTCACAAGATGACCAAAACAACCCAGTGAAACTGCCTTGCTTGGAATACATACGCAGGAGGAAGTGCCCTAGCCACAGGAGGCTGTAATACACTAGAGGGCAGTGGTGCCCAAGGCCATAGGGAGGGAAAGTCCCATGGAATGCGGGCAGCCTTTCCCTCAATCCCTCTGACCATTCCTGTGGGGGAATGCAGGCCCAGGGTTGCCAGATTTTCTCATTTTCCAGTAGAAGCCAGAAACATGGGTTTTTATGTGACATTTTCCCATTTTTAAAATACTTTGCAGATCAAACAAAACATGTTGCTAGGCCAGAACTGATCCATTAGCCATCAGTCTACAACCCCTGAATTCCAAATGAGTGACTTCATTTTAATGAAAACACCAAGAAAATTAGGTAAAAGTGTTCATTCTCCTGAAAATTTGGTCCCTGGGAGCACATTATTTATTCAATCATCAAGTGCCTACTGTGTGCCAGGTACAAATAGAATGCTAGAAGTTTTCTATTTTCTCATCTCTTCTCTGACCATAGGTCTTCTTTTCTCTGTTTCATTCATGAACTTTTCTGTATATGGGAAAGTGGGAAGAAAAATAGAAGGGAAGAAAAATATAGGCCTGGAAAAAAAGTTTGGCAAGGTGTCATTCCACAAGTGGAGGGTAAAATTGTGTCTCCAAGTCCACCGTCTTCATGCACTGAGCAACTAGCACAGAGCTGGTCACCTGGTTATTGAAAGACACAGCAACAATTGTAGCATATGTTGGTTGGTCACCCATTACCTGCCAGACCCAGTGGTGTTATTATGTTACTAGGCGGTGAATTTTAGTCCTCATTATACTTCTATGAGTCAGGGACTTCCTTTTATCACAGGAGGAAACTGAGGTCTAAACAGACTAAGTAACTTGCCCAAGTTCATAGAGCTCTCAAGCTGTAGGCCTTAGATCTTAATGAAGTTGTGCCTGACTCCAGAATACACACCTTCACATTGTACTGAATGAATGAATGAATGAATGAAGAGTGAGTGGATGAGTAAGCTGAGGCCCTGCTCCCTCTCCCCCTCATCTTTCACCCTCCATTCCCACCCTGCCCTCCCAACTCATGTGCTGGTTCTGAGACTGAAAGATCAGAATTACATTTTTGCAGATTTCCCAAAGGAACATTGGGGCCATCACTCCCCTTAGTGCCTCAGGACACTAAGCTGGCTGGGGCATTGCCATCTGCCTTGGCCCTTCAGGAGATGTCAATGTCTAGATACCCACTTAGCTTCCTTCCTGTCACATTGATACACTCAGCATCATTTGCCTCTGAAATATGTTGTGTGAAGGGGAAAGATTTGAGAAAGCAGCATGTTTTACAGATCAAGAAGATTTCTTATTTACCAGTGTGCTAGTTTCTGTTATTTTTTTCTGTACCCTAGTGTATAATCAGAGCTCATAAAAGTGCTACCGTGTGGGAGGTCTACATTTCCTCTCTATTAAGCATCCCCAGATGTTCATAGATCCTGACACTTCATGCCTCCCGCCTTCTTTGGTTCACCTTCCAGCCTCACGGCTCCTCTTTGCTTCAGTTGAGGAGCCAAGCATGTCCCACTCTGTGGTTCACTAATCAGTCATCATTCCCCAACGTCGCAACTCAACGTCTGCCTAAAAGTCTGTTTCCCCCTTTATGTGGTCAGGTGTCTGTTATCTGCTCATATTCAGAAATCACTCTTTTATGAGAACCTGACTACCAACTGCAGATGGATTTCCTTGCTGCTTTTGGAAATCGCTGATAGCACTTCCTCCTTGGTGCAATCAGAGGAGTCCCTGTGTGGTACATGCTGACCCAGTGGCTAGACAGGGGTTCATCAAACATTTTTATACATTGCGGTTGGCAAACTCTCAATTTCAGGAGATGCTGTGATGAAGCAAGGAAACACTGTGGTCCTCCAGATAGGTCTGATGGTCTATTGTTGCAAAGTATCATACCCAAAGGATGCTTGGGATGGCCCAAGTAGGGGCTTTTCCCATGAATCCAGTCAAGGACCAGCTCCACAGGCTTACGGCTCTGGCCTGAGGGCTTTGATCTTTATAATTTCAGAAAGGACAATGCAGGGGCTTAGGATGATCCAAGACTTGGAGTCTGCAGAACCGGGATCGAATCTCACTCTGCCATGTACTAGTTCTGTGATATAAAGAAAATCACTGAAATTCAGGGCTTCATTGTCTTCACTTATGAAATGGGAATAGCAAGAACAAAAATCACTTCACAAAATTATTGTGAGAATTAAATAAGTGAGTATGTGTGGATGTATTTGGAACAGAGTAAGCTTTTATCAAATATTAAATGAATTTCCGAAGTGAAAAAAAATGAAGATGTCCTCTTTCATTTTCTCTTCTCGCCATTAAGAAGAGAAATAGCATCGCCACAGGTGAGGGGCCTGCACCCAAGCTCAAGAACCACTCTGTTGGCATGATGGCAGGACTCAGGCCATCCTAGTCCTAGTTTCTTGACTCTACCTAGCCAAGAAGTCTTGTGTCACTTCTTTACTCCTTTATTTTAAAATTTTATTATAAAAATTTTTAAACATACAGAAAAGTAAAAAGAATGGCATAATGAAGAATCTACTAGCTAGTTCCAATTATCAGCACTCTGGCATACTATAACATGAATGCATATATATGTATGTATAATATGTACACATGTACACACACACACACATATCTATTTGCTAAACTATTACAGACATATTGGTTCTTCATTCCCAAATACTTCACCAAGCATCTCTAAAAGTTGTCATTGTTTATATAATTACAGCAATATTATGCAGTAACCAAATTAATAGTTCCTTAATATCATTTATTATCTAGTTCATGTTAATACTTCCCCAATTATTTCCAGAATATATATTGTAACATTTTTAGAAATGGGGATCCAATCAAAGATGCATTTGGTTGTTAAATCTTTCAAAATATGTAACAGACCACTTCTCCCACTCCCAGCCTACTGCCACACACTTTGTTCACTTTCATACTAAATTCGACCCCTGGGCTATGACAGTGATCCATCAGCTGGCATCAGCTGGCACTTGAGCTGGCTTCTGAAGCTGGCTTGGATTGACAGAGCACAGCAGTGTGTGAAAGAGGCCTGAAAAAGGGAGCAGCATGGGTAGAGACACAGAAGGAGGGGGGCCTGGAGTGTGTATAGGACACTCTGAGCTGTTCAGTCCAATTAGAGGGCAGGAGTGTCCTACTGATACAACCCATCATGGTGGAAAATACAAACTTGTAGTCCATTTCCAGAAAGACCTAACTTGTTGTCAACCATGGGTATACTAGGTATCCAGAAGTCAGAACAAACATTTCTTCACTGTTACCTTGGAGTAGAGCTGCCTTTCCCTCAAAGAGTTACTGGGAGGTCTCTTTCCCCTCTAGTCTTCCTCCTTCATGTTGGACTCCTCGGCCTCTAGGACCTTGGCTTAAGTTCACTGCCACCTTCTTAACCTTTGTTGCCAAGCCCCATGTCCCTGGAGCTATGCTTTCATTAAAGAGCAGCCTCTACCAGGCAAGCTGGTGTCTCTCCTAGTAAACCGATTGCCTCTCATAGCTTTGATTCCTTATCATGCTAAAATGCACTAAGGATAGGGATGGTGAGAGGCAAGAGGGGTGACGGGAGCAAAGAACCCTGCACTGATAATTGAGACAGGCAGAATTCCCAAGTGGTAGAAAGTGGGTTTGGAAGCATAGGTTGAATTTGGTCACCAAGAATTTCTGAGCAAGGGAAAAGCCTAGTACGAACACTTGAAATGTGTCAATCTTGGAGTGAAGCATAAAGTAGGCTGGAAAGAAGTAACTAAATATGGGGAGATTCCGGTGGAGAGGCTATCTGGGAAGTGGTAGGTAACTCTGAAAGCATGAATACCACTATCCAAAGAGAATGCTGAGATAGAGAACACTGCTAAGGATGACTCTTCAGGGCACACCCATGAACTGGGAGGTCAAAAGAAGCACTGAGGAGAAGGTAAAACCAACTCATTCTGAGAGGGAGGAGGAGAACCAGCCCATCCCTGTATAACAGTAACAAGTGGAGAGATTTTCCAAAAGGAAAGATTGGTAGTAGTATCCCATGAGGAACTGCTGTTGTAGAGATAAGACCTGAGCAAGCTACTTTGAATGGGGTGTCCAACAGGCAACTTCCTTCAGGCCACCACTGGTCCATTGGCATCTGTCTTCCTTTCGGGGTCCTCCTCTGCCAGCCATATTCATCTCTCCACTGAACTCTGGGTCCCATCCCCTTCTGCCCCCTCGCTCAATCAGTCTCCCATCTCCTGTCTTAATCCTCAGCCAATGAAGAGGCTCAAGACTCTTCTATCTTAAAAATGTAAACCAACCAACCTCCCTCAATCTTACATCTGCATCCAAATCTTGTCTTCACTCTCTATTATGCCACATTCAAACTCTTTGAGGAACTTATCTGTGTCCATTTCATCTCCTTTCATTCATTCCTTACTGCTGTCCCTTTCATCAGTGCTATCCTCATTAGGTTCACTGATGCTCTCCATACTTTTCAGTCCAACAGGCAATTTTCTGCCTGTATCTTATCTGGCCCTGTAAGTCATTTGATAATATTAATTAATTTCTTTTGCTTACGATCGCCTCCTGCCCTGCTTCCGAAACAACACTTCTTCCTATTTCTCCTCACACCTCTCTGTGTGTTCCCTCTCCATCTCCTCTGCCTTGAAATGTGTTGGACTCCTTGGGCTCTGGGGCCTTGGCTTCACTTCACTGCCACCTTCTTGATCTTCATTGCCAAGCCCCATGTCCCTGGGGCCATGCTTTCATTAGAGAGCATAGCCTTGAGGTCTGTCCTCAGTCCTCTGCTCTCTTTATGCAGTACAGCCCTGTTGGGTACCTCTCTATAGGCCCGTGTGGCCACCACCATCTTTATGCTGATGAGCCCCTGATCATGTCTCCATCTCCGGGCCTCTCCCCTGGGTGGAATCTAATTGTCTACTGGACAGCTCAACTTTTATTCAGCAAACACTTATATACTATGTGGCAGGCACTGTTCTAAGCACTTTATAAAATATTAGCTTACTCAGTGCCCTATTTACTGGAATTTGAAAGTTTGTCCTCTCCCAAATGCATGTTGAAACTTAATTGCCATTGCAACAGTGTTAAGAGGTTGGACCTTTAAGAGGTTATTAGGCCATGTGGGCTCTGCCATCATGAACGGATTAATGCTATTATCAAGGGAGAGAGTTTATTATTGTGATAGTGGATCTCCTATAAAAGGAACGTTCTCTATCACTCTCTTTTTTGGAATTATGCAGCATCTTTTGCCAGTTGTCAACACCTTGCTATTGGATTTCTCAGCCTCCAAAACTAGGAGCCAATAAATTTCTGTTCTTTATAAATCACCCAGTCTCAGGTATTCTGTTATAGCAGCACAAAATGGACTAAGACAACATTCAAAGTTGAAAATTGCCATGACCAAACAATGAACGCACCCCCTTTCCACCAAACCTCCTTCTCCTCACTCTCCTTTGAGGTTGGTCTTAGAGAGAGGCATCTACCACTCATGCAACTGCTCCAGCCAGAAATGAATGGCTCCTCCTAGACACATCTCTCCTGAACCACCCAATCCTTCACCCTCTCTGCTCCACAGTCAGCAAGTCCCAAGACCTGTTTATTCCTCCTCTTTCTTACCCACCCCTCCCACATCCACTGCCACTACTTTAATTCTGCCCCTCACCACACCTGACCTGGATTCTCACAACAATTAGAAAACTATCCAAATGCTTTCTTCTTTTTTTGGAGACTGGGTCTTGCTCTGTCACCCATGCTGGAGCACAGTGGCATGATCACAGCTCACTGCAGCCTCAACTTCCCAGGCTCTAGCGATTCTTCCACCTCACCCTCCTAAGTAGCTGGGAACACAGGCACACACCACCATGCCCGACTAATTTTTGTATTTTTGGTAGAGTCAGGGTTTCACCATGTTGTCCAGGCTGGTCTCAAATTTCTGATATCAAGTGATCCACCCGCCTCAGCCTCCCAAAGTGCTGGGATTACAGACATGAGCCACCACACCCAGCCTCCAAATACTTTCTTCTAAAATACATTCTGATCCTGTCTCCACCTGTACCCTCTGCCCTCCTGCTTAAAGTCCTCCTATTTCTTCCCCAGATTACAGAATGAATAAAACTCAAAGTCACAGGAAATAAGATAGGAAAGTCCAGGGAAGCTCCCAGATGGCTATCTCATGCTTCTGCACATTCCTACTAAGCCCTTCCCCTCTTCTCTTTATAACCATCACAGACTCCTCCCAAAGTTAATTTTTCTCTCAGAAGCCTTCTTTATTGATTTGACCAACCCCATTGGTACTTTCACAGCACACATTATGTATTTATCTATTGTTGCATGTATTGTTCTGTCTTCCCATTGTTTATTTATTTGCTGGTCTCATCCACCAGCTGCAAACTTCTTAAGAGGAGGGACTGAGCCGTATTGAACTGTGACTCTCTAGTACTTCAGAAGCTTCTGTTGAATGAATGAATTAATGACAATAATTGTGTGATATTATAATTGAATAATTGACTGTTTAAGGGTCTGTGATCTAGGATCAATCCACCTCATTTAAAATCCCATTTCAACTGTCATTTACAAGATCTGTTCATTTGGGCACATATCATAATGCCCTATGGCTCACTTTTCTTGTCTACACAATTAGGATTAATAAGAGAACCCATAGGTTCACTGTGGTAATTAGATACTCTATAAATTATTAGTAAAATAACTAACATGTGAGTACTTAATAAATGTTTGCTATTACCATTTTTAAATTGGGAAATCAACTACTTTTCAGGTACTTGGAAGTACTTTTTTAAAATGCAGATTGAATATTCTTCCTGCAAAAGTTGTTATTAATTTTAATACTTTCTATAAATTGTCTTCATTTTTGTTAATTTGCAGAATTAAAACTTGATCTATAGCAAGGAAAAGTTCAGCTCAGCTCTTGGCATAATTATCACAACTTCCAAAAAAAGAGGAGCTGAATTAATGAGATGATGTTACCCTGTTGGAGGTCCCAGATTCAGATGACTGAGGGATATAATCTTTCATTCCAGGGACAAGGGGAGGCGGTGGGAATCTTGCCCCTCGCTTATGTTTACTGCCGTTTCCTGAGTCAGAAGAAGCTCAAAGATCAAGGTGTACACTCCAGAGACCCACTAATTGTGTTCACCCCTGCTCCCCAGCACATTTCAGGGACAGCCCTTTCTTTCACTGGTTGGAAAGAGCACGAAGTTGCAAGCATGTTTAATATGTGAATGCAATGTTAGGAATACTGCAGACCACTTAAATATCCTCTGAGACTAAATACAAATAATTTCTGACTCAGCCATAGATTTGGAATATAATACAGGTGAGGAATAACCCCCTCAAGCATACAGGAAGCCTGACTGCAGAATTTTGAAAGCCTGTCTTGGCTACTGAGAGATCATTTCAACAAATGATTAAACAGTATCACAAACTTAGTTGACAAACCACTGATCAGTTCAATTTTTTCTATTAATACCCTTTTACCTGCATGAACATTTATGTTTGGACCCAATCCAGCTGTTGCTGCTACCAGAAGGTTTATAGATGCATGCTGAAACACATCTAAGAAGTAACATCTGGAAATCTTTGAATTGCATTCTTCCTGCTAAAATATCCCTGGGGGAACAGGGGCCTCAAAAAGAGAAAAATCCAAATCTTTAATGGTTATTGTGAAGGGTGCAACATATTAAAGTTTTTCTGTCTTAATTAAAACTTCCAGGGAACAAAACAGAAATTGACCCAAAATTTGAATTGAAAAGGCATTAATTCCATGTGTAAATGAGTATCACCTTTTCAATTGTATTATTAATATGTCATTCTTCATCTTTATGAGATTGAAGATTATGAGGGCATCATCTTTAATACAAGTTTATAAAAACATTCAACCACTTGAAAGATCTGTGTTCAAAATCCTTTGTCTAGCAGTGGCGACAGATTTGCACTGACCCTTCATGGATACGTCTGCACCAAGGGACCTGGAGCAAAAAATCTCCCTAGATTGTTGCAAGGTTTAATGAGATAATGTACACGAAAGAACTTGCAAAATGAAGAGCACTTTATAAGCTGTAAAGGTCCACATTAACACAGACTGCTTGGACCAGAACTCACAGTACAGAAAATAGTAGAGCAAAGCAAAAGTGATTTGCTCAGGCAGGTACAAAACCACAATTCAGTGTTTACGAACCAGTGCTCAAACTACCAACGTAATATGTTGGCTTGCATCATAGACCTGTTGTTGGGGGGTGAAGGTGGGTCTAGTTTGTTGTTGTTGTTGTTGTTGTTTTTAATTTTAGAGCAGTTTTATTTTTTCAGACAACTTGAACAGAGTACAGAGTCCCCATAGACTTCCCCTCCCTCTCTTCCCCTGACACCTCAGCAGTTTCCACTAATAACATCTCCCATTAGTATAGTACATTTGTTACAATAAACAAATCAATACTGATACATTAGCTAAATTATTACAGTTTGTTATTAACTAATTCGATACATTATTAATTATAATCTAGATATTAGTATATTATTAACTGAAGTCCACAGTTTACACACGGTTCTCTTCCTGTTATACAGTTCTCTGGATTTCATCTAAACTTTGAAATTACTCCATATAAGGCTGGGCGCGGTGGCTCACGCCTGTAATCCCAGCACTTTGGGAGGCCAAGGTGGGCAGATCATCTGAGGTCGGGAGATTGAGACCAGCCTGACCAACATGGAGAAACCCTGCCTCTACTAAAAATACAAAATTAGTCAGGCGTGGTGGCACATCCCTGTAATCCCAGATACTTGGGAGGCTGAGGCAGGAGAATCGCTTGAACCCGGGAGGTGGAGGTTGCGGTGAGCTAAGATCGCACTGTTGCACTCCAGCCTGGGCAACAAGAGGGAAACTCCATATAAAAAAACAAAAAAAAAAAAAAGAAAGAAAGAAAAGAAATTGCTCCATATAGAATGTTATTCAAATTTGGGACTTCCTTCTCTACTTGTGGGTTTCAGATTTTCTGAGGCCACAGAATTTTTATAAAGGGTCCATAGATCCTGTGCAAAGCCAGCCTTTAGGGTAGACTGGACAATGTGCTTTTACTGGGCCCTGGAAAAAATATTTATTAATGAATGAGTGAAAAAGTATTCACTTATTCATTTATATACTGCTGTATTTCAAATTCCGTAAATGCCATTATATTTCAGTTATCTATACTGTGTTACAAAACACACCAAAACTTAATGGTTTAAAACAACAATGATTTTTTATTTCTCAGAATTCTCTGCATCAACTAAGTGGTTCTGCTGGTTGTGTCTGGGATCATTCACACAGCTGCATTCAATCAGCAGAGAAGCTGGTGATTGGGCTGATGGCTCATCCTCAAGAAGACTAGATCAGCTTCCTCACATAACGGCAGCCAGGTTCCAAGGCAAACCCCAGTGTGCAAGTACTTAGCAAGTCACTGCTTGTGTCAAGTTTACTGATGTCCCCTTGGTCACAGTGCTAACACAGTAAAGTCCATAATTAATGTGTCAAGAAATTGAACCAGGAGGTTTGATTTTCTGTGGACAGTGTAACAATCTACAATGTTGTAATTAATTATTTGTAAATTCATGTAAAGGAGTTATTGAGGCGGGCGTTGTGGCTCATGCCTGTAATCCCACCACTTTGGGAGGCTGAGATGGGCAGGTGGATCACTTGAGGTAAGGAGTTTGAGACCAGCCTGGCCAACATGGTGAAACCTGTCTCTACTAAAAATACAAAAATTAGCTGGGCATGGTGGTGCGCGCCTATAATCCCAGCAACTTGGGAGGCTGAGGCAGGAGAATCACATGAACACAGAAGGTGGAGGTTGCAGTGAGCCGAGATCGTGCCACTGCACTACAGCCGGGGTGACAGAGCGAGACCTTGTCTCAAAAAAAAACACACACAAAAAAGGAGTTGCCGAATCCATAATAGGTTTTCATCAGATATTTTCTCAATCATCAGAATTTTCATTAAAACTTCAGATACTCTTCTGAGAATCCATTAAATTGTCTGACATTGTAAAGAGATCTCTGTAGTTAAAAAGGATGGGAACCTCTAAATAAATGCACCATCTGCTAGGAATTTAAAATATTTGGTCTCATTGATGTTTGGGATGAGATTTGACATATTTGGCAAATGTTGCTTTAATGTTTATTATGTTTTCCACCATACTTAGGATCATGAGTGTTAAATAAAGAATGTTTAAAAAGTTAATTCATTATTGCTCCTTTGCTAAAAGAATAAAATGTGGAATTTGTTATTTCTCATCCAAGGCGGACTATGTCACCTGAATGCATCAAGCCCACCCCTGGCTCCTATGGCTTTAATGTGGCAGAAATCAAGGATAAAGCACCAAAAGTCAGGAACCCGTGGGGGCAGGCAGCTGGGAGTAGGGGGGCAGCCCTGGAGTAGTGATTGTGGCAGTGCACATGGACACAGCTGCAGCGGCTGTGGGGCTGCCAAGAAACTACTAAAGTTCCTGGTGAAGCAATGTAGAATTTGATAAGAACATATAGATGGAAGGAAAAAAACCTATGGTGACTGTGAAGGCCCTGATGCCATGTATGTCAAATTGATATCATCTAGTGGTCACAAAGTTATTGTAAAAAGAGAATATGCAGTAACATCAATAACAATAAAGGCTATGTTGAGTGGCCCAGGTCAGCTTGCTGAAAATGAAATCAGTGAGGTCAGTTTTAGAGAAATCTCTTCACATGTGCTATCAAAAGTATGCATGTAAGCTGCATGCTGTGGCTCAAGCCTATAATCACAGCAGTCTGGGAGACCTAGGTGGGAGGATTGCTTGAGCCCAGGAGTTCAAGACCAGCCTGGGAAACAGAGTGAGACCCCGTCTCTCCCAAAAAAATTAAAAATAAGCTGGGTGCAGTGGCATACACCTGTAGTCCCAGCTACTTAGGAGGCTGAGGTGGAAGTATCCCTTGAGCCCAGGAATTCAAGGTTGCAGTGAGCTATGATCACACCACTGCACTCTAGAGTGGGTAACAGAGCAAGACCTTGTCTTTTAAAAAATATATATGCATATATGTTACATACAATGGTCACTACACTAACAGCTCCACAGAGATTCTCAAATTCCCAGCTGCACCTCAAATTGCACCAGAATTGCTGATGACTGTGAACTTCCTAGATTGTTAAATAAATTATAATAATTTTTTAAAGTACCAAAAGTTAACCTTTGAACAATGCAACAATCCGAAAAGCTGGCAACCGACAAATATATAATCTCTACTTTAAAATGATGTTTTTAATTATGAAGCCAAGAATGTAAAATGACGTAACATAAAGTTTCTTTATCCTCATATCTGCTTTCTGAAGTGACAATGACTATAAAGTGAGAAGGGCATCAATCGGTAACAGAACAGGCAAGGGAAATAGAGTGTGAGTAAATTGTTACATTGACCAAGAATCTAATAATCTTGCTCACAAGGGTGAAATCAAAAGTAGGAACTTAAGTTTCCTGGTGAGTTGGATACCATTCCATCTTCATTGGTGATAATGAATCAGTACTCTGGGCAATCAATGATCTCACCAGGTGGGCAGACTCAGAAGGAGGAGCCTTAGTTCCTTTCTAAGGGAGCCTCCCTGCGAGGATCTACACTACACAAGTGATTAAAAAGCAATTCATTGGCTTGTGGCCAACTGCTGACACCATCACTCCAGCAGACTCTGACAGCTGGAGAATTGAGTTAGTTGTTGTTTATCCCCATCCTTATTGGTGCCTCCCTGGGGTGTCTGTACCCCAACCCCACAGTTTTCTAGCTGGGCCTGATGTTTCTCTTTAGACATTTCTAGCAGACCATTTTCTCAGTTTCTCCTATGTGGCTTAGCAATTCTCTCTAATGTCCTTTTTGTTTCATAGTTCTCTTCATTAATTTACTCAAAATGCATTGAATGGCAGGTGTGTTCAAGGCCCCACGCTAGAGGAGTTATACAGTGGAAATGCAGTTGGTTAAGAGACAGATATCATTAAATAGTTCTCAAAAAAGTAGTGAGTGCTAATCTAGGAGAACAGGTACCTGGACAGCGTTGGCCAACCCAGCTTTCTCCCTTGTCACTTACAGAATGCAATGTCCTGGGATAAGGAGGAACTGTCCAGAACAACCCAAACTATGCCCTTGTTCCTACTAGAACAGGGTGTTCTGCAGTCCTTGTGTTCTACAATCCTTGTGTGAGCCCAGAAATGCTCAGGGTATAAAACCCATAGCAGAGCGATTGCAGAGTCTCTCAGCTGCAGAGTGACATGGAACACAGGCAGACAAGATTCCATCTGCCCTGGAAAGTTGTATTGAGCCTTGCTGGACCAAATCCTTGGTTTCTTTTTTTTTTTCTTTTTCTTTCTTTTTTTCTTTTTTTTTTTTCTGTTTATCTGTCAGTAACAAATCTGCTTTGACTAACTTGTTGATCATGGATTCTGTCTCACTGGACTAGGCCTGCAAACCTTTGCAGTAATAAATGTCCCAAGTGGTAGAATGAAGGGTCAGAGGAAAGAACTATTCCATTATGCTCTTCCTTCAGTGACCACTGTTTTCCAGCTTCCTTCATAAGCTCCTTTTCCTTTCTGCCAGTACTCACTTTCCACCCTCTTTTCTACTTACTCACTAGGTAATGCATCTATTCATTTGGCTTTAACACCTAATTCCCAACCCTGACCATTCTCCTTAACTCCCACCCATATTTTCAACTATCTGTTAGATGTTACTACTGAAAGTTTATAGGTCTTCTCTTATGCAGTATGTCTAAAACCAAAGTTATTTTTCTGGAACTTACTGATCCTCCTGTATTCCCAGACTCCAACAATGGCTACAAGCTAGAAACCTTAAGTAGTTTTGATACATCCTATGCCTGGACTCCTAAACCTAATGCTTTGCCAAGTGTGGGTGTTTTTACCTTGGTTTTAAACTTTTTTTAAAACCAATACCATGTTTTACCCCTTAAACTCTTCATCTTATCTGCTTACTGAATCACCTGGTTGTTCTTTTTCAGAACCATTACACCAACCTGTTAACTGTACTCCCAATCTCCATCTCTTTCTTCTCAAACTATCCTCCACTGATACTAGATTGATCACTTTAATATATAAAGTGATCATGTCACTTCCCTGTTTCAGAATCTTATTATTGCACAGAGTAAAGCCCAGATTTTTTAGCATGCCAGAGAAGGCTTTCACAATCTGGTCTAATTGGTGATATATAAATACCCCCTCCAACCCCCAACACACATACATACACACATACATGTTAACTCTTCCAAAAATGTCCTAGCTTCTTAGGGAGAAAAACTTAAAGATTTGAAAATGAAGAAAAGTGATCACTAGCGGTGTCTTCCATGAAACGCTGGCTTTGTCTAGTAGGGCCTTCAGGGATGATCTGATTCTATAGGATTGTATACCTTTGATTGCCTTTGATTAACTAGGCTGTCTTACAGTTCTGTAGAAGTAGAGATTAAACTGTAGAAAATTGACAGTAATAAAAATATCTCTTCCCAAATGTCACTCTCTGTGCCTGAGCTAGGACATCTATCTTCTCCTGCCCCTGGGACATAGGCGTGCCTGGTTCTCTGGCCTTCAAACTCAGACCAGGGCTTACACTATTTGCTTCCATGGTTCTTAGGCTTTTGGGCTCAGAATAAATTACACTGTCAGCTTTCCTGGTCTTCCAGTTTATAGACAACAGATCGTGGGACTTTTCAGGCCCATACTCACCCCTTAAATCTTCGGCTAAAGTCTTCTATTTATCAAACCCAACCAGAAGCCAGAGGACAAGAGACCCCCAGTAGTGTGCTACGTAATGACACGCGGCCTGATGCGCCATGAGGGGAAAAGCCAGCTGGTAAAGACCACCCATGGAGATAAGCAGGGGAAAGCCAACAGAGCCTGGGCCCCTGATGACATCATCTGGCTGCTGCTTCATCGCATCATCCCAGAACCATGTTCTACAGCCTTCTTGTCAGTGCAACAGATGTCTACATATATAAATATGTAACATATATACAGATGTTTACATATATATGTAATATGTATGTTACACACATGTGAGTGTGTGTGCGTATTTCACCACATCACATGGTGAAAGCAGGAGCAAGTGAGAGAGAGTTGTGGGGGGAAGGTGCCACATACTTTTAAATGACCAGATCTCATAAGAACTCCCTATTGCAAAGACAGCATCAAGCCATGAGGGATCCACCCCTCATATATATATATATATTTATATATAGGCCACCAGTGCCATACTCACCTTCCAGGGACCTGGGAATCGATCTGCTCCACCTGATGCAGCTAGCACCAGTGTCCACATACATTATCCATGGGCCTAGGGACTGGCTCACCCCATTCACCACTGCCAGCACCTGTGGACACTGAAAACAGGGGCCTGAAAGCAAGCCTTTTCTGTCCATTGCTGCCACCACTGGTGCCTGAGGATCAGCCCACCTAATATTCCCATTCCCAGAAAAGTTTCATCATAACCTTCACTAACGACTGCAGTGTAAGCCACTAAGGAACTCACAAATTTCACTAATGCTAATTATCACTAAAGAAATCACATGGAAATTATATAACTGCACATGCCCAGAATCAAAGCCGAAGCACCCTGCCTGACCAACACTATAGATAAATCTATAAGTAAAAAATCTTCCCTATGAAAGCCAATTTATAAAATTGGAAGAAGTGACTGTTACACCAGATGCACAGATATCAGTGTAAAGACACAAGAAATGTTAAAAATTAAGAAAGCATGACACATCCAAAGGAACACAATAATTCTCCAGTAACAGATCTCAAAAGAAAGTTATGAAATGCCTGAAAAACAACACAAAATAATAATATTGAAGAAACTCAGTGAGATACAAGAGAACACAGATAAATAATACAAAGAAATCCAGAAAATAATTCATGATCTGAATGAGAAATTCAAAAAAGACATAGATATTATTGAAAAGAAACAATCATCAATCCTAAAACAGAAGAAATCAATGAATGAAATAAAAAAATACAATTGAGAGCATAAACAACAGACTAGATCAAACAGAAGAAAGAATTTTTGAACTCAAAGACAGTTGTTATGAAGTAATCTAGTCAGAACCCTCCCCCCCAAAAAAACAAGAAAGAAAGAAAGAAAGAAAAGCAGAAGAGGAAATAATAAAAAAGAAAAAAAAGGACTGAAAAGGCTGCATGACATATGGGACACCATAAAATGACCAAATATTCAAATTCTGTGAGTTCCAGGAGAAGATATAGGCAAAGACATAGAAAACTTATTTAATAAAACAATAGCTGAAAACTTACTGATATCATTTGGATGATTGTCCCCTCCAAATCTCATGTTGAAATGTAATTCTGTGTCGGAGGTGGGGCCTGGGAGGTGTTTGCCTCATGGCTTGGTGTTGTCTTTGTAATAGTGAGTTCCCACAAGACCTAGTCATTTAAAATGTGTGGCACCTTCCCCCCAGCTCTCCCTCTCCTGCTTCTGCTTTCGCCTGTGACATGCCTGCTCTCCCTTTGCATTCAGCCATGATTGTAAACTTCCTGAGACCTCCCTAGAAGCCAAGAAGACTCCAGCACCATGCTTCTTGTAATTCCTGCAGAACTGTGAGCCAGTTAAAACTCTTCACTTTATATATTACCCAGTCTCAGGTATTTCTTTTTTATTTTTATTTTTTGAGACAGGGTCTCACTCTGTCACCCAGGCTGGAGTGCAGTGGCACAATCTCAGCTTACTGCAACCTCCACCTCCTGGGTTCAAGCAATTCTCGTGCCTCAGCCTCTCGAGTAGCTGGGACTACAGGAGTGCACCACCACACCAAGCTAATTTTGGTATTTTATAATTCAGTTGCCCGGCTGGTCTCGAACTCCTGAGCTCAGGCAATCCACCTGCCATAGTCTCTCAAAGCGCTGGGATTACAGGTGGGAGCCACTGTTCCTGGCCTCAGGTATTTCTTTACAGAAATGCAAGGACAGCCTAACACAATTAGTGAGTTCTCGTTCTGAGTTCACACAAGATCTGATTGTTTAAAAGAGTGTAGCATCTCCCCCTCTCTCTCTTGCTCTTGTTTTTGTCATGTGACATGCTGGTTCCCTTTCCACCTTCAGCCATGATTGTAAGCTTCCTGAGGGCCTCATCAGAAGTAAATGCTGGCACTATGCTTTCTGTACAGTCTGAAGAACTGTGAGCCAATTAAACCTCTTTTCGTTATAAATTATCCAGTCTCAGGTATTCCTTTATAGTAACAAAAGAATGGACTAACACTGTTTCCAAGTCTTGCAAGACATGTAGACACTCATATATAGGAAGCTCAAAGATCACAAAATAGATTCAACCCAGAAACGTCTTTTCAAGGCACATTATAGTCAAACTGTCAAAAGTCCAAGAGAAAAAAACAATTCAAAAGTCAGAAAGAGAACAGCATCAAGTCACATATAACAGAATCTCCAACAGGCTAACATCAGATTTCTCAACAGAAACTTTACAGGCTAGGAAAAAATGCTATGCTATATTAAAAGAGCTAATATAGCCTTTCCCAGACAAGTAAAAACTGGGAAATTATCATCACTAGACTGATCCTACAAGAAATGCTTAAGGAGTCCTACATCTAAAAGTGAAAGGATGATATCTACCATCATGAAAACACATGAAAGTATAAATCTCACCGGTACAGCACATGTACAAATGAGAAACAGAAAGGAGCCAAACATTACCACTACAGTAAACCACCAGACTGCAATAGTAAGCAATAAGAGACAAAGAAAGGAATAAAGGATATACAAAAAAACCCCAAAACAATTAACAAAATGACAAGAATAAGTCTTCACCTATCAATGACAATTTTGAACATGAACAGATTAAATTCCCCACTTAAAATGTGTAGACTGGCTGACTAGATTAAAAACAAAACCAAAACCCAATTATATGCTACTTACAAGAAACTCACTTCACCTGTAAAGACACATATAAACTAAAAGTGAAGAAATGGAAAAAGATTTTCACACAAATGGAAATTCAAAATGAGCAGAAGGGGCTATACTCCCATCAGATAAAATAGACTTTAAGTAAAAAACTGTAAAAAGAGACAAAAAGGTCATTATTTAATGATAAAGGGATCAATTCAGCAAGAGGATATAATAATTCTAAATATATATATATTTATGTATATTTTTGTACATTTTGTACATGTATATTTTTGTACATTTATGTACATATAAATACATGTATATTTTGTACATATAAATATATGTATATCTTATACATATATATGTGTATATCCAAACTTGGAGCACCCAGATATATAAGGAAGCAAATACTATTAAGTCTATAGGGAGATAGACTACCATACAATAGTATTTGGGGACTTCAACACCCCACTCTCGGCATTGTACAGATTACCTAGATAGAAAATTAACAAAAACGTTGGACATAAACTGCACTTTAGAAAAATGGACCCAACAGACATTTACAGAACATTTTATAAAACAAATGCAGAATGTACATTCTTCTCAGCAGCACATGGAACATTCTTCAGTATAGACAATATGTTAGGCCATAAAACCAGTTGCAACAAATTTTTTAAACTCGAAATTATATCAAGTATCTTATTTGGCCACAGTGAAATAAAACCAGAGATAAATAACAAGAGGAACTTGGAAAACTGTACAAGTACATGGAAATGAAACAACATGCTCCCAAATGACTGTGGAGTCAATGAAGAAATTAAGAAGTAAATCTAAAATATTCTTGAAACAAATGAAAACGAAAATACAACATACCAAAACCTGTGGGATACAGTAAAAGCAGTGCCTAGAGAGATGTTTATAGCAGTAAATGTCCACATCAAAAGAGTAGAACAATTTCAAATAAACAACCTAACAATGCACCTAAAGGATCCAGAAAAGCAAGAACAAATCAAACTCAAAATTAGTTAAAGGAAAGAAATAATAAAGATCAGAGCAGAACTAAATGAAATAGATATTAAAAAAAAAAATACAAAGGACGGCGCAGCACGGTGCCGCGGCGCAGCTCCTGCTCGTCTTTCCCCCTTCCTGGGCGAGAGGTGCCTATGGCGCCTGATCGCCGCCGCCGCCGCTGCCGCCGCCGCTACCGCCACAGCCATCGCCGCTGGGCTGGGTGCAGTCTCTATGGCGAGGAGGAGGAGGTGGAGCGCGAGCTCAGCGACACAAGTACATAAATAAAGGAGAAAACATTTTATGAAACAAATCTTCAATCAAGTATAACATTCTGATGCTTGGCATCGAGACCCCCTTGTGCACTCACTACTCCAGCAGCAACTGTAGCTCATAGCCCAAGAATTTGTGAAGTTTGGGCTTGCAACTTGGATGAAGAGATGAAGAAAATTCGTCAAGTTATCCGAAAATATCATTACGTTGCTATGGTCACCGAGTTTCCAGGTGTGGTTGCAAGACCTATTAGAGAATTGAGGAGCAATCCTGACTATCAGTATCAACTATTGCAGTGTAATGTAGACTTCTTAAAGATAATTCAGCTAGGACTGACATTTATGAATGAGCAAGGTGAATACCCTCCAGGAACTTCAACTTGGCAGCTTAATTTTAAATTTAATTTGATGGAGGACATGCATGCCCAGCACTCTATAGAGCTACTAACAACATCTGATATCCAGTATAAAAAACATTAGGAGGAAGGAATTGAGACCCAGTACTTTGCTGAACTTATGACTTCGGGAGTGCTCCTCTGTGAAGGGGTCAAATGGTTGTCATTTCATAGCAGTTATGACTTTGGCTATTTAATTAAAATCCTGACCAACTCTAACTTGCCTGAAGAAGAACTTGACTTCTTTGAGATCCTTTGACTGTTTTTTCCTGTCATTTATGCTGTGAAGTAGCTCATGAAGAGCTGCAAAGGTGGTGGCAGAATAGGTAGAGCTGGAACGGATAGGACCACAGCATCAGGCAGGATCTGATTCATCGCTCACAGGAATGGCCTTTTCTAAAATGAGAGAAATGTTCTTTCAAGATCATATGGATGATGCCAAATATTGTGATCATTTGCATGGCCTTGGTTCTGGTTCCTCCTGTGTACAGAATGGCACAGGCAATGCATATGAAGAGAAAGCCAGCATTCAGTCATGACATGAAATAGTCCTTTTATTTTTATTTTATTTCGAGCTACACACATGCTTGTATATAGATTTTATCTCTGGTTGAATCCCTTGAACAACAGACAGTACCTCCCCCCATCTTTCATGGCCCATTTTATTGTCTGCCTTTCAGTACTAAGCATGACCATTCCTATCTCAGATCTTAATAAAAAGAAACACAGTCAGGTTAAATTTGGCCTTAATTTAATATAATTTAATGGGGAAAGAGACATCATATTGAATATTTTGATAAACTTTACCTACTCGAATTTGGTTTATTTTTCCCTTTTCGTAAATTAACTAGCACTGACTGTAATTTATTTCCCTGTCTCATATCTCTCCCTTCCATTCTGCAGGCGTTTTAGCTATTTGAGATTGTGAACCATCAGTTTTGCACTTTAGAGAGTGATTCTGACTCAAAACCTCTGTTTTATCAGAAATTTTGTTTTTTCTTTATCTTAGCTGGAAAAATGACCATCTGCCAACTTTACACAGTATTTACTTGTTTTTGACCCACAGAATATAGCACATTCATTGTGCAAACTGTCAATTCAGCAAAACCAAAAAAAAGACAAGAAACTACTGAAGAGCTTAGTAAGTGCTGTTTCTGTACATAGCGTTTAATCTTCCAAGCACTTCTAGTGTCTGTCAGTTTCTAATTGGCATGTGTAGGCTGCTCTGTGACTGAAGAATTTTAAAACCAGCTTTACACCGTTCAGGAAAAATCCTTTGTGATTGGATGTTTAGTATCTGCCAGGAAACTGGTACTCAAGATGTTGAAGCTACTGTTATTTTATGATAGCACACTTCCCTTGATCTGCTTCTTTTGTTCCATCACTGTTTACCCTTTATTTTATTTCATTTTGTAGCCATACTTATGATACTCTTGATTTGTTGGTTACACAAATCAATTTTATTAAAATCCAAAGATAACAAGCCTTTAGGTATATTTTGTACCAAATTAAATTAAAGACAAAAATTATGCTTTCATAGTTGCTGCAAAGATAAATAATGAAGAAATTTGGTACAAAACAACAAAATATAACATATATATACATATTCATTTTTATGTATGTATATATATATATATATATACAGCTAATAAAATTACCTGAGGAGTGTAATGCTTTGTTTTGTGTGTGTATATCTTTGCAATCTATTTTATATATATATTGACAAAAGAGACTGAAATATTTAGCCATGCAGAACATGTGACCAGACCAGAGCATTTGTAGGAAGACTTTTTGGTAATCATTAACTCTACCCTGAAATGATGGACTACAAGTTATAATGTGTGTTACCTACACTTCAATCAGTAATATTAGCAAATCTCCAAATGTTAGCCACATTGTTTGTCTCCCTTGTACATTCTTTATTCATGATACTACAGTGCTGTAACTGGGTAATCCTTTTTAAACAAAAGATTATTTACAGAACAGGAGGTATTATTTGTTTTTAGAGCTTTTGTAAATAAAGGCTTCAAAAATATTTTCTTATGAAAAAAGTAAAAAAATACAAAGGATTAATTAAATAAAAAATTGGTTTTTTGAAAAGAAAAAATTGATAAACCACTAGCTAGAGTAAGAGGAAAAAAAGAGAGAAGACTCAAATAAATAAAAGCAGAAAAAAAGGAGACATCACAACTGCTACCACAGAGAACCAAAGGACCATTAGAGACCATTATGAATAACTACACATTAACAAATTGGAAAACTTAGAGGAAATGGATAAGTTGCTGGATACATACAATCTACCAAGATTGTATGAAGAAATAGAAAGAAATAAAATAGAAAACCTGAACAGACTAATAACATTTAATAATATTGAATCAGTAATAAAATTATCCCAACAATAACAAAAAAGCCCAGGAGCAGACGGCTTTGCTGCGGAGTTCTACCAAACTTATAAAGAAGAATTAACACCAATTATTCTCAAACTATTCCAAAAATCTGAAGAGTAGGGAATTCTTCCTAAGTCATTCCATGGGGCTACCATTACCCTGATACTGAAACCAGATAAGGACACAATAAAAAATAAAACTACAGGCCAATATCTTTGATGAACACAGATGCAAAAACCTTCAACAAAATACTAGCAAACTGAATCCAACAACACATCAAAAAGATAATATAGCATGATCAAGTGGGATTTATCACAGAAATGCAAGGATGGTTCAATACACACAAATTTGTTGTGTGATACATCATATCAACAAATGAAGGACAAAAACCTTATGATCATCTCAATAAACACAGAAAAAGCATTTGATAAAATTTAACATCACTTCCTGATCAAAACTCTCAACAATTCAGGCATAGAAGGAACCTACCTGCTATGGTTTTGTTTTGTGTCTCTACCCAAATCTCATGCCAAATTGTAATTCCCAATGTTAGGAGAAGTACTTGGTGGGAGGTGATTGGATCATAGGTGTGAATTTCCCCTTTGCTGTTTTCATGATAGTGGGTGAGATCCAGTTGTTTAAAAGTGTATAGCACTTCCTTGTTCACTCTCTCCCTCTCCTGCTCTGCTGTGGTAAGACGTGCTTGCTTTCCCTTCCAACATGGCTGTAAGTTTCCTGAGGCCACTCAGCCATCCTTCCTGTACAGCCTGCAGAACTGACTCAATTAAACCTCTTTTCTTCATAGATTACCCAGTCTCAGGTAGTTCTTTATAGCAGTGTGAGAACAGAACGGACTAACACTACTTCAACATAATAAAGGCCATATATAACAAACCGATAGCTAATATCATACTGAATGGTGGGGCTGGGACTTGGGAGGCTAAGGTGGAAGAATTGCTTGAATCCAGGGGTTTGAGGCTGCAGTGAGCTATGATCACATCACTGCCCTCTATCCTGGGTGACAGAGCAAATGAGATCTTGTCTCCAAAAAGAAGAAGAAAAAGATACAAAATATCCAACAGATATATGAAAATATGCCCAACAACACTAATCATCAGGGAAATGCAAATCAAAACCACAATGAGATATTATTTCACCCCAGTTAGAATGGTTATTATTACAAAGACAAAAAGAATAACAAATACTCATGAGGATGAGGAAAAAATGGAACTCTCATACACTGTTAATAGGAATGTAACTTGGTATAGCCATAATGGAAAAAATATAGAGGTTTCCTAAAAGTAACTTGGTATAGCCATAATGGAAAAAATATAGAGGTTTCCTAAAAAACTAAAAATGAACTACCCTATGATCCAGCAATTCCACTACCGGGTATTTATCTAAAGGAAAGGAAGTCAGTGTATCAAAGGAATACCTGCACACCCATGTTTATTTCAGCACGGTTCACAAGAGCTAAGATAGAGAATCAGTGTAAGTGTCCATCAATAGATAAATGGATAATGTGATATATACATAATAAAATACTATTCATCCATGATAAAAGGATGAAATCCTGTCATTTGTGACATGGACAGAACTAAAGATCTTTATATTAAGAGAAATAAGCCAAGAACAGAAAGACAGACATTGTATGTACTCACTCATATGTGGGAGCTAAAAAAAGTTGATCTCATGGAGATAGAGAGTAGAATGATGGTTTCCAAAGGCTGGAAAGGGTGGTAGGGAGATGAAGAGAGGTTGTTTAGGGGGTACAAACATACAGTCAGATAGAAGTAATAAATTATTAGTTCTTAGTACCACAAAACAATGACTATAGTTAACAATAGTTTGTTTTATATTTCAAAATAGGGAGGAGAGGCTGGGCACGGTGGCTCATGCTTGTAATCCCAGCACTTTGGGATGCCAAGGCAGGGGGATAACCCGAGGTCAGGAATTCAAGACCAGCCTGGCCAACACTAAAAATATAAAAATTAGCCAGGCATCATTGTGCATGCCTGGAATCACAGCTATTCAGGAGGCTGAGGCCAAGAATCGCTTGAACCCAGGTGGTGGAGGTTGCAGTGAGCTGAGATGGTGCCACTGCACTCTAGCCTGGGTAACAGATCAAGACTTTTCTAAAAATAATAATAATAATAATAATAGGGAGAAGATTTGAAATGTTCTCAAGACGAATGATAAATGTTTGAGATGATGGATATTCTAAATAATTTGATCATTACACATTTATGCATATCTCAAAATATCACATGTACTCCATAAATATGTATAATTTTTATATATCAGTAAAAAAGAATGTTATCAGTATAGTTTACACTTTTTAAATTTTAATAAAAGTTCCTTTAAACAAACAAAAGTGTTTTCTTCCATAGCAGTAAAAATGATTCCTCTCTATAACTATGTAAATGGATTTTGCCCCACAGAGACTAGAAATCACTGGAGGTCAAATCTTGATTTAAACTGATTTTAATATCTTACCAGTTTCCTCATTATTTAAAGAGTTATGTAAAGTGTTGATACATGTTTATTTTAAATTTCCATGAGAGTCATGAATTTGCCATTCTGAGACTATCTTAGCACTTTTGAAGATCATCCACTAAGCTGCTCCAGTGACTCTCCTGAAGGAGTCAGGTGAATTGCACTGCATGAGACAGGCACCCCATGAGCTGCCTAAGTCCAGGCACATCTTTTGTTAGTTCTCAGAGTGGCTTCCAAGTGGCAATGGAACCTCAACTTCTTTGCTGAGTGAACTTTTAATATCAGCAGAAATTATGTTTTATTGTATGTCAGCTTAAACATAATTTTGAAGGTCTTAGAAAACCTAAAACATGGAACTAATATTAAAGTGAGCTAATAAAAGGAAAATATTGGATACAAGCATTGAATACTAAGAATAATTTTAATTTATTTTCTTTTGCTTCTTATTTTCATATGCAATAGAGCAGCTATATCTTTCAGTCATTTTTGCCACTTTAAGAAAGTATAAAAGGATTGGGTGGCTGTAGAAAGTTGTGCTTTGTGTATTCAAGATCTTTGATGATCTGCTAAAATGCTTGTATATGACAGAAGTCAATTACCTATTCCCAATTTTCTGCAAAACAGAAATTAATTACTTTGATTAAAAGTAATAATAATATAGGTGGCTAAAACTATATCAGAACAATAGTAACAAGGAAAATAACCTGTATGTTTATTTTTCAAATGAAAAGAAATAGTCCTAAAGTAACAGTTTCTTCCAGTTAGAGGAAGAAAGAGCATAATGAAGGACAAAGCTCAAGCAGAATGAATTGGATTTGCCTTGGTTTAAAGCATCTGAGTCTGAAAAGAAATTATGAAAAGAAATTATCTACTAAAATTTTGGCAAACTTTGGTCAGTTCTGATGGACCTGCTTTCTGGGTTTATTGATTAATGACTTCATTTACAACGTGAAAGGTTATTAATTATCATCTCTTCAATCTGCCTACAGATAAAAATTTCCATGTCTTAGAATAATTTCCTGTGTTTTGTTGACTTTATGATTATTAAAAAAAACAGAAGTACTAAGTTTCTGTGGAGCTGTATTATTTTCTTTGGTTTATTTTTTAATATTTTATTATAATTAGGTTAAGTTGCTAAATGTTGCTCCTCAGTCACCCAAGACCCTGTCTACATCAAGTGATCAATTCTGTTCCTACGACCTTTCGAATTTGCTCTCCCAAGATCAGGTCCTACATTTAGGACAAATAAAAAGTAATATTTTCAGAATATTATTTATACCTAGAACTATTATTAAGATAACCCCAAGAGCCCATGGAAAATAGCCATAATTTTTTATTTTACCTTATAACTAGGAGAGATGTTAGGATAATTAGGTTTGCTTGGCATGCTTCGTATTTCTTAACCAGCTCAGCATTTATTGTAAGAGCTGCAGAGGAGGCTGGGTGCAGTGGCTCACACCTGTAATCCCAGCATTTTGGGAGACTGAGGCAGGTGGATCACCTGAGGTCAGGAGTTCGACCACCCTGGCCAACACAATGAAACCCCCTCTCTACTAAAAATACAAAATTAGCCAGGCGAGGTGGTGGATGCCTGTAGTCCCAGCTACTCTGGAGGCTGAGGCAGGAAAATCTTTTGAACCTGGAAGGTGGAAGTTGCAGTGGGCCGCCGAGATCATGCCAGCCTGGGCAACAGAGCAGGACTCTGTCTCAAAAAAAAAAAAAAAAAGAAAAAAAGTCGGGTGCAGTGGCTCATGCTTGTAATCCTAGCACTTTGGGAGGCCAAGGCAGGCAAATCACCTGAGGTCAGGAGTTCGAGACAAGCCTGGCCAACATGGTGAAACCCCATCTCTGCCAAAAATACAAAAAATTAGCCAGGTGTGGTGACTCATGTCTGTAATCCCAGCTACATGGGAGGCTGAGGCAGAAGAATCACTTGAACCCAGGAGGCAGAGGTTGCAGTGAGCCAAGATTGTGCCACTGCACTCCAGCCTGGGTGACAGTGCAAGACTCCATCTTTAAAAAATAAAAAATAAAAAATAAAAAAAAACTGCAGAGGAGGAATTATTAAATCATAGAAAACATAGAAAACACTTAGCCCTCCCTGAATTAAGTTTGAATGGGTGAAATATTGTTAATATAAATATTTCAAAAACAATATGCTTTATGTGAAGGCCCTGGAGATTTTTCAGTGTGTTCACTATCCATAATATGTTTTTATCCTCAAGGAAAAATATTGATCAAATGTATACAAAATAGTTATAGGCCAGGCATGGGACTCACACCTGTAATCCCAGCACTTTGGGAGGCCAAGGCAAGAGGATTGCTTGAGTCCAGGAATTGAAGAACAGCCTGGGCAATATGGTGAGACACTGTCTCTACAAAAAAATAATAATTAGCCAGGCATGGTGGCTCGTGCTTGTTGCCCTAGCTACTCAGGAGACTGAGGTGGGAAGATTGCTTGAGTACAGGAGGTTGAGATCACAGTGAGCTGGGATCATGCCACTCCACTTCAACCTGGGTGACAGAGTGAGACCCTGTCTCAAAAAAAAAAAGTTCTGTATTATACCCCAATGGGGAATTTTACTTTCCTACCTTATGATATAATTGGCCTCATCCTTCTAGTATTTCTCATCTACAAATAATTTTTGTTTTACTCTGATTCTTGCCAAACAGCTAAAAAGCTTTTAGAGGCTGTGTTTTCAACTAAGGAAAGTTTCAGAACCCCATGGAAAGTTTTGCATCAATAATTTTCAACTATTGATATTTGATATGGTTTAGCTCTGTGTCCCCACCCAAATCTCATCTTGTAGCTCCCATAATTCCCACCTGTTGTGGGAGGGACTCAGTGAGAGATAATTGAATCATAGGGGTAGGACTTTCCTGTGGTGTTCTCATTATAGTGAATAAGTCTCACGAGATCTGATGGTTTTAAAAACAGGAGTTTCTGTGCACAAGCTCTCTCTCTTTGCCTGCCACCATCCATGTGAGATTTGACTTGCTCCTCCTTGCCTTCCTTGATGATTGTGAGGCCTCCCCAACCATGTGGAACTGTAAGCCCATTAAACCTCTTTCTCTTTCCAGTCTTGGATATGTCTTTATCAGCAGCATGAAAATGGACTAATACAGTAAATTGGTACCAGGAGTGGGGTGGTGATGAAAAGATACCTGAATATGTGGAAGCGACTTTGGAACTGGGTAACAGGTGGAGGCTGGAAGTTTGGAGGGCTCAGAAGAAGACAGAAAAGTGTGGCAAAGTTTGTGGAACTTACTAGAGACTTGTTGAATGGCTTTGTCAAAAATGCTAATAGTGATATGAACAACAAGGTCTAGGCTGAGGAGGTCTCAGATGGCGATGAGGAACTTGTTGGGAACTGTAGTAAAGGTGACTCTTGCTATGTTTTAGCAAACAGAGTGATGGCATTTTTCCCCTGCCCTAGAGATTTGTGAAACTTTGAACTTGAGAGAGATGATTTCAGGTATCTGGCAGAATAATTTCTAAGGAGCATTCAAGAGGTGACTTTGGGTGGTGTTAAAAACATTCAGTTTTATAAAGGAAGCAGAGCATTAAAGTTTGGAAAGTTCACAGCCTGAAAATGCAATAGAAAAGAAAGACCCATTTTTTGAAGAGAAATTCAAGCCCACTGCATAAATTTGCATAAGGAACGAGTTAATTAATGAATGTTAACCCCCAAGCAATGGGGAAAATTTCTCCAGGCATTCAGAGGTCTTCACAGCAGCCCCTCCCATCACAGGCTTGGAGGTCTAGGAGAAAAAGATGGTTTCCCAGGCCGGGCCCAGGGTCCCTCTGTTGTGTGCAGTCTAGGGACTTGATCTGCATTGCAGCCACTCCAGCCATGACTAAAATGGGCCAAGGTTCAGCTCGGGCTGTTGCTTCAGCGAGTGGGAGCCCCAAACCATGGCAGCTTCCATGTGGTGGTGAGCCTGCAAGGGCACAGAAGTCAATAATTGAGGTTTGGGAACCTCCACCGAGATTTCAGAGGATGTATGGAAATGCCTGGATGCCCAGGCAAGAGTTTGCTGCAGTGGTGGGGCCCTCATGGAGAACCTCTGCTAGAGCAGTATGGGAGGGAAATGTGGGGTCAGAGCCCTCAAGCAGAGTCCCTACTGGGGCACCACCTAGTGGAGGTGTGAGAAGAGGGCCAAGGTCACCCAGATCCCAGAATGGTAGATCCACTGACAGTTTGCACTGTGCACCTGGAAAAGCCGCAGACACTCAATGCTGGCCCATGAAAGCAGCCAGGAGAGGGGCTATAACCTGCAAAGTCACATGGTCGAAGTTGCCCAAGACCATGGGAAGCCACCACTTGCATCAGCATGGCCTGGATATGAGACATGGAGTCAAAGGAGATCACTTTGATACTTTAAGACTTGACTGCCGGGTTGGTTTTTGGACTTCCATGGGGCCTGTAGCCCCTTTGTTTTGACTAATTCCTCTCATTTGGAATGGCTGTATTTACCCAATGCCTGTACCCCCATTGTATCTAGGAAGTAACTAACTTGCTTTTGATTTTACAGGCTCTTAGGTGGAAGGGACTTGCATTGTCTCAGATGAGACTTTGGACTGTGGACTTTTGAGTTAATGCTGGAATGTGTTAAGACTTTGGGGCACTGCTAAGAAGGCATGATTGGTTTTGAAATGTGAGGACATGAGATTTGGGAGGGGCTGGGGCAGAATGATATGGTTTGACTCTGTGTCCCCACCGAAATCTCATCTTGTAGCTCCCATAATTCCCACGTATTGTGAGAGGGGCCTGGTAGGAGATAACTGAATCATAGAGTCGGCACTTTCCTGTGCTGTTCTCATAATAGTGAATAAGTCTCACGAGATCTGATGTTTTAAAAAATGAGAGTTTCTGTGCACAAGCTCTCTTCTCTTATCTGCCACCATATGAGATGTGCCTTTCACCTTCTGCCATGATTGTGTGGCATCCTCAGCCACATGGATGGAACTGTGAGTCCATTAAACCTCCTTCTTCTTTAAATTGACCAGTCTTGGTTATGTCTTTATCAGCAGTATGAAAACAGAGTAATACAATATTTCAAATAATAGATTCTTGAATACATAATTCCAAGATTACACAGCTTAGAGAACCTCAGACTGTACCAGTGGGCTAAGCAGGATTTCCATGTCTAGTTTTACTCAGGAAGCAAACAGCTTTATGAAGGCAAACTACTACTGATGGAAAACCCAGTAGCAAAGAATTAATTACAGTATTACGTTAAGTCTCCTTTTTTCCAGGTTTTTTATCTTTACTGAATTTTTTTTTTTTGTTTTTGGCCAAAGAAACTTTTTGATCAAAAAGTTATTCTCTACTGGTAGCAGCAATAATTGAGAATTTGGTTTTATGCACTCACAATTTGGGTTATTTTTCTAGATAAATGATAGACATCTATTCTCTTTTGAGAGAGATGACAAATAATCCCATTTGACACCCCTTTTCCTTTATTTGTCCACGTTTATCTCAAATCAACTAAGTATTTGGTGCACACTGAGAAGAAAAAGAGATTTTTTATATCTGTAATGGTGATGTTTTTGTTTTTGTGTCTATTTTTTATTACTCTCTAGAAAGCATTTATTAACATTTACTTTAATTTTCTTTCCGTATTCTGGAAAATAAATATAATACACAAAATGCAATAAAATGCTCTCTTCCCATTTCAAATAAATATAATTTGCTCTTGCAAAACATGTAATAATCTGTGTAATTCACTACAGTATATGTGTTAGTCCGTTTTCACACTGCTATAAAAAAAATACCTGAGACTGGGTAATGTATGAAGAAAAGAGGTTTAATTGACTCAGTTTCACAGGCTTAACAGGAAGCATGGCTGGAAGGCCTCAGGAAACTTACAATCATGGCAGCAGGAAAAGGGGAAGCAAGCATGTCTTACCATGGCAGAGCAGGAGAGATAGAGTGTGTGAGGGTGTAAGTGCTACACACTTTCAAAAAAATCAGATGTCATGAGAATTCACTCACTATCACAAGAACAAAAGGGAAGTCCACCCCCATGATTCAATCACCTCCCAGCAGGCTATTCCTCCAACACATTGGGATTACAACTTGACATGAGATCTGGGTGGGGGCATAGAGCCAAACCATATCAATTTACTATCAGGAAAATAAGGATAATCCCTAGTTACATTGTCACTTATTTTAATGACTGCCACAAGCATCTTACTCTGGAGAAAAAGAACACCATTGTCTGTGGGATTATATTGACTTGGAGACTGTTGCTTCTTGTTTGGAGGAGGCAAAGATAAACTCTTTTAAAAAGCATTTAGTGTCCACCAGGCACAGTGGTTCATATCTGTAATCCCAGCTCTTTGGGAAGCCAAGATGGGAGGATCTCTTGAGGCCAGGAGTTTGAGATTACAGTGAGCTCTGATTATGCCACTGCAGTCTACCTGAGTGACAGAGGGAGACTCTGTCTTTAAAAATATATAATAAATTTAAATTATGTGTGTGTGTGTGTGTTTAGTGTCAAAAAGTATCTTAGTTTGGGAGAAAAATAGCATCTAGGTCTTTGCTAAATCAACTAAATTGTGTGGTAACTTTCCTGTTAATACTTCCTAGAGACCAGACCACATTCTGAATAATGATTCCTGTGTATCACACTGATAATTTTCAAATTAGTGGTTAAGTATTTGAATTCATAGTTATGTATATGCTATTATATAAACCCAAAACAGAATTTTAAAGCTCCATTAACAGGAAAGGCTAAAAATAATGGTGCTTTACAGGACAAATTTATCTTTTTTACAATTGTTATTATTAACATTATAAAAACTGAAATCTATTGAATTATAAAGACTTAACACAGGCTTATAAATGCTTGTGTCCATGATCACTTTAAGACAATGTGTTAGTTTGCTCTTACAAGTGGTAAGAATATTTTACTAACCAGCAAAAATTACATGTAGGTATTCACATTCACCAATCTTAAAAATTTTCTTTTGTGTAATCTATTCACACTCAAAAGAATATATCGCCAAGGAATAAAAGTCATTATTACTGTTTGTTTTCTTATGTTAGCAGTTGATTGGTACTTTATATACTACCTGGTAGAAGTAAACTAACATTTACTGTAGTTCCAGTCCCGCCATATGTGGCTTATTTACATGGATGAGAAATGCTGATCAAACCATGCCACCTCAAAACATACTGTGTTCAGTAAAAAATCTTACACAGGCTATAAAGTGGGTATTAAATCTGTCCTCAGTATTATAAAGGACATCAATTAGTGTCCAGCTGGTGACATAATATGAAAACTTTTTTCTTCATTTATAAGGGTAGAAAATTATATGCCCAGGCATTCCTTTATAGCAACATGTTTATTTCTACAAATTTCTGTAACAGTTAAGTGTGTACTCAAAAATTCACAAGTCCAATAAAATAAGTTTGTGGTTTCCTTCTTTGACATTCTTAATATTTACTCCATTTCAAAGGGTGTATTAAAGTTGTTTGCCAAGGATGTATGTTCAAAGATCCTTGACAAGCTTGGTATGGACAGTTCTACTGAGTGACATGAGTTGCTGAGAGGTGCTTCAGGGATGTCATTTGGTCTATCTCAGGCTCCCTTCTCTCATAATACAGAGCCCAGAGTTAAGTAGTGGTGAGAATCATGGCCAGGTTTGTGTCACTTTAATGGAAATTCCCAGAAAACTTAGCACTTGTGATTGTTTGGTTCCTTTCAAAAGGAAACATTTTTGTTCCCACAGTCCTCTTGATAAAGGTCACTAAGATCTTCCTGGTGGGAATTCTCTAGCATAGCAGGATTCTGGGGGCTAGTCCGTCCCTGTCATTTCCAACCAGTCACTGAAACATACTACTTCACAACACTTAAATGCCCACCGAAAACTTTCCAACCATGAGTAAGCCACTGGTATCCAGGTAAGTCATATTTGCCATTCTGGCTTTCAAAGTGACTACATCTAACCACTGTACTGGAACCACACACTTCTGTTCATATGTCCAAATGCCACTAGCCTCAGCCTCCTGGGTAGCTGGGACTATAGGCATGTGCCACCAAACACAGCTAATTTTTTTCATATTTTTGGTAGAGATGGGATTTCACCATGTTGGCCAGGATGGTCTTGATCTCTTGACCTCGTGATCCACCCACCTCGGCCTCCCAAAGTGCTGGGATTACAGGCCTGAACCACCACACCCAGCCAGAAATAATTAGATTTATTTGATGTCCGTCTACTATAACAGTTACATGGGAAGAGTTGTCAAATCAGAAAAGACACCCAATCTGCCCTAGGCTAAATTTGCATAGGTAAATGCATAGGTAAATGATATGCAAATACATACATTTGCATAGGTAAAGTGATGTTTGTATAAATATTCCAGGAATTATATATTTTACAAGAACTTCCTGGATATTTCTCAATATTCCTTGCTACTGTATTATTTATTATTTATTATTTATTATTATTTATTATTTATTATTATACTTTAAGTTCTAGGGTACATGTGCAGAACGTGCAGGTTTGTTACATAGGTATACATGTGCCATGTTGGTTTGCTGTACCCATCAACTCGTCATTTATATTAGGTATTTCTAACGCTATCTCTCCCCCAGCCCCCCACCCCATGATAGGCCCCAGTGTGTGACATTCCCCTCCCTGTGTCCATGTGTTCTCATTGCTCAACTCCCACTTATGAGTGAGAACATGTGGTGTTTGGTTTTCTGTCCTTGTGATATTTTACTGAGTATGATGGTTTCCACCTTCATCCATGTCCCTACAAAGGACATGAACTCATCCTTTTTTATGGCTGCATAGTATTCCATGGTGTATATGTGCTACATTTTCTTTATCCAGTCTATTATTGAAGGACATTTGGGTTGGTTCCAAGTCTTTGCTATTGTGAATAGTGCCACAATAAACATACATGTGCATGTGTCTTTATAGTAGCATGATTTATAATCCTTTGGGTATACTCAGTAATGGCATTGCTGGGTCAAACGTATTTCTATTTCTAGATCCTTGAGGAATTCCCACACTGTCTTCCACAATGGTTGAACTAATTTACACTCCCACCAACAGGGTAAAAGCATTCCTATTTCTCCACATCCTCTCCAGCATCTGTTGTTTCCTAACTTTTTAATGATCGCCATTCTAACTGGCATGAGATGGTATCTCATTGTGGTTTTGATTTGCATTTCTCTGATGGCCAGTGATGATGAGCATTTTTTGATATGTCTGTTGGCTGCATAAATGTCTTCTTTTGAGAAGTGTCTGTTCATATCCTTTGCCCACTTTTTGATGGGTTTGTTTATTTTTATCTTGTAAATTTGTTTAAGTTCTTTGTAGATTCTGGATATTAGCCCTTTGTCAGATGAGTAGATTGCAAAAATTTTCTCCCATTCTGTAGGTTGCCTGTTCACTCTAATGATAGTTTCTTTTGCTCTGCAGAAGCTCTTTAATTAGATCCCATTTGTGAATTTTGGCTTTTGTTGCCATTGCTTTTGGTATTTTAGTCATGAAGTCTTTGCCCATGCCTATGTCCTGAATGGTATTGCCTAGGTTTTCTTCTAGGGTTTTTATGGTTTTAGGTCTTACATTTAAGTCTTTAATCCATCTTGAATTAATTTTTATATAAGGCATAAGGAAAGGATCCAGTTTCAGGTTTCTACATATGACTAGCCAGTTTTCCCAGCACCATTTATTAAATAGGGAATCTTTTCCCCATTGCTTGTTTTTGTCAGGTTTGTCAAAGATCAGATGGTTGTAGATGTCTGGTGTTATTTCTGAGGCCTCTGTTCTGTTCCATTGGTCTATCTCTCTCTGTTTTGGTACCAGTACCATGCTGTTTTGGTTACTGTAGCCTTGTAGTATAGTTCAAAGTCAGATAGTGTGATGCCTCCAGCTTTGTTCTTTTTGCTTAGGATTGTCTTGGCTATGTGGGCTCTTTTTTGGTTCTATATGAAATTTAAAGTAGTTTTTTCCAAATCTGTGAAGAAAGTCAGTGGTAGCTTGATGAGGATAGCATTGAATCTATAAATTACCTTGGGCAGTATGGCCATTTTCATGATATTGATTCTTCCTATCCATGAGCAGGGAATGTTCTTCCATTTGTTTGTGTCCTCTCTTATTTCGTTGAGCAGTGGTTTGTAGTTCTCCTTGAAAAGGTCCTTCACATCCCCTGTAATTTGGATTCCTAGGTATTTTATTCTCTTTGTAGTAAATGTGAATGGGAGTTCACTCATGTTTTGGCTCTCTGTCTGTTTTTAGTGTATAGGAATTCTTGTGACTTTTGCACATTGATTTTCTATCCTGAGACTTTGCTGAAGTTGCTTATCAGCTTAAGGAGATTTTGGCTGAGATGATGGGGTTTTCTAAATATACAATCATGTCACCTGCAAACAAAGACAATTTGACTTTCTCTTTTCCTAATTGAATACCTCTTATTGCTTTTTCTTGCCTGATTGCCCTGGCCAAAACTTCCAATACTATGTTGAATAGGAGCAGTGAGAAAGGGCATCCTTGTCTTGTGCTGGTTTTCAAAGGGAATGCTTCCAGTTTTTGCCCATTTGGTATGATATTGGCTGTGGGTTTGTCATAAATAGCTCTTATTATTTTGAGATACGTTCCATCAATACCTAGTTTATTGAGAGTTTTTAGTGTGAAAGGCTGTTGAACTTTCTCAAAGGCCTTTTCTGCATCTATTGAGATAATGATGTGTTTTTGACATTGGTTCTGTTTATGTGATGGATTACGTTTATTGATTTGCAAATGTTGAACCAGCCCTGCATCCCAGGGATGAAGAAAACTTGATCACGGTGGACAAACTTTTTGATGTGCTGCTGGATTCAGTTTGCCAGTATTTTATTGAGGATTTTCGCATCAATGTTCATCAGACATATTGGCCTAAAATTATCTTTTCCTGTTGTGTTTCTGCCAGGCTTTGATATCAGGATGATTCTAGCCTCATAAAATGAGTTAGGGAGGATTCCCTCTTTTTCTATTGATTGGAGTAGTTTCAGAAGGAATGGTACCAGCTCCTCTTTGTACCTCGGACAGAATTCGGCTATGAATCCATCTGGTCCTGGACTTTTTTGGTTGGTAGGCTATTAATTATTGGATCAATTTCAGAACCTGTTATTGGTCTATTCAGAGATTCAACTTCTTCCTGGTTTAGTCTTGGGAGGGTGTATGTGTCCAGGAATTTTTCCATTTCTTCTAGATTTTCTAGTTTATTTGCATAGAGGTGTTAATAGTATTCTCTGATGGTAGTTTGTATTTCTGTGGGATCGGTGGTGACATCCCCTTTATCATTTTTTATTGCATCTATTTGATTCTTCTCTCTTTTCTTCTTTATTAGTCTTGCTAGCGGTCTATCTATTTTGTTGATCTTTTCAAAAAACCAGCTCCTGGATTCATTGATTTTTTTGAAGAGTTTTTTTGTGTCTCTATCTCCTTCAAGTTCTTCTCTGATCTTAGTTATTTCTTGTCTTCTGCTAGCTTTTGAATTCGTTTGCTCTTGCTTCTCTAGCTCTTTTAATTGTGATGTCAGGGTGTCAACTTTAGATCTTTCCTCCTTTCTATAGAGGGCATTTAGTGCTATAAATTTCCCTCTACACACTGCTTTAAGTGTGTTCCAGAGATTCTGGTACTTTGTGTCTTTCTTCTCATTGGTTTCAAAGAACATCTTTATTTCTGCCTTAATTTCATTATTTACCTAGTAATCATTCAGGAGCAGGTTGTTCAGTTTCCATGTAGTTGTGTGGTTTTGAGTGAGTTTCTTAATCCTGAGTTCTAATTTGATTGCACTGTGGTCTGAGAGACAGTTTATTGTGATTTCGGTGCTTTTACATTTGCTGAGGAGTGTTTTACTTCCAATTATGTGGTCAGTTTTATAGTAAGTGTGATGTGGTGCTGAGAAGAATGTATATTTTGTTAATTTGGGGTGGAGAGTTCCGTAGATGTCTATTAGGTCTGCTTGGTCCAGAGCTGAGTTCAAGTCCTGGATATCCTTGTTAATTTTCTGTCTCATTGATCTGCCTAATATTGACAGTGGGGTGTTAAAGTCTCTCATTATTATTGTGTGGGAGTGTAAGTCTCTTTGTGGGTCTCTAAGAACTTGCTTTATGAATCAGGGTGCTCCTGTATTGGGTGCATATATATTTACAATAGTTAGCTCTTCTTGTTTCACTGATCCCTTTAACATTATGTGATGGCTTTCTTTGTCTCTTTTGATTTTTGTTGGTTTAAAGTCTGTTTTATCAGAGACCAGGAATGCAACCCATGCTTTTTTTGCTTTCCATTTGCTTGGTAGATCTTCCTCCATCCTTTTATTTTGAGCCTACGTGTTTCTTTGCATGTGAGATGGGTCTCCTGGATACACCACACTGACGGTCTTGACTATCCAATTTGTCAGTCTGTGTCTTTTAATTGGGGCATTTAGCCCATTTACATTTAAGATTAATATTTTTATGTGTGAATTTGATCCTGTCATTATGATGCTAGCTTGTTAATTTGCCTGTTAATTAATGCGGTTTCTTCATAGCATCGATGGTCTTTACAATTTGGCATGTACTGGTTGTTCCTTTCCATGTTTAGTGCTTACTTCAGGAGATCTTATAAATCAGGCCTGGTGGTGACAAAATCTCTCAGCATTTGCTTGTCTGTAAAGGATTTTATTTCTCCTTCACTTATTAAGCTTCTTTTTGCTGGATATGAGATTCTGGATTGAAAATTATTTTCTTTAAGAATGATGAATATTGGCCCCCACTCTCTTCCGGCTTGTAGGGTTTCTGCAGAGAGATCCACTGTTAGTCTGATGGGCTTCCCTTTGTGGGTAACCTGACCTTTCTCTCTGGCTGCCCTTAACTTTTTTTTTTTTTTTTTTTCTGAGACAGAGTCTCACTCTGTTGCCCAGGCTGGAGTGCAGTGGCGTGATCTCAGCTCACTGCAAGCTCCATCTCCTGGGTTCACACCATTCTCCTGCCTCAGCCTCCTGAGTAGCTGGGACTATAGGCACCTGCCACCATGCCCAGCTAATTTTTTTTTGCATTTTTTAGTAGAGATGGGGTTTCACCATGTTAGCCAGGATGGTCTCAATCTCCTGACTTTGTGATCTGCCCACCTCAGCCTCCCAAAGTGCTGGGATTACATGCATGAGCCACCACGCCTGGCCCTTGGCTGTCCTTGACATTTTTTCTTCATTTCGGCCTTGGTGAATCTGATGATTATTTGTCTCAGGATTGCTCTTCTCAAGGAGTATCTTTGTGGTGTTCTCTGTATTTCCTGAATTTGAACATTGGCCTGCCTTGCTAGATTGGGGAAGTTCTCCTGGATAATATCCTGAAGAGTGTTTTCTAACTTGGTTCCATTCTCCCTGTCACTTTCAGGTACACCAATCAAACACAGATTTGGTCTTTTCACATAGTCCCACATTTCTTGGAGGCTTTGTTCATTTCTTTTCATTCTTTTTTCTCTAATCTTATTTTTAGGCTTTATTTCATTAATGTGATCTTCAATCACTGATATTCTTTCTTTCATTTGATCAAATCTGCTATTGAAGCCTGTGTATGCTTCATGAAGTTCTCGTACTGTGGTTTTCAACTCCATCAGGTCATTTCAGCTCTTCTCTACGCTCATTATTCTAGTTAGCCATTTTCTTTTTTTTTTTTTTTTTTTTTGAGACAGAGTCTCGTTCTGTCGCCCAGGCTGGAGTGCAGTGGCACAATCTTGGCTCACTGCAAGTTCCGCCTCCCGGGTTCACACCATTCTCCTGCCTCAGCCTCTCCGAGTAGCTGGGACTACAGGCACCCACCACCACGCCCGGCTAATTTTTTGTATTTTTAGTAGAGACGGGGTTTCACCATGGTCTTGATCTCCTGACCTCATGATCTGCCCACCTTGGCCTCCCAAAGTGCTGGGATTACAAGCATGAGCCACCGTGCCTGGCCTAGTTAGCCATTTTCTAACCTTTTTTCAAGGTTTTTAGCTTCCTTGCAATGAGTTAGAACATGCTCCTTTAGCTCAGAGAGGTTTGTTATTACCGACCTTCTGAAACCTACTTCTGTCAACTTCTGTCAGACTCATTCTCCATTCAGTTTTGTTCTGTTGGCAAGGAGTTGTGTTCCTTTCGAGGAGAAGAGGCATTCTGGTTTTTGGAATTTTCAGCCTTTCTGCTCTGGTTTCTCCCCATCTTTGTGGTTTTTATCTACCTTTGGTCTTTGATGTTGGTGACCTATGGTTGGAGTTTTGGTGTGGATGTCCTTTTTGTTGATGTTGATGCTATTCCTTTCTGTTTGTTAGTTTTCCTTCTAACAGACAGGTCCCTCAGCTGCAGGTCTGTTGGAGTTTGCTGGAGGTCCACTCCAGACCCTGTTTGCCTGGGTATCACCAGCAGAGGCTGCAGAATGCTAACATTGCTGCCTGATCCTTCCTCTGGATGCTTTCTCCCAGAGGGGCACCTGCCTGTATGAGGTGTCTGTCAGCCCCTACTAGGAGGTGTCTCCCAGTCAGGCTACATGGGCATCAGGGACCCACTTGAAGAGGCAGTCTGTCTGTTATTGGAGCTTGAATACTATGCTAGGAGAACCATGCTCTCTTCAGAGCTGTCAGGCAGGGACATTTAAGTCTGCAGAAGCTGTCTGCTGCCTTTTGCTCAGATATGCCCTGCCCCCAGAGGTAGAATATAGAGAGGCAGTAGGCCTTGCTGAGCTGTGGTGGGCTCAGCCCAGTTTGAGGTTCCCTGCTGTTTACACTGTGAGCATAGAACCACCTACTGAAGTCTCAGCAATGGTGGACGCACCTCCCCTCTCCAGCATCCCAGGTGGATCTCAGACTGCTGTGCTAGCAGCAAGTAAGCCTCCGTAGGCTTGGGACTTGCCAAGCCAGGCACTGGAGGGAATCTCCTGGTCTGCCAGTTGCGAAGACCATGGGAAAAGCACAGTATTTGAACAGGAGTATACCGTTCCTCCAGGTACAGTCACTCACGGCTTCCCTTGGCTAGGAAAGGGGAATTCCCCTGACCTCTTGTGCTTCCCAGGTGAGGTAATGCCCCACCCTGCTTCTGCTCACCCTCCATGGGCTGCACCCACTGTCCAACCAGTCCCAATGAGATGAACCAAGTACCTCAGTTGGGAATACAGAAATCACCTATCTTCTGCATCAATTCACTGTGAGCTGTAGACTGCAGCTGTTCCTATTCTGCCGTCTTGGAAGTGTCCTGTAATAGTATGTTTCACCCTCAGAATAACACCAATCAAAAGTCTAATGATATAGCTCTGCTGCCTTTTCCTATACTTATCAGAGTCCTGGAGGTACTTTGTCTGATATTAGGTCACCTTATCTGTAATAATTTTATATATTATTGAAATATTTAATTGGCCACAATCTTACTTCTTTAATTTGCATAAAGCATCTTCTAGGCCAGTGGTTCTCAAGTTGGGTTGCAGATCAGACTTATTCTTGAAGTTTTATAAAAATATAAATGTCTAGCCCCTACTCCATACTTACTGAATCTTTTTAATTAATATTCTCAGAAAAAAAATGATGTCTCAGGATTATTATATGTTGACCTCAAGATTTTTAAAATCTTTACATGCCTTGAAACAAGCAAATTTCCTCAACAGTTGCATTTTTTATTTTAAGAACATTCATCAGAACTTTTAGGTTTGAAAATTATTAGTTATAAAATAGACCAGGCACAGTGGTTCATGACTGCAATTCCAGCACTTTGGGAGTATGAGATGGGTGAATGACTTGAGGTCAGGAGTTGGAGACCAGCCTGGCCAACATGATGAAACCTCATCTCTACTAAAAACAAAAAATTAGCCAGGTGTTGTGGCACATGCCTATAATCCCAGCTACTTGGGATGTTGAAGCATGAGAATCACTTGAGTCTGGGAGGCAGAGAATGCAGTGAGCTGAGATTGCACCACTGCACTCCAGCCTGGGCAACAGAGTGAGATTCTGTCTCAAAAAAAATAGTTATAAAATAACTGCAGCCATTAAGCCTCTGTTATGCAAGTGAATAGAGACAACCCAAATGAAAACAAGGAAAGCCTATTTATCCTGAGCTTGCTATAGCAAAGGAGCCACCAGCACTTGCATCTTGACAGAGATTCAAAGGCAGGCAGAGGAGTGGGAAAGCTTTACAGTGGGAAGAGGGAAGACTTCAAGAGTGCCCTTACTAAAGGCTGTTGGCCTGGAGAAGTTGTAGGTGGGCCAGCTGGAAGTGGGGCATCCTGTGTGATTGGTTGGGGAACATACTTGGCTTTCTCTGGTTGGTTCTAAAATTGGTAGCAGGGGTGAAAATTAGGGAAACTATCAATTATGAATCAAGTCCTGGCCATTTGAGGACAATTGCTTCCAGGGTTATCATCTGATTTCTTGGACTGGTTGCTACAGAAAGTACGTTGGCTTCCCAGGCTGGTTGCCACAGTCGTGGGTCAGTTCCACTTGTATAGTTTGGTCCATAGAATTGCCTGTCTCATTGTCATTTACAGATAGCTTTTGTTTCATCCAGATACTTGCTTAAAGTTTCTGCTAAAAGCTACAGGTCAGCATTTGTTTCTTCAATAAAGAAGACCACAGTGCCTGCCTTGAGAAAAAGGACTATACAAACTATGAATACTTCAAAGAATAGACTTTTAGGTCCAAGATTCTGTGCTGACATTGCTTAGACAACTTTCATACCACAGCAGTGGGATCAGTCAGAATTTTCAGAATCATTTTTAGTCTAGAAATAGATAGCTTCATGAAAGCAGACTGCTAACCCAAGATCTAACACAAAAATTAATTACATAAGACTGAATAAACTGATGAAGGAAATTTTTTGGTAACTGTTCATTTTTTATATTGTTGATATTGTTTTAGTGGTCTATCTTCCATATGTACATGTAGAATATATAGCTATAGATATAGATATGTATTCTATCTCTTCCTGAGCTTTCTGGATCCAAAAAAATTAATAAACTCAATTTCTGTAAACTCAAGTAAAAAATTTAAAATGATACCTGATTATTCCTGAACCCCAGATCAGAAATTCTAAATTATGAGTCTCCTTGCTTTCTGTGGCAACATAGTTATTTGCATAGGTTCTTACCAGGATATGATTGGACAAATCGTGCAGCATTAGCTGGAGTGTCACATTTCAGAATAATCCTCACTGAATTCAGTATGACCAGCCACTTTTGAGGAACAAGGGTTGACTTCACTTATAGAGCTGGTGCATACAAATCCCCCTTGGGAATATGGTCCTGGTTTATAAAGTCTCATTCTCAAAGGCAGTAAGGAAGATCACTTCCTGGAAAGCCTGGGACTTTAGCAAATTTAGGGGACCTTAAGAAGACAGGGATTTGCTCAAATGTACAGGTATCACAGGTGATGTCTGGTGGAGAGAGTTTCTTGGATTTGACCTTGTAGTGATAGAGACAGGAGACAGCCAAGTGTCCCCTGCCCCCAGAACTGGTGAAAGCCTGCCTTCAACCCTAAAACATCCTGAAGGCTGAAAAACCAGACTGCAGGTCCTAGATGAAGCCTGCCCTTTCCTGACTGATTCTTTCTGAATAATGCCCACCTGAGCACTGGGAGGACAGGGTGGAGCCTCTGGAAGTTCATGTTGTTTGCAGTGGGGAGGAGCATGGCCTCTCCTGTTCCTGTGTAGCAACCTGAGATTCAATCTGTGAGGTGAGAAAGCTGCTAACAGAATTCTCTCTAGCTTTGTTGAGAGTTATTTTTCCTTTTTGCCCAATAAATTCCATTTTTTCTCACCCTTATATGTGTCTGTGAGCCTAATCTTTCCTGGGTGTGTGACAAGAGCCCTGTTTTAGCTGAACTAAGGAGAAAGCTCTGCAACATTTTTGGCACCCAACATGGGGCTTGAGGAAGGGTGAGTAACGTGCAAACCAAAAAATCTTTTTTCCTTTTGCATCTAAGCCTTTTTGTCCCTGGACTTCTTCTGAGGTTAGAGGAAATCATGCCCCCACGGAACATTGCTCCCAGGGGTAGGGAATGTTGGCCTTTTCCTTCTCTTTTTGGGATGGATGTGTGAACTGGTGGCTCCCCAACTCCCTTCTTAAGTTTTTCTCCCTGCTAGAGGAACCCATTGGCATATGAATAAGAAGTTCTTCCCCTAGGCATCTTTCCAACCCTGCACTTTAATTTCTTTTTCCTTTTCTCTACCCTGTCAGCAGTTAATTTTTATGTGAGAGGTTTTTTTCTTTTTAGAAAATATTTTACTAGGCCGGGACCCCAACTATCACTGTTTATATTCTCTGTAAAGTTTTAATATTGAAAAAGAATTTGTGAGGTTGGTCTTAAGCTGTAGCCAATCTGGTGTGCTTTGCATGACTTTTTCTATGGTCAGTAGCAAACTTTGCTGTAGGCTTTCATTTTGTTTTACATCCTTGGGAGTATGACCTGTAACTATGTAGCAATGTTTTGCTTAGCCTCTGCCATTTCACAATGGCAGCTGGATTCACTTTTGGCTTAGGATATGAGTCCTTTCTGGTTTGATATCTGTGCAACCTTTGTATTTGTTGATTCTCTTCCCCTCCACCATGAATCACCTTGGATTTTCCTTTCTCTGAGCCTTTAATAAAGTTTGAAAGCCAGAATTATTGGTCACTTGGTGTGGCTAAAGTCAGGTAATAGGGGATTTAAAAGGATTTTCTTAAATAGCATTCAGCTTAATTAAAAGTGGGTACACAAGATATAGGTATATTTAAAAGGCCTTTATTTTTTTCTTTACTTTGACCTTGTTTTGCTGGAAAAGATTTTTTTTTGGTTGACTGAATTATTTTTCTCCATTTTACTTTGCCACTTTTCATGCATGCACAAGAGGAGAGATACCTCTGTTTTTCTCATGAAACCCCAGGAATTAAAGGCAGATCAATCCCTCTCAAAGTCTGTTTTTGACTCACAGTTATGCCTGTCTATTAAAAGGCCTTAAAAGTGGAATGTTTTCCTAATCTTGTCTCTTAAAGGGCTCCACTCAGAGTCCAATAATCCAATTAGGAGATTGGCAAACAAAAAATCTTATGGCTGCTGGGTTTTCTTATGCCTGTCTCTGTAGTTATATATGTGTTGTGTATGTGATGTCTATAAAAAAGAGCTCTAATTAATTGGCCTAAAGGAATACAAGTGCTTGGATCAAATATTTTTTAAAGGGAAGATAAAAGCTGTGGTACCTTTTAGTTCACATGACTTTAATCTTTGAGAAATAAAAACAGCCTTAAAAATTATTGGTAAAATGCAGATATCAAAATGTAAATAGGTAAACTAAATTATGCAGGTAAGATACTAGGTTTGCTAAATGTTTTAAGGTTATAAACTGCCTTTAAGAATTTTCAACTTGCTGGCTTCACCATTGGTAAGGACTGGGATATATGGAATTAACCATGCCCTTAATTACGCTGGAAGGAGTCAAACCTTGGCTGCATCTAGCACATAATTAAAACAACTTATCAGGTTTTACATTAAAGTTAGAATTGCTAGGAGTTACCATTATAACATGTAATTGCAACTACTAGAAATAGATTTACATGTGAAGTGTGTAAGAACAGTAAGAAGAGTTTTCAGTAAAAGATTGTAAGAAGGCATGGAAATGTAAATTCTTACCTAGGGTTAAAGGATTGCTTTTAATTAGATAATATAAAGCTGGATGTTTGAAAAAAAATGATGGAAGGATTGTCAAAGTTAATCTTGCAAAAAATTCCATGTGTGAACATATTGACTAAATTCAAAATGGTATTACATGGTTTCTCTGTAAATTGAGCATTGAAATAAAAGTACAACAATGTAATCTGAAGGCACTAATCTGCTCTTTAGCAAAATTTGTAAAGGGTTATATAAGGTTTTTGCTTTTTAAAATTTTGAGTCATTTTGGCAAAATAAATTGTAATCTGGAATTCTATTTCATGACAGCAAGTATTTTAAACCTCTAACATATTTAACAAGTTTCCCAAAATCAAACTTCAGTTTCAAAATTGTCTTTCCTAATGCCTGGCTTTTGGATGCTACAGAGGGCCCCTGAAGTATCCAGAAGAGAGGGAAACAACATTTTTGAACATGTTTAGTTACATGGGACTGCCAAAATAGTGTTCAATCTTCTTTCAGTTATATTTTGGTGAATAATACTAATATATGTTTCATAATTGTATGGGATTTCTAAAATTCTAATGTCTAAAGTGTATGCTATCAATTATAATTAAGGTTGTTAAGTTACTATAAACCACATAGATAACCGAACTTCTTTGTCAATTGTGTTTCTAACTGCAACTACCCTGGACATTTTGTTATTCACAGACAATTGCTGTCTTGTTTTGATCCTTTTCAAAAATGGCTTATAATAAGCTATAGGACTCTGATAGGTGCTCTCAAATACAAGTTTCTGATACATTCGGAGATTTTAACACTTGAATAAAGAAAAAACACACAGGACTCTTGAAGAGCTAAAATGTTCATGAATATCAAGCAAAACAAGAGTTAGCTAAATGGACTGAAATATAACACTGAAGCAATCTTTTCGACTTTTGTTTGGAGTAATGCTGATCCTCGTTATGTTTTTCAGAATCAAGGAAACTTATTTTGAACTATTTATGGCCTTTAATAATTGAGTAAGGTATACTCCTGTGAACAAAATTTGGAGCATATTTGTTTCTCTCTCTCTTTGCCTGGCTTCTCCACAATTTGGAAACTAGTTGTACATATTATTAACTTATGGCAATATAGTTGTTTGCATCAGTGCAATAAGAATCCATTTTCTTTTGCAACTGGATGCAATTGGAGAAACTGGTTGTTTTACCAAGGCTTCAACTGGAAAGGTATGCTTCCCTTTAAGGAGTCAAGTTCAACTTGCAGCACCAATAAAAGCTCCCTGGGAAAACTGACCTCATACCCTTGTCTATGCAGTCCCTGTACAGGGTTCCTGATCTGTGGTAAGTAAAGAATATCACTTTTTGACAGGCCCAGGAGCTCCAAGTTTATCTTGGGACCTTAAGAAAAGAGGATTACCCAACTCACAGGTACTCAAGGAAAAAAAACCAATGGCTGGGCTTGGCTTTAAAAGGTCTTATCTGAGATTCCTTGTGGAACAGAGTTTCATCAAAGCCAATCTAAAATCCTTATGTAGAAATAATTATTATTGCTGCACTTTATACAAATAATCAGGCCAAGTGTAAGACTAACTTCTATTTTGCAAAGAAGTCAGTCCTATCATGATTTGTTTTTGTAACAAAAATGAGGACTGGAGAGAAAGAAATTATATTTCAAAACTTATCATACATTTGTCATTAGATTCTAGACTCATTAGCTGTTTTTTAAGTTTTGGCCTACACTTTAGACTAACTCTGCTTCTTCCTGTGAACCAACTAGCAATTTCTGGCTGCAGCTCAGAAAGAACAAAAGGGATGGATGATATAAAAATCTGGATCAATATTCTAGTTCTGAGTAATCATCCTGCTAATCCTGCCAGATGATGTGAATAAATAGGGTGCCCATCACCCGGAGGTTTCCTTTTTGGGAAAGTAAGACCAAGGGTGCTGACCAAAGTCAGGCCCCATGCACCCAAATCTTAGCAAGCATAACTACAGCCACCAGTTATCTGGGCATGTCACAAAACATCCTTTTCTCTTTCTTGTTGGAGGAGGACACAATTCCACAGCTTCACCTTAGCATTCAGCATATGATAAGGAGTCCATACAACCCTCCCATCTCCCCACCACAAGACACATTTTTGTACTGAACTCAATTCCAAGCTTTTGGTCAAAGCCCTAGAAATGAAAATTGGATCTGAGGGATCCAGAGGCAGACAATAATGGAGGTTAAAAGGCAGAGTACAGGTAAGTGTGACTGATTCCTGCCAATTAAGCCAAGCTTCCCATTTCATGGATAAAGGTCACACTAGTGTCCATTGCATAAATGAAATCTAGGGAATTCAAAGGCTACTGACAACAGGAGAGATTCAGTGTACGTGGGTAAGAGCAGATACTCCCACCCCTTAGGCCCCTCTGTTAACATGGGTGAAAGCCACTTTGACACCCATGGGCAGCACCCTGTCACGGTCACTGGGACTTGGTGATAAAAGGATGGTGAAAAGAAAGAGGAATGCCTCATTTTCCCTCCCTCATGTACCCCAGGTATTCATTAGGAAGAGAAGGGAGCCAGGGATGCCTTGCTCCCCATTCTTCTAGATGAATAGCCGTTCATCTTCAGTCTGTACCCCTTTTGAATGCATCCTGAACCCCTGGGACTCCTTTGAAAAAAAAATTCTTCTTTTTTCCTTTCTCCTCTTCCCTCTCTTCACTGATAAGTAACTGTGTCTCCATACTATGGGACACTCCTTTGGATGCATCCTCCAAAGTAGGAAAAGTTAATTTCCCAAACCTTAAACTGGTTAGAATTGGGCTAGGGGAAGGGAACCCAGAAACCTGACATGCCAGAAAAAAGGTAAATTTTTTTTCCAGTCAAGTTTTTGCCCCCTTCCCATCCCTGTACAAACTGGTAAAAGGCCCTGGAATTTTTTAGCTCTCCTTAACCAGCACCCCTTTTGTTTCATTTTGATACATGTCTTCTAATAACCCAGTTTGTCTCTTCTCACCTTCAGGCCATCAAACTCCAAACAGTCATGCAACCAGAGCCTTGGATGATGGCCTCTTCTGCCAGGGACCCTTAGATAGGCCTCTGAGGGAGATCTGACTGCTGTTTTCCCAAAACAGCACCCCCTGTCAGCAGGAAGGAGTTAAGATCAATCTTCATGCTTATCCTTATCCTTATTCTAACAGCAGTTAAAGGTGCTTCTTTAGAAGGGGTAATGATAGAGACAGGAGGCAGCCAAGGGTTCCCTGCACTCCCCAGCAAACCCCGCCTTCAAGCCTAAAATAGCCTGAAGGCTGAAAAACCAGACTGCCAGTTCTGGATGAAGCTCGCCCTTTCCCAGTTTATTCTTTCTGAATAATGCCCACCTGTGCAGTAGGAGGATGGGGTGCAACCTCAGGAAATTTGTGCCATTTGCAGTGGGGAGGAGCCTGGCCTTTCCTGTTCCTGTGTGGTGACCAAGGACTCAATCTATGAGACGGGAAACGTGCTAGCAGAACTCTGTCACTTTGCTGAGAGTTATTTTTTCTTTTTCCTTTTTGCCCTATAAATTCCATTTTCCTCACCCTTCTGTTGTGTTCGCAAGCCTAATCTTTCCTGGTCATGTGACAAGAGCCCAGTTTTAGCTGAACTAAGGAGAAAGTTCTGCAACAGTAGTATGCTGTTTCCTCTGCCTAAAATCTCTACTTAAACCTCTCCATCAGAAGGATTTCCACACCAAACCAAAACATCCTTCCAGACCCAGCTCAAATGCCTCCTCGGGGAAGCCTTCCCTCATTCCTTCTCTATCCAGAAGACCTCTCCCTCTGAGATTCTCAATGCACTTGCATGTTTTTAGTTATCTTGAGAGGCTGAAGGCAAAGAGCAGCACATGACACAACACAGGAGCTGAAAATAGGATGACTGAATGAATGACCAAGTAATGAATGAATGGCTAAGTGATAGATGAATGAATTAATGAAGAGATGGCTTGTGCTAAGAGAAGAGATAGCATTTGAATTGAGATTTCAAGAGGGATCAGATTTTCAAACCAGGAATAAGGTAGGTCAAGTTTAGGCTCTTGACAATGCTACACCTCTTAGCCTCGTAGCATTGACCCACTCACGATCTGCTTGCTGGCAGAGAGATTGTCCCACTTCTCCCAAAAATAAGGTTATGAAACCCTAGTGCTACAAGCTTGGGAGGCAGATCTGGGCTGGAATCCTCCATCCCTTTCTCTGGGGTGAGCCAGCAAGTTTACCTAATCTCTCTTAGCCCTCAATTTTCCTTATCTATGGAGTGAGAAAAACAGTATCCAAATTCTAGTTTGGTTGTTAGGATTTAAGTAGATAATGTCTGTAAAACATTTAGCTCTGTTACTGGCACAAAGTAAATGGTAGCTATTATATTATTATCATCACTTCCTCCCTGGGATCCCCAGGGCCTATGATGTTAGTAAGTGAAAGAGCTGCCTGACCTGGTTGCTGCCCTTTGACACATTTTGAATCCCCAGTGACTGCTTCTACTTGCCAAGCTTTTACCTCCAGAAGTCAGGGCCCATGATTTGTGATTTTTCCCCAGCTAGGTGTATGTGTTTTGGGGACCCTGAGGACCTGGGTGCCCCAGGTGACTGAGCCCAGCCTAGGAGTTTATTCCTGGAGAAGGCTCTGCAGTGACCCCAGTGCTTTCTGTGTGTGGATTTTGGCGGGGCAGCTGCTGCTGAGCCCAGGAAAGCTGGGCTGTGAGACCTGGCCCCTCTTGGGTGGACCACAGCCTCCTTGTGTGTCAGAGAAGAGCTGGCCCACCCACCTAGAGAAAGTGAAGGGAAAGCTGGGCTGCTCCAAGTCCAGGCCAGACCAGAATTTATTGTGTGGGTTTCTCTTAACCCAAAAGGTTTCCTTAGCGAGGAGAGGAGGGGAGGGGAGAGGAGGAGCTACAAGCTAAGACTCTTCTACCCAAGCACCTGCTCCATGTTGGATTCTTTGGGATCCTCTACAGCAGGGCCTTTCACGATTTGAGAATGGCCCAGTTCTCTTCTGTCTGTTGAAGCTTCTGCTACATTTTAAAGAAATGGATAAAAGCTATAACGGGATCATAAAAAGGGCAATTTATAAATTATTAATTAATGTTTTTGACAAAAAATGTATAACTGTATAATCACATTGGGAGAAAGTATAGGGCTCACATTTCAGGCTTTCTGGGCAGGGGAGACTCGGGCCCTCCTAGCCCTGCGCCTGCACACCTGGCTGTCTGATGTGGCCCTCCAGGTGGCGATGGACATGAGGGAACATGTGGTATGTCTGAGGAGAGCAGGCTGTGAATGTGAGAAGAAGGGAACTGGCTGTAGCAATACAAGGTGGGTGCCCCTGGATCTGGGTGTGAGGACTCAAGGACCCCAGTCCTTCCTTCCACAGCCTTCCCCAGCCTTGGAACCACTCCAGGCCTGTCTCCTGTTAGTTTGTAAGTGGTCGTTTCCTTGACTCTGGGAACGCAACCAAGTCCCGTTATTGCAGGATGGATTCCCACACCCTGCCCTGGGCCCCAGGAGTGCTGCTGTCCCTACCTGGACTATGGGTTGCTTTCTGGGGCCCTGAATATGGGAAGAGCAAGACTGAGGCATAGGGACCTGAGGAAAGAGAGGGTAGCCAGAATAACCATAAGGATTGTCTCAGGGCCTAGAGAATCTCTGTGTCGAGAAAAGCAGAAGTGATGCCCCTTGGGCTTTGTGTTAGGCGGATGGGTTGGGGGCAGCTGGGTGGGCTCGCCAGTCTAACCAGGCACAGAGCTGACTTGCTTCCTCTCAGACCCTGTGGCTATCTCTGGTCCAGAGAATCCAGTAGAAGCCTTTGTGCTTGTCCAGAGGCCCAGTGGCCCCCAGGTCTTCCTCTTCACTCCCCAGTCCCCCTCCATCAGCACTTCTCTGCCTAAGGAGCTCCAATAGTCTGATACCAAAGGGCCAGAAGATGCAGGTCCTCAATGCCAGGCAAGGGGTGCGACTTCTCAACAGTAGTGCTTGAAGCTCCAGCATGGATATGTGCAGATTGGTAGGAGGTCATGGAGACTCGGAGGTGCATGCAAGTCGTTGCTGTGGAAACAGCTCAAGTGTGAGGCGCTGGGGGCCAAGGGGGAAAGCAGCGGGTGGAGGAAGGGTCAGCTTCTAGTTCTGTGAGAGGCTGGGAGACTGTTTGAGCCTGGAGACAGGCGGCAGGCAGAGCCAGTGTTAGGCACCATTGCAGCACCATCAGGTCTCCTAGGACAGAAGAAGGGATTGCTTCTGTCCTCTCTGAAGATACCCTGACTGGGAACGGTGGTGGTCTGGGATGTGGGGGGACCCCTGGCCTCTTACAGCTCTGCCCCTGACTCGGTCTTGGGAAATCCACACCATTACTTCCCAAGACTGCCTGCTGGATCACTGTGGCTCAAAATGGGTGGCTTTGCAGAGAATTCTCCTTATTTACGCTCTGCCAATAACTGGAGCCTCTTCCAGGCAGACCATTGTGGGGGTGACTGATAGTGCCAGTGACTACAGTTTAGTCAGCCTGCTAGCTCTGTATTTCACTCCCCTTGAGGAGGTGCTGGCAGAAATCCCAGGAGCCCCATGAGGCTTCCTTTTCTATGCTGGCTGAGGAAGCCACAGCACTGGAAAATTACTGTAAATGTGCGTCTGGCGCCACCTAGTGATCGAGGCCCTCCTGCACCCTGTCAGACAGCTCTCTCAGGAAAGCAGTTTGCCTTCTTGCAGTGCACACTTCCTCAGGCTTTGGTGTGTGTGACGGTCACCTAGGATGCTTGTCAAAAATGAGGACTCCTGGCCGGGCGCAGTGACTCATGGCTGTAATCTCAGTACTTTGGGAGGCCGAAACAGGAGGATCGTTTGAACCCAGGAGTTCAAGACCACCCTGGGTGACATGGTGAGATCCCCCACAAAAATTCCTGGGCTCCAGACCCTGAGGTTTTAACTTAGTTTGTCTGGGGAGGAATCTAATAATGTGTTTTCCTAACTAGTATCTCAGGAATTTGTAAGGCAAGTCTCTGGACTACATTTTGAGAACCAGTCTCTTGAAGGACCATGCCTCTTAAGTGTCTGCTTTGCACAGATCATTATGTGCACTCACTGAGTTTTGAGAACTGTACTGAACACTCCTAAATCTGTATCTTTAGGCAAAGTCTCTTGAGTTTCAGCTGCTATTTTTTGACTGGTTGCTTTCTGTCTCCAGAACAGACGCACAGAATTATCATGGCCAGCTCTGAATTTTTAATCTCTTTACATCATCCCAAACCGCCAAATAACCCTTGTATTAGTCAGGGTTCTCCAGACAAACAGGATGTACATATATTTGGAAAGAGATTTATTAGAAAGAATGGGCTCATGTAATGATGGAGGCTGAGGGGTCCCAGGATCTGCAGTCAACAAGATGGAGACCCAGGAGAGCTGATGGTTGAGTTCTCATCCAAAAGCCAGAAGGCTTGAGACCCAAGAAGAACTGATATTTCAGTGCAAATATAAAGGCAGGGAAAGTTTGTGTCCTGGCTCAAGGCAGTCAGGCAGGAGGATTTCCCTCTTAAAGGAGGGGCAGACATTTTGTACTAATCAGGCCTTCAACTCATTGGATGAAGGCCACTCACAATTAGGGAGCGCAATTTGCTTTATTCAGTCTACTGATTCAAATGTTAATCTCTTCCAAAAACACCTTCACAGACAGTCCCAGAGATAATGTTTGACCAACTTGACCCCATGGCCAAGTCAAGCTGACACAAAAAATTAACCAGCACAAGTCTACTCCTTCTCAACTTGGCATGCATATGCATGTACTTGAACCATGCTAATCTCCAAACAAAGATGGTAACATGGTCATAATTTCACCTACACTGATACAACTGTCCTTTGTACAACAGAAAACACAATAAACCCTTCCACAGAGGAAGAAGCAATGTCTTTGAGCTATGTTCACTCTTCTCTGTGACATACCAAAACTTAAATACTATCATATAAAATTAGCAATACTTAAATACTATGACATAAAGTTAATACATCTTATGTTACATGATAAGGGGAAAAGAGGAGGAAAACAAAGATATTCAACACACACACACACACACACACACACACACACACGCATATGCACACGTATACATATCTTGTTACCTTCTTCCACTACCCATTACATATTTCCCTTATCTTCAGCAAGCACCTCAGCTGTTTGTGGTTCTTTACCTGGTGGGGTGATATAAACCTTTTGTCTGAAGGGTTTGAGCCATTAATAATCTTGTCTGAATTGCGTTGTTTTGCTTTTCCATTGACCTTCATCACAGAGCATGATAATACTAAGAGATATCCTAAGGGATCTACTATATTCCAGAATACTCCTCTTTACCTTCACTGTGGAGCAGTAGTCCAATTTCCCCTTGGTGTCCAGATTGATCATCCCAGCTGACACTGTAACTTCCTTCTTGGGCTGTTGACTTGGAGGAGCGCAACGTGTCTGAGTGTCATTCTTAACTTCCAGTTCAATAGAACCATTGTTGTGTCTCTTGGTGAAGCATTCCTCCCTTTGGAACAAACATCTCTTAGCCACCTGAGCATAAGGCCATAGGAACAGGAAGCAAACATTTTGCTAGTGGGTCATTAAGGGTAGTACTGAGTAGTGTCACTCCCATTTTCATCCCTTGATTCCTGAACCTATAAATCCTGGCTATGAGAAAAAGAGCACCATGTACTAGATGCTGATTCAGAGCATATATAGCTTTGTGGAAAACCTTGCCCTAACCCTGAAAGGTATTGCCACCTAGCTGGCACTGCAACTGAATCTTCAAAAGGCCATTCCACTGTTCTATCAAGCCAGCTGATTAAGGATGGTAGAAAACATGGTGAGACCATTGAGTTCCATGAGCGTGCACCCACTGCCCCACTTCTTCCTGCCTGACTGCTTTTGTACTGAAACACTGTTTTTGTTTTTTTGTTTTCTACCTTCAAACTCTAACTCAAACATTGGCTCTTCCTGGGTCTCAAGCCTGCCAGCCTTTGGACTAGAACTACACCATCAGCTCTCCTGAGTTCCAGCTTGCTCACTGCAGATCTTAGAATTTGTCAGTCTTCATAATTGCATGAGCTAATTTCCTATAATAAATAAACAAAGAAACAATCTCCCACAGAACTCTGACAAATGCAGATTTTGGTACTGACAGTAATGTTTGACCAATTGTCTGGGCAACCCATGGTGCAGTCAGGTTGACACATAAAATTAACAATCATAACTTTTTTGCTTTCATTTAGCTGTTTTAGGAACCATCATATTCCCAGTCACCAAACTAGAAAGCAGGGAATTATCCTTGAGTCTGTCTTCTTCCTTACTTCCCCATAGCTATTCAGTGATTTATGCTGATTTTGCCTCACAGAACTCTGTCTTCTCCTCTCTATCCCGCCTACTATTTGAGTTCAGGCCTTTCTCCATTATTTCATAGATATTTCGATTGCCTCCTAACTGGTTTTACTGATTCTCTCTTGCCCCTTCTTAAATCCATGCTTGATACACTAGCCAAAGGGATATATTTGTTGGTTCACTGTTTAAAACACCTCAATAGTTTCCCATCTCCTAGAGCAGGAATTGGCAACGTTTTCCTATAAAAAGGCACATGGTAAATATTTTAGGCTTTGCAAACCATATGGCTTCAGTCACAACTACTCAGTTCTACTGTTTTAGAATTAACAAAAGCAATATCCAAAATAGAAAAATTCACTGGATGGGTGTAATAGGAAAATGAGATGTCAGAAGAAAGAATGAGTAAACAAATTATCCAATCTTAAGAAAAGAGAGAGGCCAGGTACTGTGGCTCATGCCTGTAATCCCAGCATTTTGGGAGGCTGAGGCAGGAGGACTGCTTAATCACTAAAGTTTGAGACCAGCCTAGGGAACAAATTGAGACCCTTTCTCTACAAAAAAATAGAAAAATTAGCTGGTTGTGGTGGCACATGCCTGCAATCCCAGTTAATCAGGGTCTGAGGCCTGAGGTTTGATTGATCCCAGGAGGTCAAGGCTGCAGCAAGCTGTGATTGTGCTACTGCACTCCAGCCTGGGTCACAGAGGGAGACCCCATCTCAAAAACAAAAAAGAAAAGAAAAAACAGAGAAGAAAAGATATTATAAAGTGAATGGAGCCCCAAGTACCTGTGAGCCAATGACATGGAAGTTCTAACAGAGTGGCGAGTCGCAGAAAGAGAGGAAAACAAGATAGGGGAGGGTAGAGTATATGTGTGTGTGTATGTGTGTGGCAAAAACTTCACAAATTTGATGAAAGACAAAGCTTAAACTGGATAAACTCTAAGAAAACTATATCTATACACATCACAAGCTGCTGAAAACCAAAGATAAAGGAAAAAATCTTGAAAACACCACATTATATATAGAAGAATGATTCAAATGACTATGGAGTTTTCATCAAAAAACCTTGGAGACCAGAAGGCACATCTTTAAAGTGATTTTTTGAAATGACAATCCAGAATTCTATATTGAGGAAAATATCTTTGAGAAATGATAGCAAAATATAGTCATTATCAGGTAAAGGAAAACTAAGAATTTGTCATAAGTCAACCTGCTCTAAAGTAAATGCTAGAAGAAGTTATTTGGTCTAAAGACTAATGACACCAGAGCAAACTTTGGAACTTTAGGAATGAAGAACTAAGAAAAAAGTAAAATATGGGTAAATACAATAGATTACTTTTCTTCTCTTAATTTCTTTAACATAAGTATGAATGTTTAAAGCAAAAATTATAACATTGGTTGGGTTTCCAATATACATGGATGAGATATATATGAAAATTATTTTTTAATGGGAGTTAAGGGATTTATATGGTTGTAAGACTTCTACATTTTACTTAAAGTAGTAAAATATTAACTCTATGTAGACTATAAAAGGAGACAAAAACAAATCATTAGGGATAAATTTAAAATAATAAAAAATAAGTCAGATAAAATATTACATTACATATACATAGTCTAAATACTTCTATTTGTTTGTTTGTTTGTTTGTTTGTTTGTTTGTTTTAAAATAGAGATGAGGTCTCGCTATGTTGACCAGACTGGTCTCAAACTCCTAGCCTCAAGCCATTCTCTCATTTTGGCCTCCCAAAGTGCTGGGATTACAGGCATAACCCACCATGCCTGGCCTAAATATATCTACTTAAAGATCAAAATTTTCCAGATTAAATTTTAAAATCAAGATCCAGGCCTAGTGCAGTGGCTCATGCCTGTAATCCCAGCATTTTGGGAGGCCAAGGTGAGAGGATCATTTGAGCCCAGGAGTTTGAGACCAGCCTCAGCCACATAGTGAGACCTTGTTTCTTTGAAAAATTTAAAAATTAGCAGAGGATGATGGTGCACACCTGTAGTCCCAGGTACTCAGGAGGCTGAGATGGGAGGATTGCTTAAGCTTGGGAAGCAGAGGCTACAGTGAGCTGAGATCATGCCACCGCACTTGAGCCTGGGTGACAGAGTAAGACCTTGTCTCAAAAAAAAAGCAAGACCCAATTAATGTTGTCTACAAGAAAATCACTTTAAATATAAAAGCATAGACAGATTAAAGGTCAAGGGATAGAAGAAATATATCATGCAAACACTAATGAAAGTGGCTATATTAATGTCAGACAAAGTAAACTTCAGAACAAAGAATAATACCAGGGATGAAGAGGGTGATCACATAATGATTAACAGGTTATTAATTCACCAAAAATATATAACAATCTTAAATGTGTATGCACCTAATAACAGATCTTCAAAATATAGGAGGCAAAAACTGACAGAAGTGAAAAGATAAATCAACAAACCCACAATTACAGTTGCAGATTTCAACATTAACCTCTCAGTAATGATAAAACAAATAGAAAATCAGCAATGGTACAGAAAACCTGAAGAAGCTGGGAGCAGTGGCTCATGCCTGTAATCCCAACACTTTGGGAGGTTGAGGGGGGCGGATTACCTGAGGTCAGGAGTTCGAGACCAGCCTGGTCAACATGGTGAAACCCTGTCTCTACTAAAAATACAAAAATTAGCTAGGTGTGGTGGCGGGTGCCTGTAATCCCAGCTACTCGGGAGGCTGAGGGAGGAGGATCACTTGAACCTGGGAGGTGGTGGTTGCAGTGAGCTGAGAACCTGTCATTGCACTCTAGCCTGGACAACAAGAGTGAAACTCTGTCTCAAGGAAAAAAAAAAAAAAGGAAGAAAGAAAGAAAGAAAGACCTGAACAATGCTATTGAAACAACTTTACCTAACTGACATTGATAGAATGCCCCACAAAAGACAACAGCATAATATACATTATTTTCAAGTACACATGAAATTTTCACCAAGATAGACCATATTCTAAACCATAAAACATACCTTACTTAGTAAATCAAAAGAAGTGGAATTTTGCAAAGTATGTTTTCTGACAACAGTGGAGTTAAACTAGAAATCAACAACAGAAAGATACTGGGAAAATCTCAAATTATTTGTAAATTAAACCAAAAAATTGAAATAACTCATGCATCAAACAGCAAGTCATAAGAGAAACTAGAGTCCTTTGGGTATATACCCAGTAATGGGATGGCTGGGTCAAATGGTATTTCTAGTTCTAGATCCCTGAGGAATCGCCACACTGACTTCCACAATGGTTGAATTAGTTTACAGTCCCACCAACAGTGTAAAAGTGTTCCTATTTCTCCACATCCTCTCCAGCACCTGTTGCTTCCTGACTTTTTAATGATTGCCATTCTAACTGGTGTGAGATGGTATCTCATTGTGGTTTTGATTTGCATTTCTCTGATAGCCAGTGATGGTGAGCATTTTTTCATGTGTTTTTTGGCTGCATAAATGTCTTCTTTTGAGAAGTGTCTGTTCATGTCCTTTGCCCACTTTTTGATGGGGTTGTTTGTTTTTTTCTTGTAAATTTGTTTGAGTTCATTGTAGATTCTGGATATTAGCCCTTTGTCGGATGAGTAGGTTGCGAAAATTTTCTCCCATTTTGTAGGTTGCCTGTTCACTCTGACGGTAGTTTCTTTTGCTGTGCAGAAGCTCTTTAGTTTAATTAGATCCCATTTGTCAATTTTGGCTTTTGTTGCCATTGCTTTTGGTGTTTTAGACATGAAGTCCTTGCCCATGCCTATGTCCTGAATGGTAATGCCTAGGTTTTCTTCTAGGGTTTTTATGGTTTTAGGTCTAACGTTAAGTCTTTAATCCATCTTGAATTAATTTTTGTATAAGGTGTAAGGAAGGGATCCAGTTTCAGCTTTCTACATATGGCTAGCCAGTTTTCCCAGCACCATTTATTAAATAGGGAATCCTTTCCCCATTGCTTGTTTTTCTCAGGTTTGTCAAAGATCAGATAGTTGTAGATATGCGGCGTTATTTCTGAGGGCTCTGTTCTGTTCCATTGATCTATATCTCTGTTTTGGTACCAGTACCATGCTGTTTTGGTTACTGTAGCCTTGTAGTATAGTTTGAAGTCATGCTGCTATAAAGACACATGCACACGTATGTTTATTGCGGCTCTATTCACAATAGCAAAGACTTGGAACCAACCCAAATGTCCAACAATGATAGACTGGATTAAGAAAATGTGGCACATATACACCATGGAATACTATGCAGCCATAAAAAATGATGAGTTCATGTCCTTTGTAGGGACATGGATGAAATTGGAAATCATCATTCTCAGTAAACTATCACAAGAACAAAAAACCAAACACTGCATATTCTCACTCATAGGTGGGAATTGAACAATGAGAACACGTGTACACAGGAAGGGGAACATCACACTCTGGGGACTGTTGTGGGGTGGGGGGAGGGGGGAGGGATAGCTTTAGGAGATATACCTAATACTAAATGACGAGTTAATGGGTGCAGCACACCAGCATGGCACATGTATACATATGTAACTAACCTGCACATTGTGCACATGTACACATATGTAACTAACCTGCACATTGTGCACATGTACCCTAAAACTTAAAGTATAATAATAATAAAATAAAAAAAAGAGAAACTAGAAAATATTTTAAACTCAGTGAAAATGAAATTACCACATACTAAAATTAACATAGTGCACAGAGGGAGATTTATTGCGTTCAAACTTTAATTATATTAGAAAATAAGAAAGTTTTCAAATCAGTAGTCTTAACTCCAAAAAAATTAGGAAAAGAAGACCAAATTAAACTGAAAACAAGCAAAGAAAGTCAATAAAGAGCCGAAGACACCAATTACCAATTACAGGAATGAAAGAGTAGAATCACTGTGCATTCTACATACATTTTAAAGGATAATAAAAGAATACTACAAAAAACTTTATGACAATACATTACATAAAACTTAAATAAAATGAATCAATGTCTTGACAAATGCAAATTACCAAAGCCCACTCAAGAAGTTAAACAACCTGAATATTTCTAAATTGATAAAGAAAACTCTATGTCCAGACTGCCTTGGTTGAAATCATGGCTCTATCACTTACTAGGTATGTAATGTTGAGAAAGTTTCCTAATGTCTCTAGGCCTCAGTTTCCTCATACGCAGAAACTTAATAATACTTACCTCATTAGGTTGTTTTGAGATTTAAATAAGTTAATATTTGCGCGGTGGTTGGAAATGTATGGCATCTAGTAAAAAACTCTAAGTATTTATTAAATAAACTAATTAAATAAAAAGAAATCCATATAAGGATGACACAGAAATTCACAACTGAACAGATGATTATCTGATCAAAGACAAGGATGCAAGACAAAAATATAGTGGAAGAATATCTTTAATTTGCTAAGAGAAAAACAACTAAAATTATATAACAAAATACTTTCCAAATACAAGGATGAAATAAATTCATTTTTAGGCAAACAAAATCTGAAAGAGTTGATCACAAAGGACCATCATTAAAAGGTATTCCTAAGAGTATTCTTTAAAAAGAAGAAAAACCATTCTAAGGGAAATATCTGAGGTGTGAGAAAGAATGAGAAAATAAAACAATAAAGATGTGAGTAAATCTACGTAGTACATAGTAATGCCTCATGAAATTTAGAAAAAGAATGACAATAGCATGACAACAATAGCACATAGGTTGCAAGGGGATGGTCACCGTTAGAGTTCTGAGCTTCTCTTATTTTTTCAGAGGATAGTAAGAAGATTGATTAACTGATTAGTATGCATGTTAGCATTTCTAGATTACTATAATGTGAGAAAAAGAGTGAAAAGCTTCTAAACTAGTGAAGTAGAAAAATGTAATATGAAAATGTATTTAATTCAAAAGAAGACAGGAAAGAAGAAAATAATTTAAGTGAGAGAAATAGAATTTATAAAAAAGATGTTAGAAAATCATATGTCAGTTATAATAATAAATATGAATGTCTTAAAAGCTCTAGCTAAAAAATAAAGACTGTCAGACTAGATTTTTAGAAATTCATCTATGTGTTAAGAGACACTGCTGAAAACTAAGGATACAGGCTTGGCGCAGTGGCTCACACCTGTAATCCCAGTACTTTGGGAGGCCGAGGCGGGTGGATCACTTGAGGTCTGAAGTTTGAGACCAGCCTGGCCAACATTGGTGAAATCCCATCTCTACTAAAAATACAAAAATTAGCCGGGCACAGTGGCGTACACCTGTAATTCCCACTACTTGGAAGGCTGAGGCATGAGAATCCAGGAGGTTGCAGTGAGCCAAGATCATACCACTGCACTCCAACCTGGGTGACAGAGAGAGATTCTGTCTCAAAAAAAAAAAAACAAAACAAAACTAAGGATACAAAGAGACTGAATGCAAATGCAAAAGGATGAAAAAATGGGAAAAATATATGTCAGGCAAATGTTACCTTTGAAAGTAGTGCAGTTATATATTAAAATCAGCAAAATAGACTTTGAGGCAAATAGCATTATTAGAATTAAAGAAATCACCCATAAAAAGATTTACTTACCAGAAAAAGTAGCATTCTAAACTTATATGCACCTAATGTCCCTGATCTATAAAAAGCAAAATTGACAGACGTACAGAGAGAAATATATTATTCCATCGTGATGGATTTTATCACACTTTCTCAGTAACTAATGGATCAGTCCTGACAGAAAATCAGTAAAGATATTGACGATTTGAACAACACAATTATCTAATGGACATATATGAAATTTCGCATCCAACAACTAGGGAATACACATTTCCGTCAAACACACATAAAACCAATTTTTGTAAATGCTGGCCTTAAACATCCATATATTTAAACACTTAGAAACATATTTTTAAATAATTTATGGGTTATAAAATTAATCACACTGGAAATTAGATATTACTTAGGTTTTGGGAAACAAACCTTGTGTGCCTTCTCAGTCTCTCAACTACCTCCCCTTTGTCTCTTGGTCAGTGGTCCACCACACCAGGTTGCCTCTACACTTTGGACTTCAATGAAACCCCTCATTGTGGAGTATGGGATCTGGCTTTCTGAGCAACCAATGAAGTCCCTATATCCTGGAAATGTAGGGTATTGAGTATGAATTGGGTATGAATGTTGACTAATGGGAAGTGGGAGATGAAAAAGGCAGCTGGGAAAATAAATTTCTCCTTCTTTCACTCTCCTACAGTTACGTCTGAGGTGAGGTCCCTCATTGCAACCTTTCTAGGGAAATTTAACCCACTGAGTGAACACAGCTGCTGGGTAACAATTGCCTGTTCATGGCTCATGGTGAAGTAGTATGTGGCACAATTGGGCACTGCATCGTATTGCATCAAATGCTACCTTGCCTCATCTCTTTTCTCTCACTTTCACTGCCCTGTGCTTATGCTTTCCAAACATGTGAACATCTTAATTATTGTGTCAAGCTCTGCCTTCTAAAGGACCTGGGCTAAGACAACTTAAAAGTGAATGATGGTGAACATGCCACATATAAAAACATTTGAAATGTAGCTAGAACTATCTAAGAGGAAACTTTATGCTTAAAATATCTAGATTAGAAAAGAAGAAAAGGTAAAAATTGATGAGTTAACTATCCAATTAGGAAGTTAGAGAAGGAATAATAAAATAAATCCAAAGAAAATAAAAGGAAAGAAATAACAAAGTTAAAAGGAGTTAGTGAAATGAAAAACAAAGACATAAGTCAATAAGCCCAAAAGTTTGTTCATTTATAAATGCTGCCGGGCACGTTGGTACTCGTCTATAGCCCCAGGTACTCAGGAGGCTCTGAGGCAGAAGGGTCGCTTGAGTCCAGGAGATCTGGGTTGTAGTGTGCCAGGCTGATAGGATGTCCACATTAAGTTCAGCATCAGTATGATGATCTCCAGGGAGCAGGGGACCACCTGGTTGCCTAAAGAGGTGTGAACTGGCCCAGGTTGGAAATAGAGCAGATCCAAACTCCCACGTGCTGATCAGTAGTGGAATTGTGCCTGTGAGAGGCTGGGCGCCATGGCTCACACCTGTAATCCCAGCACTTTGGGAGGCCAAGGCAGGTGGATCAAGAGGTCAGGAGTTCAAGACCAGCCTGACAAACATGGTGAAACCCCATCTCTACTAAAAATACAAAAAACTGGCCAGGCGTGGTGGTGGGCATCTGTAATCCCAGCTACTCTGGAGGCTGAGGCAGGAGAATCCTTGAACCCAGAAGGCAGAGGTTGCAGTGAGCCAAGATCGCACCACTGCACTCCAGCCTGGGCGACAGTGCGAGACTCCATCTCAAAAAAAAAAAGAAAGAAAGAAATCGTGCCTATGAATAGCCACTGCACTCCAGCCACACAGCATGGCAAGATTTCATCTCTGTTAAAAAAAACAATTAATTAATTAATTAATAATAAATATAAATACTTTAGAAAAGTCTGTGATAGAATGATCAAGAAAAATAGAAAAGGAACAAATAAATGAGTAATGAAGAGAGGGACAAAACTGTAGCAAAGATTTAAAAAATAGTAAGCAAGTATTTTAAGTAAATCTTATGCCAATACATTTGAAAACCTATGTGGAAATAATGATTTTCTGGTTATAACTTCAATACTGACTCAAAAAGAAATAGGAAACTGGAACAGAAGTTAAATCGGGACTTTTGATTCTCATTGGCGAACTGCAGCCACCTAAAGAAAGATCTCTACAGACATCCTCCAAAAACTATGCAGATTAATGAGGAGAACAAATAAGATTACTCTTAACCCACATCTATATTGGAAGATAATTTACATATATGTGGCTATAAATCTCCGCAAGGAGCAGACCCAGCTTTAGAGCCCCCTTTGGAGTGGAGAATCAAGCAGGGATTTTGTGTAAGAAAAGTGCAACAAGATCCAAGCAGTAGCAGAAAATAAATAACTGTCCCCAGAAGCTGGGCACGGTGGCTCATGCCTGTAATCCCAGCACTTTGGGAGGCCAAGGTGGGCGGATCACGAAGTCAGGAGTTCGAGACCAGCCTGGCCAGCATGGTGAAACCCTCTCTCTACTAAAAATACAAAAATTAGCTGGGTGTGGTGGTGCGCTCCTGTAATCCCAGCTACTCAGGAGGCTGAGGCAAGAGAATTGCTTGAACCCAGGAGGCGGAGGTTGCAGTGAGCTGAGATAGTACCATTGCACTCCAGCCTGGGTGACAGAGCAAGACTCCGTCTCAAAAAATAAAAATAAATAAATAAATACATACATACATACATAAATAAATAAAAACAGTCCCCAGAGTACAGCATCAGAAGAAGAGCCTTCCATCCTAGTAGAGAAATATTGACAATACATTTGAGACTAAGTAAATCTGAGCAAAACAAAGAGCCTTAGAGAGTGTGTGAGCCATAAAAACTTCAGGGAGAGAGCGAGGTAACTTGGAAGGAGGCATCCCTTAAAGGCTTGGTAGTGAAAGAAAAGAAGGAAGAAATATCTGAATTAAGTGTCATCAGGTACAGTATCACGAATCACTAGCATGCCCTTTCTCTTTCTCTCTCTGTGTCACACACACACACACACACACACACACACACACACACACACACACACACAATTCATTAAAGAAACTGAACTTCATTATATCATCAGAAGAGGGCACTGTTGAATTTGAAAATCCAGTAAAGCCTGCTGTCAGCCTGGGTTCCCACAAAAGCAGCTTGAGAACAAGGCTTGCATGCAGAGAATTTATTTTGAGAAGTGATCTCAAGGAATAGGCATGAAGGACTAGAGGAAAGGTGAAAAGAAGGAGGGAAAAAGCAAACCAAGTGTGCATTATTGCGCTAATTATTGTTGTAGGCAACTAGGGCTCAGTCTTGCTGGGAACCCTCTGTAGAGCCATGGAGAATGCAGCATTGTCTGCTCTAGGGACAGAGACGAGCATTTAATCCGCTGGTTCCCTCCCCCATTGGTTCATGTGCAGCCATGGAGGTGGACTGCTTGCATCTCCTTTCAAGAAATAACTTGCTACTTAATTAACTGCAAGAAGGGCGCTTATCTGAAAGCCTTCAGCTGAGTGCCTTCAGGATATGCTGCAGCTTTTGAACCAAAGCCATGCTCTTCTGCGGCAGCACCAGTTAATGGGTGAGCTTGGTGGGGTCCCAGGGCTTTGTCATTTCTGCTCAACATGGGCAATCGTTGTTCCAAAGCTCCGTGTTAAGACTGTGACAGATCTGCTTCACCATTTGAGGCTCACCCCGCCCAACCCTGTGTGTGTCCTTGCCTGTTTTCTTTCACAGGTGTCTGAACTGCATTGTGGTCTGAAGAATTTTCCTACCCAGTCCTGCTTCTCTCCCTCTAGCCCACCTTCTTTTAACCTTTCATGAGAGTTATATCCAAATAAACCACTTGCACTCCTACCTCCCTCTCAGCATCTGCTTCCTGGAAGACTCAATTGATACAGTCAAGGATTACCTAATGGGGGTTAACTCCCTCATACTTCCAGGTTTACACATGCCTCAGAATGGTTGCATAGGCTGTAGGCATATCACATGGCAGTGCCAGAGAAACTCCAGGAAGAGTATGCAAGCTAGGTATGCAACACTAGACGTATGCAATGCAGTGGAAGCCAGATGTGGTCAGCTTATTCCTGTGCCTGGCTGGTCACCTCAGCAATGACTGGCATAAAAAGGGTGAGTTCAGAAGATGTGAGGCCAGACTCAAGAGGTGTCCAATACAACCAAAAAAAAAAAAAAAAAGGAGAGAGAGAGAGACAGGGTTTCATTTTGTCACCCAGGGTGGAATACAATGGCGTGATCATGGTTCATTGTAACCTCGAACTCCTGGGCTTGTGGCATCCTCCTTCCTGCCTCAGCCTCTCAAGTAACCAGGACTACAGGAGCCCACCACCATGCCTGGTGAATTAAAAAACAAATTGGTAGAGATGGGGTCTCGGCTGGGTTGCCCAGGCTGGTCTCGAACTCTTGACCTCAAGCGATCCTCCTGCCTCAGCCTTCCAAAGTGTTGGGATTATACAGGCATGAGCCACCATGCCTGGCCCAACGAACTACCCTTTGTGTTTCAGATTCCTGCCTAACAGTATGTCCAAGCTGTTACAGAGCCTTCAGCAGCCAGACTTAACACACAGATGTAGCAAATAAACTAGAATGTGCACTGCTGCAACTGGTGCCCAAGCTATAACTTATATTCATCCTGCCCCCACCCCCACCACCCCCAGATGTCCCTTTTCCTCAGCTGGCACCTCAATGGGTCTAGTTTGCCTGCCTGGTGTGGTGCTTCAGACCTTAATCTCTGAGGGGTGCTTGCTGGGCCATAAAAAGGATATTCCTGGGTTCCAGATGCACTTCTATTGTGTAGCAGAAACCCTATCTCTTCACGGTAGCTAGGGCCAACCACCCCTACCAATACTGCAACTTCTTTCTTTGCCTGCTGCTCCACTGACACGAGGATCCCAAAATGAGATAGTGGTTATAAAGCTTCATTTTCAGTGGAGCCCTGTGTCTCCCAGTGGCATGCACGGAATCTTTCCTACCTCTCCATCCCTCAGTAAACAGCCAGCCAGGGCAGCAAAATGTCAGCCACCTCTCTTTGCAGAAAAATACTTCCCTTATGTCTAAGATTGGCATTCTTTGGGCTGCTCAAATTTAACTTGAGAGCAAGGGAACCCCACCACATTGGCGAGAGGAGGAGAAACTCTAGTGTTCTCTACTCCTATTGGTTCCCTTTTAGGGTCTCCTTCCTTCCTCAAGGACTCACTACTTTCTCTTTACAGTCCTGAGGTGGGTGGGGAATCTGGATCATCTCGGCCACCCCTCAGCAAACCCTAAGATGGGCCCAGTGCCTCTCTTTAGAATGAGGTAGTATTTATCATCTACTGTTTTTAGTTTTGAGGCTTCAGCACAAATTCTGAGATGACTGGAAATGTCCAGTTTAAAATGAAAAGTTGTTCAACCTCACTGTAGTCATAGCAATGTAATAAGCAATAAAGAAATGTCATTTTTGACTCATATGGTTGGCGGAAATTAATAACAGCAATAACAACCAGTGTTGGGCAGGACCTAGAGCAACTCTACAAAAGGCCAATAAGATGCAGTTATAATTTTTTTCTTTTCTTTTTTTCATACAGAGAAAAAAGGCTTTTGTACCTGGAAAATACCAATTTTAGTTCATTTTTAAAGGGTAATATGCAATATATTAAAGTTTTTATTTTAAAACCTAGATTATCTTAAACCCTTAAGTTAAACCTACAAATTTTCTTGTTCTATTTGCAGATTTATCAATAAAAATAATTTTAAAATCATTGATACTGGCTCTTTGATCAGTGTTCAACTAACTTAAATTTAATGGTTTAAATCCTTCTTAAACACTGACTTCACTTCTTAAAAAAAATCATATTTTCTTAGACATTTACAACTACAACCACAACCACAAATTTAACATATCAGATTTTTCCAGGCAAATGAAACCCCTGTTGTGGCAGACTTAACGAGCAAAATTATTCTCAGCAATTACGCTATTTTTGCAAATTAATAAATCAATCTTGTAATGTGGTAAATCAGATTCTCTTACCCATTTCAAACATTATGAAAACAGGAAAGCAAACAAAGCATATACAAAGCAGAGCAATGAAATTTTAACGATTTCGAAACTTATTACAAATCCCATATAATGCAGCCCACTCAGAAGAAATCCACATCCACTTTTTCATTATCTCTATACTTATTTGTGTACCCATCCAGGGTTATAAATCACTCCCCTAAGCTAGGGAAAAAAATCGCAATCTCCGCAGAGTGATCCAATCCAAGATGCAGGTTAAAAAGATGGCAATTTTACTGCCTGGTGTGACAGATGCAGTATCTGCGCCCTGTCTCTCTATTACTTGCCTACCTGTCTTATTGCTCACTTTTTCTACAATGTCATGTTTCTACAATGCCGTGCTGATGCACCCAGATGGGGTGATCATGTAAGCTAATGAGGCCTCATTCATAGCCATGGGCTGGCAAGTTTACACATCCCCAATTCGTAGTGTCTAACCTCTCTTGTGCACCAAACACCTAAAGGAAAATCCCATGCCAGCACACCCCTTTAGAGTGCTTCTTCCCATTTAGATGAACAAGCCTCCATGGCAGGCTTTTTTATTTCTAAAATTTGACTCTTGGTTCAAAAACAAGTCCTTTTATGGTCAGCCAAGGACGGCTAGGGTAGTGTAACATTGTCATAAATGAATCTTTTGGGAACAAAGCTCTTTCATTTCAGTTAGCCATGGTTGAAACTCATGCATGAACACGTACACCTCATAAATTATGTTGGCACATCATGTAGGTTAGCAACAAATTCTTCACTTCTCCCTTCCCTGTTCATCTGAGGTGCAGTCACTGATACCCTCCTCCTGGCTCCATTTCTTCCTCGTTCCTCCACCTTCCCGTCTGCCTTTTGGGAGGCTGAGAATATGTATTCTTACATGGACCCAAAACTTGGCCACCAGGGATGAGCCTGCACAGGCCCAGTTAACAACCTCATCCTACTGCTGTCTTGCTGGTCTGTCCGGATGTCTAGGCTTCAGTCTCCACTGTCTACAATACACTCCCCTATAACTGAATCCCTCCCTATTATGCTTTGAGTGTGTTCCCCAAATTCCATGTACTGCAAACTCAATCACCAATGTACCATATTGGAAGGTGGGAATTTTGAGAGATGACTGGGTCATGAGGGCTCTGCTCTCATGAATGGATTAGTCTATTCACTGATTAATGGATTAAAGAGTTAATGAATTAATGAGTTATCATAGGAGTGGGACTGGCGGCTTTATAAAAAGTAGAAGAGAGATCTCTTGCCATGTAATACTCTGCACCACCTCTAGACTCTAAAGAGTCCCTTATCAGATGCCAGGTCATGCCCTTGGACTTCCCAGCCTCCAGAAATGTAAGAAATAAATTCCTTTTCTTTATAAATTACCCAGTTTCAAGTGTTCTGTTAAAAGCAACAAAAAATGGACGAAGACACTCTAGCAGCCCCTAGTTGAAGGTGTGATGGGCTTTCAGGTAGGGAGACAGTCCCTTTAGGAAAGGCAGGGAATTCTCTTAGGAAGATGGAGCTTTTGGGTTTGAGCTACAAAATGAACAGGTTCTAGAGTTGCTGGGACAGCCAGGCCCCTACAGGGCAAGGCTGGGATATTGACTTTCAGAGCAGCCCTGGGCAGCTCTATAAAGCCCACCTTCTTCTCCCCTCCACTCTGAAGAGCATGTCCCATGTCCTTCCAGGTGTGCGCTCACCCCTCCTCTTTAATGCTTGCCTTTGTGAGTTCTAACCCTTAGGATCTTTCCCCTGCTTCCTTAGGTAGATGCTTAAGAGATGAACCCACACAAATAATTGCTAGTTTGAGGCGCTACTTCTTCTAAATGTATCTAATCTTCATAAGATATCCACAAAGCCATAGTGTGCCAGACCTTAGGTTTTCTTGTCCAACCCCTTCTCTGTGGACAGGAAAATGAACTCAAAATAGGAGAATCACCTGCAAAAGGGCACAGTAGGAAGGGGTGGAGCCTGATGTGAAAAGCTGGAGCCTATTTAGAGCCTGGCATTTCATTTCTAGGATCTTCTCTACCCGCTCCTAAAACCATACCTACATGTGAAAAAGAATGAACGGTCCCCCAGATACTGCCCTGCCTCACTGTGTCTATTTTTTATTTCCAGACCTCTCCCCTGCATGCCAGACTTACATATCCATCTGTCTACTTGACTGTTCCTCTTGGGTATCAAACCTCACATGCCTAAAACTAACCCGAATCTCTTCTCCTCTCCAAACTTGCTCCTCCCATAGTCTTCCTTATTTCAGTAAATGGCAAGTCTCTCCTTCCAGCCTCTCAAGCCAAACAACTTAATCATCCTTGTCTTTCTCTCACACACCATTTTCTAGCCGTCAGCATATCCTTCAGCTCCACTTTCTATGTGGAGCCTGATCTGTTATGACAGAGGCCACAGCATCCTTTCCTTATATTGCAATCGCTTCCTAAATGGCTTTCTTGCTTCTTCCCGCTCCCTGCTTCTCCCCGCTTCCTTGCATCTCCCCGCTCCCTGCAGTCAATACCCCACATAGCACCTGGGGTGGAAGGAGGACCAGGTCTCTCCCCTCTCATAATGCTTCTGTGGCTCCCGTGTCAGGCAAAAGCTGTGGTTCTTACCATGGCCTACAAGTCCTGCATGACACATAGCATCCTCTGGGGCTGCCTCCCACCCTCAGCCTCCACCTCATCTCCTACCACTCCCCACTCACTCACTCTGCTCCACTGCCCTGACCTTCATGCTGTTCCTCAAACTTGCCAAGCAAGGTACAGACTCAAGACCTTTGTGTGAGTCTTCCCTCTTCTGCAACTCTCTCCCCAGATGTCTAAGGCTCACCCCCTTGCTTCCTTCAGGCTCCGCTCCAACCTCATCTCATGGAAGAGGTCTTCTTGACGCCCCATAGAACATTGTAATAGTGGCCCATCTTCCCCTCACTCCCTTTCCCTTTGCTTTATTGTTCTCCAAACCATTCACCATCTGACACATTTTATATTTACTTGTTGGCTTACTTATTTATTTTCTATCACTTTGCTCTAGAACATGAACGCCATGATGGCAGGGAATTTGCTTTGTTTACTGCTGAACATTTCCCAGCATGTAGAACAGCACCTGGCACTTACTAGATGCGCAATAAACATCTGGTGAATGAACAAAGGAGTGATTCTGTGGCAGACAC